>NC_000003.12:137341937-137644967 GCF_000001405.40 Homo sapiens | reverse complement strand
AAAAAAAGATTGACGGCAGCTACTTAATCATTTTATGAAGTTAGCAAGCCTGACAAAACCTACCATTACAGCACCATTAAACTGCTGGCCAATCTCACATGTGAATTTAGATCCAAAATTCTATAACAAATACTTCTGCAGTAAATACCTTGTTGTTTTATATATGCTGCTATGTTCATATGTCCAAGATATTGTTCCATAAAAGAGTTGTAGGAAAATGTGCATAGTATTACCCAAATTTGTGTATTCATGTAAGTTTGTTGCATTTGAATTGCCAGAAGGCTACTCAAGAAACTGTTAATAGTAATTATTTCTGGGGAGTAGAGGAGTATGAATGTAGAGAATGGGGAGGGAGATGGGCACATTTACTTCTCACTTTACACCTTGTGTTCTGTTTGAACTTTTTTTTTTTTAATCATGAATGTGTTTACTTTTAAATTTTTAAAAACCAAATGGAGGAAAAAATAAATGGTTTTGACTGATCACTGATCAGGGATCTTATTTCCAGAACTTCTGTAAGACTTGATGATTCTCTCATTATGAGAATTAAAATGTGTATTTTTGAAAACTATCCCCTTGACTTGGAAAAGAGATTTGTTTTTTGGGATCCCAAGGAGCAGAGCTAGGTAGAATGAGTAGAGAATTCAAGGAGACAGGCCAGGCGCGGTGGCTCACGCCTGTAATCCCAGCACTTTGGGAGGCCGAGGCGGGCAGATCACCTGAGGTGGGGAGTTTGAGACCAGCCTGACCAACATGGAGAAACGCCGTCTCTACTAAAAATACAAAATTAGCCAGGTGTGGTGGTGCAAGCCTTTTATCCCAGCTACTCAGGAGGCTGAGGCAGGAGAATCATTTGAACCTGGGAGGCAGAGGTTGCAGTGAGCCGAGATCGCGCCTTTGCACTCCAGCCTGGGCAACAAGAGAGAAACTCTGTCTCAAAAAAAAAACAAAAACAAAAAGAAAAAGAAAAATAGAATTAAAGGAGACAGATGCCAAGCGTAATGTGAGGAAGAACTTTTTTCAAATTAGAGATATCCAAAGAGAAATAAACCCCTCTGGGAGGAACTGTTTCCTTTCAGGAAGAAGACAGATGAGGCCAGAAGAGGGTAGATATTTTAACCTTGAGATTTCGGCTTCTTCCCTTAAACCTGATTATTCAGGTCTAAAAGGGGTTAGTCCTTGTTCCATATATTTGAGTATATTTGAAATCCTTCTCTAAGAAAACTCACACATGATTAGTGTGAGAAATGTAAAGTACTACAAAAACTAAAGATATATTGTTTTTAGCATATTAATCAGTAAGAGCCTTAACTCCTCATTTAGGTTAGTTCTTCCATGTTTTCAAAAAATGTTTACATATTTACCATTACTTTAAAATCCTTACCACAATCTGGTTAAATAAATAGGACAAATATTGTCTCTATCCCTAAGAAGAGCAAACTGAGTTTGAGCAGTTAAGCTCAAATTCACACAGCCAGTTCTCACTAATTCAGGGAAGGTGATCTTATTCATGCCTCCAAACTCAGGGTTCATGTGAATTGCATCACCAGCTTCACAATGTAAAAATATTGGTCAACAGAATTAAACTTATCTGTCACAAATGTAACGAGTAGGTGGCATACTTAGAGCCAAAGAAAATCTGGGTGCTTTGTTTCTTCTTTCTGAATGATTTATCTGGATGAGCAGGAGGGGTTGTTGTCCAAATTATTAGGCGTTCTTTTCAAACAACCTTTTCCTTTGCACTGGATAGATCTGGCCTGGGAAAGCAACATCTCGGATAGCCACGTGGGCCTTCAGGTTGGGTGAAAGCCAGGCTGCTTTGATCTACTCATGTAGTCCTAGTAGCTTCAGACAATTTCCCGGCTAGGCTTTGTCACCAGCGGATGAATCATTCATTGGAAGTTGCTAATAGCCTGGGAAACAGCAATCGGATTGGGGTAAATGGTTGAGTGGTGTTATTTGCGAGTTGTTTACACTAGACTGTAGAGTAACTCAAGGGCCAACTGGCCTTAAGTGAATTATTGACACAGCCTGCGTCAGGCCTGAGGGAGCTGCAATTAATGCATTAATCACACGGAGCCCCCCGAGCCCCGCATGTTAACACAGGGGATTTAGTAGCACTCCACTAAGTTGTTGATGAGGCCTGTGGCGGGATGAAAACCCTTAGAATACAAATGTGACATCCCATGCCCTTTATTTGTTAGTCAATAATTTGAATAACCCCAGTTTCACAGCTTCTGTGTTGGATTTGCTGTTCCTTTCTCTCCTCCGCTAATCGCCAGCGAGGAGCGATACGGTAGAGAGTTTAACTTTGATTTGAACCCCCCTCCCCCTCCCCCTAAATAAAAGCACAGGTTTTTATCCACATGCGTATATTGCACAGACATCAAAGAAAAAAAAAAAAGCCTCATGCATTTCCATTAAAGCCGCGCGGACCAGGGGGAAGCACCAAGCTGGGTGCGGGCTTTTGAGGCGGTGGAAATTGATAAGGTTCATCTGCATACAAAAGGCTGAATGGAGAGGCAGCAGGGTGAGCGAGGTCGGACACCCAGATGGATTTTTTAATTCTGGGGAAAATAACACCACGCTCACAAGTGATAACTGAGCCTTTCTTCCCAACTCAGACCAAAATATGATTTCCATTTGTGCATTGGAGGAGAAGAAAATTATACAGAATTTCATTCTGCGGTATAATAAGGCTTCACACTGAATAATGCTACCATAAGGCAGTGTAATTACTGAAGGGCAGAAAATACACTTTCAGTTTATATCTAATCACAATACCACATTGTCTGCTTAGGAAAAAAAAAATCTGGGGTGGGGGTGCGGCATGTTGCTAGACTGTGAGTAGGACCCTGGGGAGTTTGTGGGTCTGGGTCTTATCAGAGTCCTGAGAAAAGGTGAGGGTTTGGCTGACTTGGGGCCTTATCTAAGACAGGTTGCATCAGGGAGGTAGTAGGCGCCTCTCTGCTCATTGAGAATCCCTGGGTTCTGAGATTTGTTGCTAGTCTTCTAAAATGACCTGTCCTAATCTTTACTGACTCATTAAAATCATGGCTACTGCACCCAATGATCAAGTAAATGTGTTTGAAGGCCAAGAAGCTGAGACTCTTCAGGGACTAAAAGAGAAAATATCGGCCAAATTATTACTGTTGTTTGACTGGACTATTGAAATGGCCGAAGAGTATTTTTGGTATGTTTTTCTTGAACGTTCATACTTGATGGACTACAAATTTTTCCTTCCATTTTGAGGTCTGTTTCTTGTCCACTTAAAAATAATATGTTGGACGGGCGTGGTGGCTCACTCTTGTAATCCCAGCTCTTTCGGAGGTTGAGGCAGGCGGAACACTTGAGGCCAGGAGTTCGAGGCCAGTCTGGCCAACATGGCAAAACCCCATATCTACTAAAAGTACAAAAATTAGCCGGGTGTGGTGGTGCACGCCTGTAGTCCCAGTTACTCGGGAGACTGAGGGCAGGAGAATCTTGAACCTGGGAGGCAGAGGTTGCAGTGAGCCAAGATGGCACCACTACACTCCAGCCTGGGCCACAGAGGAAGACCCTGTCGCAAAAAAAAAGGTTATTATAGAATATTTGGAAACAGAAAAGTTCAGTGGAGACATCAATTATTCTACCACCCAGTCAAAAACAACTGGTAATAGTTTGGTGGATTTTTCTTTGTGATGTGTGTGCTTTGTTTTATTTCTTCTTGAATAATAGGGTCCAGTTTCCACGGTGCCAGAGCTTGTTTCCACAATGAATATTAAAAACAATTCTGGTTTGAAACCACTGTACTTTAGAGTTTTATTTTATGTGCGGTGGAAGAAGCCTCTAGACTTATCAGGCTCTAGCCCCGTGGTTCTTACATGTGAGTGTGCATTAGAATCACCCCAAGGGCTCATTAAAACACAGATTGCTGGGTGTAACTTCAGAGTTTCTGAATCAGTAAGTCTAGAGTGAGGCCAAGATTCTGTATTAATGTTCCCCACGATGCTGATGCTGCTCTGGATACCACTTTTTGAGGACCACTGCCTTTGAATAAAGGGGACAGGGTTGAGGAAAGCACAGGAAATGAAAGCTCTCAAGGCACCTGAAAAGGGTATTTCTGCAGAGGAAATCCATAGATTTTGGGGAGGATCTGAACATAGTATTTTGTAACTGTTTGTAGAACAAGTTTATTTGAATTTTAGTCTCAGATTCTCCTGAAGACCTTCTTCAACAGTGCTTATAGCAAGCTGACTTAGCAGATCGATGTGTCTCTTCCTCCAGTCTTGATTATTGTAGCTATATATTAAGTCCTGAAATCAGAGAGAGTGGTTCTTCTCACTTTATTGTTCTTTTTCAAAAAATTTTAGCTATTCTAATTCCTTTGCTTTTCCATATGAATTTTAGAATAGTTCTACCTATATCTACAAAATTCTTGCTGGTGTTTTGATGGAAACTGCATTAAAACTGTGTATCAGTTGGGCATAATTGATGTCTTTACTATGTTGAACTGCTAATCCATGAACAGTATCTATCCATTTATTTCAATCTTTCATTTCTTTCATCAGCATACAAGCTGCAGTATTTTGTCAGATTTACACGTAATTATTTCATTTTATTTTGAGTAATTATAAATAGTGTTGTATTTTGATACAGAAAAAGCATTTGACAACATTTAACACTCATTCTAATAAAAATTCTCAGAAAACTAGGAATAGGGGGAACTTCCTCAACTTGTAAAGGGAGCCTATAGAAAACCTACAGCTAACATCATACTTAATAATGAATGACTAAATGCTTTTTCCCTAAATCACGAATAAGGCAAGGATGTCTGTTCTCACTACTGCTATTCAACACGGTACACCTAGCCAAGGCAATAAACTAAGAACAGGAAAAGAAAAAATGAAACTCTATTTGTAGATCACATGATTATCTACATTGAAAATTACAAGAAATCTACCCCCAAAATCCTAAATCTAGTAAGCGTAAATTTAGGAAGGTCATAGGATATAAAACATAGACAAATCTATCATATTTCCACGCTAACAATAAATATATGAAAACCAAATCAATAATCTACTTTCTGACTCTATAGATTTGCCTGTTCTGGATGTTTTATATAAATAGAATCATAAATTATGTTTTCCTTTGTTACTGGCTTCTTTCACTCAGTGTAATGTTTTCAAGGTTCATTGATGCTGCAGCATGTATGAGTGCTTCGCTTCTTTTTACTACTTAATAATACTCCATTGTGGAGGAGCCAAGATGGCTGAATAGGAACAGCTCCAGTCTACAGCTCCCAGCGTGAGCAACGCAGAAGACGGGTGATTTCCGCATTTCCATCTGAGGTACCGGGTTCATCTCACTAGGGAGTACCAGACAGTGGGCGCAGGCCAGTGGGTGCACGCACTGTGCGCGAGCCGAAGCAGGGCGAGGCATTGCCTCACCTGGGAAGCGAAAGGGGTCAGGGAGTTCCCTTTCCGAGTCAAAGAAAGGGGTGACGGACGCACCTGGAAAATCGGGTCACTCCCACCCGAATATTGCGCTTTTCAGACCGGCTTAAAAAACGGCGCACCACGAGACTATATCCCACACCTGGCTCGGAGGGTCCTACGCCCATGGAGTCTCGCTGATTGCTAGCACAGCAGTCTGAGATCAAACTGCAAGGTGGCAGCGAGGCTGGGGCAGGGGCGCCCGCCATTGCCCAAGCTTGCTTAGGTAAAAAAAGCAGCCGGGAAGCTTGAACTGGGTGGAGTCCACCACAGCTCAAGGAGGCCTGCCTGCCACTGTAGGCTCCACCTCTGGGGGCAGGGCACAGACAAACAAAAAGACAGCAGTAACCTCTGCAGACTTAAATGTCCCTGTCTGACAGCTTTGAAGAGAGCAGTGGTTCTCCCAGCACGCAGCTGGAGATCTGAGAACCGGCAGACTGCCTCCTCAAGTGGGTCCCTGACCCCTGACCCCCGAGCAGCCTAACTGGGAGGCACCCCCCAGCAGGAGCACACTGACACGTCACACGGCAGGGTATTCCAACAGACCTGCAGCTGAGGGTCCTGTCTGTTAGAAGGAAAACTAACAAACAGAAAGGACATCCACACCGAAGACCCATCTGTACATCACTATCATCAAAGACCAAAAGTAGATAAAACCACAAAGATGGGGAAAAAACAGAACAGAAAAACTGGAAACTCTAAAACGCAGAGCGTCTCTCCTCCTCCAAAGGAACGCAGTTCCTCACCAGCAACGGAACAAAGCTGGATGGAGAATGACTTTGACGAGCTGAGAGAAGAAGGCTTCAGACGATCGAATTACTCTGAGCTACGGGAGGACATTCAAACCAAAGGCAAAGAAGTTGAAAACTTTGAAAAAAATTTAGAAGAATGTATAACTAGAATAACCAATACAGAGAAGTGCTTAAAGGAGCTGATGGAGCTGAAAACCAAGGCTCGAGAACTACGTGAAGAATGCAGAAGCCTCAGGAGCCGATGTGATCAACTGGAAGAAAGGGTATCAGCAATGGAAGATGAAATGAATGAAATGAAGCGAGAAGGGAAGTTTAGAGAAAAACGAATAAAAAGAAATGAGCAAAGCCTCCAAGAAATATGGGACTATGTGAAAAGACCAAATCTACGTCTGATTGGTGTACCTGAAAGTGATGGGGAGAATGGAACCAAGTTGGAAAACACTCTGCAGGATATTATCCAGGAGAACTTCCCCAATCTAGCAAGGCAGGCCAACGTTCAGATTCAGGAAATACAGAGAACGCCACAAAGATACTCCTCGAGAAGAGCAACTCCAAGACACATAATTGTCAGATTCACCAAAGTTGAAATGAAGGAAAAAATGTTAAGGGCAGCCAGAGAGAAAGGTCGGGTTACCCTCAAAGGGAAGCCCATCAGACTAACAGCGGATCTCTCGGCAGAAACCCTACAAGCCAGAAGAGAGTGGGGGCCAATATTCAACATTCTTAAAGAAAAGAATTTTCAACCCAGAATTTCATATCCAGCCAAACTAAGCTTCATAAGTGAAGGAGAAATAAAATACTTTACAGACAAGCAAATGCTGAGAGATTTTGTCACCACCAGGCCTGCCCTAAAAGAGCTCCTGAAGGAAGCGCTAAACATGGAAAGGAACAACCAGTACCAGCCGCTGCAAAATCATGCCAAAATGTAAAGACCATCGAGACTAGGAAGAAACTGCATCAACTAACGAGCAAAATCACCAGCTAACATCATAATGCCAGGATCAAATTCACACATAACAATATTAACTTTAAATGTAAATGGACTAAATTCTCCAATTAAAAGACACAGACTGGCAAGTTGGATAAAGAGTCAAGACCCATCAGTGTGCTGTATTCAGGAAACCCATCTCACGTGCAGAGACACACATAGGCTCAAAATAAAAGGATGGAGGAAGATCTACCAAGCAAATGGAAAACAAAAAAAGGCAGGGGTTGCAATCCTAGTCTCTGATAAAACAGTCTTTAAACCAACAAAGATCAAAACAGACAAAGAAGGCCATTACATAATGGTAAAGGGATCAATTCAACAAAAAGAGCTAACTATCCTAAATATATATGCACCCAATACAGGAGCACCCAGATTCATAAAGCAAGTCCTGAGTGACCTACAAAGAGACTTAGACTCCCACGCATTAATAATGGGAGACTTTAACACCCCACTGTCAACATTAGACAGATCAACGAGACAGAAAGTCAACAAGGATACCCAGGAATTGAACTCAGCTCTGCACCAAGCGGACCTAACAGACATCTACAGAACTCTCCACCCCAAATCAACAGAATATACATTTTTTTCAGCACCACACCACACCTATTCCAAAATTGACCACATAGTTGGAAGTAAAGCTCTCCTCAGCAAATGTAAAAGAACAGAAATTATAACAAACTATCTCTCAGACCACAGTGCAATCAAACTAGAACTCAGGATTAAGAATCTCACTCAAAGCCGCTCAACTACATGGAAACTGAACAACCTGCTCCTGAATGACTACTGGGTACATAACGAAATGAAGGCAGAAATAAAGATGTTCTTTGAAACCAACGAGAACAAAGACACAACATACCAGAATCTCTGGGACGCATTCAAAGCAGTGTGTAGAGGGAAATTTATAGCACTAAATGCCCACAAGAGAAAGCAGGAAAGATCCAAAATTGACACCCTAACATCACAATTAAAAGAACTAGAAAAGCAAGAGCAAACACATTCAAAAGCTAGCAGAAGGCAAGAAATAACTAAAATCAGAGCAGAACTGAAGGAAATAGAGACACAAAAAACCCTTCAAAAAATCAATGAATCCAGCAGCTGGTTTTTTGAAAGGATCAACAAAATTGATAGACCGCTAGCAAGACTAATAAAGAAAAAAAGAGAGAAGAATCAAATAGACACAATAAAAAATGATAAAGGGGATATCACCACCGATCCCACAGAAATACAAACTACCATCAGAGAATACTACAAACACCTCTACGCAAATAAACTAGAAAATCTAGAAGAAATGGATACATTCCTCGACACATACACTCTCCCAAGACTAAACCAGGAAGAAGTTGAATCTCTGAATAGACCAATAACAGGAGCTGAAATTGTGGCAATAATCAATAGTTTACCAACCAAAAAGAGTCCAGGACCAGATGGATTCACAGCCGAATTCTACCAGAGGTACAAGGAAGAACTGGTACCATTCCTTCTGAAACTATTCCAATCAATAGAAAAAGAGGGAATCCTCCCTAACTCATTTTATGAGGCCAGCATCATTCTGATACCAAAGCCGGGCAGAGACACAACCAAAAAAGAGAATTTTAGACCAATATCCTTGATGAACATTGATGCAAAAATCCTCAATAAAATACTGGCAAACCGAATCCAGCAGCACATCAAAAAGCTTATCCACCATGATCAAGTGGGCTTCATCCCTGGGATGCAAGGCTGGTTCAATATAGGCAAATCAATAAATGTAATCCAGCATATAAACAGAACCAAAGACAAAAACCACATGATTATCTCAATAGATGCAGAAAAAGCCTTTGACAAAATTCAACAACCCTTCATGCTAAAAACTCTCAAGAAATTAGGTATTGATGGGACGTATTTCAAAATAATAAGAGCTATCTATGACAGACCCACAGCCAATATCATACTGAATGGGCAAAAACTGGAAGCATTCCCTTTGAAAACTGGCAGAAGACAGGGATGCCCTCTCTCACCACTCCTATTCAACATAGTGTTGGAAGTTCTGGCCAGGGCAATTAGGCAAGAGAAGGAAATAAAGGGTATCCAATTAGGAAAAGAGGAAGTCAAATTGTCCCTGTTTGCAGACGACATGATTGTATATCTAGAAAACCCCATTGTCTCAGCCCAAAATCTCCTTAAGCTGATAAGCAACTTCAGCAAAGTCTCAGGATACAAAATCAATATACAAAAATCACAAGCATTCTTATACACCAACAACAGACAGAGAGCCAAATCATGAGTGAACTCCCATTCACAATTGCTTCAAAGAGAATAAAATACCTAGGAATCCAACTTACAAGGGATGTGAAGGACCTCTTCAAGGAGAACTACAAACCACTGCTCAAGGAAATAAAAGAGGATACAAACAAATGGAAGAACATTTCATGCTCATGGGTAGGAAGAATCAATATCGTGAAAATGGCCATACTGCCCAAGGTAATTTACAGATTCAGTGCCATCCCCATCAAGCTACCAATGACTTTCTTCACAGAATTGGAAAAAACTACTTTAAAGTTCATATGGAACCAAAAAAGAGCCCGCATTGCCACGTCAATCCTAAGCCAAAAGAACAAAGCTGGAGGCATCACACTACCTGACTTCAGACTATACTACAAGGCTACAGTAACCAAAACAGCATGGTACTGGTACCAAAACAGAGATATAGATCAATGGAACAGAACAGAGCCCTCAGAAATAACGCCGCCTACCTACAACTATCTGATCTTTGACAAACCTGAGAAAAACCAGCAATGGGGAAAGGATTCCCTATTTAATAAATGGTGCTGGGAAAACTGGCTAGCCATATGTAGGAAGCTGAAACTGGATCCCTTCCTTACACCTTAGACAAAAATCAATTCAAGATGGATTAAAGATTTAAACGTTAGACCTAAAACCATAAAAACCCTAGAAGAAAACCTAGGCATGACCATTCAGGACATAGGCATGGGCAAGGACTTCATGTCTAAAACACCAAAAGCAATGGCAACAAAAGCCAAAATTGACAAATGGGATCTAATTAAACTAAAGAGCTTCTGCACAGCAAAAGAAACTACCATCAGAGTGAACAGGCAACCTACAAAATGGGAGAAAATTTTCGCAACCTACTCATCTGACAAAGGGCTAATATCCAGAATCTACAATGAACTCAAACAAATTTACAAGAAAAAAACAACCCCATCAAAAAGTGGGCGAAGGACATGAACAGATACTTCTCAAAATTAGACATTTATGCAGCCAAAAAACACATGAAAAAATGCTCATCATCACTGGCCATCAGAGAAATGCAAATCAAAACCACAATGAGATAGCATCTCACACCAGTTAGAATGGCAATCATTAAAAAGTCAGGAAAGAACAGGTGCTGGAGAGGATGTGGAGAAATAGGAACACTTTTACACTGTTGGTGGGACTGTAAACTAGTTCAACCATTGTGGAAGTCAGTGTGGCGATTCCTCAGGGATCTAGAATTAGAAATACCATTTGACCCAGCCATCCCATTACTGGGTATATACCCAAATGACTATAAATCATGCTGCTATAAAGACACATGCACACGTATGTTTATTGCAGCATTATTCACAATAGCAAAGACTTGGAACCAACCCAAATGTCCAACAATGATAGACTGGATTAAGAAAATGTGGCACATATACACCATGGAATACTATGCAGCCATAAAAAATGATGAGTTCATGTCCTTTGTAGGGACATGGATGAAATTGGAAATCATCATTCTCAGTAAACTATCGCAAGAACAAAAAACCAAACACCGCATATTCTCACTCATAGGTGGGAATTGAACAATGAGATCACATGGACACAGGAAGGGGAATATCACACTCTGGGGACTGTGGTGGGGTGGGGGGAGGGGGAGGGATAGCACTGGGAGATATACCTAATGCTAGATGACGAGTTAGTGGGTGCAGCGCACCAGCATGGCACATGTATACATATGTAACTAACCTGCACAATGTGCACATGTACCCTAAAACTTAAAGTATAATTAAAAAAAAAAGAAAAAAAAATACTCCATTGTATGTCTATACCACATTTTGTTTATCCATTCATCAGTTGATGCACATTTGGGTCATTTCCACTTTTTGGCTATTATGAATAATGCTGCTGTGAATACTCAAGGACAAATTTTTGTGCAGACATATGTTTTCTTTTGGGTATATATCTAGGAGTGGAATTGCTGGATCATATGGTAGCTCTATGTTTAACTACCAGAGGAACTGTCAAACTGTTTTCCAAAGCAGCTGTACCATGTTACATATCCACTAGCAGTGTAGGAGGGTTCCAATTTCTCCAATACTTGGCATTTGGCTACTTAGGTAAGCAGTCATATTAGTTTTAATAGTTTATCAGTTCTGTTTACTTTTATAGTTGGCAGTGATATCAGTTCTAAATGATTTGTAATATTTCTCCCTTTTTACATTAGACACAAATTTCATATTAATTTTATATAATAACATTGATAGAATACCTCTTAATCTTGATCCTGACTTTGCTGGGATTGCCACTAGTGCAGTGATTCTGAAACTTGGGTGCATATTGGAATCATCTGGGGAATATTAAATAATGCTAATGCTTGGGTTGCATCCTTAGACAGCCTCTTAGTGTAACTTGGGAATTAAGAGTTTAGAAAATTTCCTAGGGGATTCTAATGGGAGGCAATGTTTGAGAACCACTGTTCTAGTGCACACATATTTCTGTCACATCTTTTGTTACATTAAACTATAATTATGGATATCTTTTGTCTGTTTTCCCCAAGAAGGTCCTTGGGCACAGGTTTTATGTTCTATTTAACTTTAGAGTTTATTTTTATTTGATTTGTTTCTCTATCATTGGTTTTTAAATTATGACTCATAGTCTTATTTGACATTTTATCTTCAAAGTCATCACGTGCCTGAGAAATCATAACAACTTATTTAAAAATTCTGGTTAAAGAAAAGGGTCAGATAAGAGTCTGTGTCTTAAACAGTAATGATTGCAACATTCCTAAGGAAAGTTTTAGGGGACAGGGCAGAGAGTAGTTTTGACAAAAGTATCACAGATGTAAAAGTCTTTGACTTTAAGTGTCTTTGGTCTGTTGAGTCTGGTCAGAAAATCGTAGGCTTCTACTATGTTTCTACCAGGATCTCATGCCTCTGGTCAGGCATGCGCAATTTCTACCAGCTATAGGTAAGGAGGACTCACTGCTCTTTTTCAGATGCAGCCTCCTCATTTATTCCAATTGCCACAAAACATAGAAAACTGTTCTTTAGATTCAGTCCTACTGACAGTGTACATCTGATTACTGAAAAGAGGCTAGGTTTTGAACACAATGAATTAGATAGCAAAACCAAAAAATTTAGTTTTCCTTTTTATTATCAAAAAATTCAGCACTTTGGGGAGGCCAAGGCAGGCGGATCGTGAGGTTAGGAGATCGAGACCATCCTGGCTAACTCGGTGAAACCCCATCTCTACTAAAAATACAAAAAAAAAAAAATTAGCCAGGTGTGGTGGTGGGCGCCTGTAGTCCCAGCTACTTGGGGGGCTGAGGCAGGAAAGTGGTGTGAACCCGGGAGGCGGAGCTTGCAGTGAGCCAAGATCGCGCCACTATACTCCAGCCTAGGTGACAAAGCAGGTCTCCATCTCAAAAAAAAAAAAAAATCAAATGAAAACAAGAGAGTTGTGTTTGTTGTTTTCTGCTATTCTTTTATTCTTTCTTATGAACTGGGCAATATATTTTAAAAGAATTTCAGAATTACATAGCTTTTTTTTTTCTACTTTCCCCAAATCAAGTACAATTAAATATATGGTGAAGAAACTATTTTAAATTTATGTTTAAGATGGAAGTTTTACTAATCAGAAATATGTTCAATTGCAAGTATGCAAAATCTCATTACAATGGCTAAAACAAAAGTAACTTTAGTTTTCTCATCTAACAAGAAATCTGGATGTGGGTAGCTGTTGGCATTGGTTGTGTTGCTAAATAATTGCGTTGGTTACATATTCCAACCTTCCTATCTTTAGAGAGTTCACTTTTATCTTCATGCATGTTGCTTCATGGTAGCAAGATAGTTGTTGAAAATCCAGAGAGCTGGTTTGTCTTCAAGGCAGGAAGAAAAGGGGAGGACAAAGAATAGCGGCAGCTGCATCTGACATCCCCTTCTCTGTTTTTAAAAACCAGGATACAAAAAGCTTTTCAGAAAATCTGTAGGAAGTGTCACTGTCATTGGCCAGAACTATGTCACCTGGCCACTTCTACATACAGTGGGGATTGAGAAAGTGACTATCTCACGTGGGACTGGAAACATGGCTACCTCAAACCAAGTTGAGCTTTGTTAGCAAGGAATAATCAGGATATAAGTATAGAGAAATCTATTTAGTTTAAATAAGTTTTTAAAGTTTTCTTCTACTTCTCTGACCGGTTCTTCTTGCTCTCTAATTTATCCTTCTGTACCAGATTTTTAAAGGTTAGGATTTGTTAAACCTTGTCCTAGTCCCTCTTATTTTTTTATTTTATATTCTACTTAGGATTTACTCCCAAAACCTTCACCCTGTAAAACTTGATGAATCCCAAATTTATATCCTCATCCAAGAACTCTCTTGTAAGCTCCAAAATTTAAAAAGAGATATTATCAAAAATTGAATCTGGAAGGCAGAGGTTGCAGTGAGCCAAGATTGTGCCACTGAACTCCAGCCTGGGTGACAGAGTGAGACTCTGTCTCAAAAAGAAAAAAAAAATTAATTGAATAATTATAAGCAAACTTGTTTTATTAAACTTTGCAGATACTGTGCTTTTTACAAAGTGAAGGTTTGTGGCAATCCTACATCAAGCAAGGCACCATTTTTCTATCAGCATGTGCTTATTTCATGTCTCCTTACCACATTTTGGTAATTCTTAAAGTATTTCAAGCTTTTCATTATTACTGTATTTTTTTATGGTGATCTATGATCAGTGATCATTGATGTCATTATTGTAATTATTTTGGGGCACCATGAGCCATGCTCTTAAGAGACAGTGAACTTAATGGATAAATGTGGTAGGTGTTCTTACTGCTCCACTGACCAGCTGGTCTCCTATCTCTCTCTCTCATCGAGCCTACGTACTCCCTGAGACACAAAAACATTGAAATTAGGCCAGTTAATAACACTACCATGACCTCTAAGTGTTCAAGTAAGAGGAAGAGTCACACTTATTTCACCTTAAATCAAAAGCTAGAAATGACTAAGTTTAGTGAAGAAGGCATGTGGAAAGCCAAGATAGACCAAAGCTAGGCCTCTTGTGTCAGACAGTTAGTCAAGCTATGAATGCAAAGGAAAAGTTCTTGAAGGAAATTAAATGTCCTACTCCAGTGAACACATAATGATAAGAAAGCAAAACATCGTTACTGCTGATATGAAGAAAGTTTGAGTGGTCCGGATAGAAGATCAAACCATCCAAACATTCCCTTAAGCCAAAGCCTAATTCAAAACAAGGCCTTAACTCTCTTTACTCTTATGAAGGAGGAGAGAGTTGGGGAAGCTGCAAAAATAAAGTTGGAAGCCGGCAGAAGTTAGTTCATGAAGTTTAAGGAAAGAAGCCATCCCATAACATAAAAGCGCAAGGTGAAGCAGCAAGTGCCAATATAGAAGCTGCAGCAAGTAATTCAGAAAATCTTGCTAAGATAACTGATGATAGTGGCTATACTAAACAATAGATTTTCAATGTAGATGAAACAGCCTTATATTTGAAGAAAATGCCATCAAGAATTTTCATAGCTAGAGAGAAGTCAACGCCTGGCTTCAAAGCTTCAAAAAACAGGCTGACTTTCTTGTTAGGGGCTCATGCAGCTGGTAACTTTAAGTTGAAGCTAATGCTCACTGACCATTACAAAAATCCTGGAACCTTTAATCATACTAAATCTACTATGCCTGTTCTCTATAAATGGAACAACAAAGCCTGGATGACAGCATATCTGTTTACAGCATGGTTTACTGAATATTTTAAGCCACTGTTGAGACCTACTGCTCAGAAAAAAATTTCCTTTCAAAATATTACTGCTCATCCAAAATGTACCTGCTCACCTAAGAGCTCCAGTGGAGATGTACAAGGAGATTCATGCTGTTTTCCTGCCTGCTAACACAACATCCATTCTGCACCTCATGATCAGGAGTAATTTCAACTTTCAAGTCTTATTATTTAAGAAATACATTTAGTAAGACAATAGCTGTCACAGATAGTTATTCCTCTGATAAATCTGGGCAAAGCAAATTGGAAAACTTCTGGAAAGGATTAACCATTCCAGGTTCCATTAAGAACTTTTGTGATTCTTGGGAGAAGGTCAAAATATTTACATTAACTAGAGTTTGGAAGAAGTTGATTCCAACCCTTATAGATGACTTTAAGGGTTCAAAACTTTACTGGAGGAAGTAACTGCAGATGTGATGGAAACAGCAAGAGGTAAAATTAGAAGTATGGCCTGAAGATGTGACTGAATTGCTGCAATCTCATGATCAAACTTAAGCATATGTGATGTTGCTTCTAATGGGTGAGCAAAGAAAGTGGTTTCTTGAGATAGAATCTACTCCTGTTGAAGATGCTGTAAAAATTGTTGAACTGACAACAAAGGACTTAGAACATTACATAAACTTAGTTGATACAGCAGCAGGAGAGTTTGAGAGCATTGACTCCAATTTATAAAGCAGTTCTACTTTGGATAAAATGCTATCAAAGAGCATTGCATGCTACAGATAATCTTTTGTGTGAAAGGAAAAGTCAAACTTCATTCTTGTCTTATTTTAAGAAATCACCATAGCCACCCTAACTGTCAGCAGCCACCACCCCGAGCAGTCAGCAGCCATCAACTTTGAGTCAAGGTCCTTCACTGTCAAAAAGATTATAGCTTGCCAAAGGCTTGGATGATTGTTAGCATTTTTTAGCAATAAAGTATTGTAAATTAAGGTGTATACTTTTTTTTGGGACATAATGCTATTGCACACTTAGTAGACTACAATATAGCATAAACATAATTTTTATATGCACTGGGAAACCAAAAATTTGGTGCGACTTGTTTTATTATGATATTCACTTTATTGTAATGGCCTAGAGCTGAACCCACCCACAAAATCTTTAGGTATGCCTGTACTTAATTGATGTCTATCTTTTCTAATGAAAGTGCTGGTACTGTGTGTCTTTTAATCACTGTTCTATTCCAATGTCTAGCCCTGTAACTTCTACATCATGAGTGCTCATAAAGTATTTTATAAATGAAAGAGAATATTTTCTAAGCTAGTAACCATGAGACACATCCCCAGCCACCAGTTGGTATAGATAGCATGATGAGCAATGCCGTATCTTAGTGTGTAGTTTTATGCCAATAATGCTGAAACTCTAAGCATAGAGACTTTCTAACCCTTAGCATTGGCTCAGTCCGGGCCTGCACTTTGCTCTGTGAGCAAATTGAGCATATATGCTGTTGTGCTGCCTATACTCCCCATGTCTGGTGTGTTGGGAGCAGCCTAGCCACTCCAAACTAACAGGGCTGTGGCCATTCTCTAATGCCCACTATTCCGGTCCATTCATAGGTCTGTGATCTGGTCTGGTTTCCTGACAGGTATTCCAGGCCTCTCTTACTTGAACTCTGTCTCTTTGGGAACTTTGCTTACATTTTCCAGCTCTTTCTTGGGCTAAATTTTGTACTTTAAATCCTCAGCGATTACTATTGAAAACTCATAAGGTTTTATCTTCACTTATTCAGGGATGACCTCCAAATTATTATCTCTAGCTCATCCTATTGGATCTTTCCACTAGGGTACTCAAAAGACCATCAAAATCAACATGAAGAATCATGTCTTCCCAAGCACTTCTCTCTTCTGGTTGTCTTTTCATGATCATCAAACTTGTCCAAGCTAGAAATGTGAGAAGCATCATATGCCATCCTTTTCTTTAACCCCCACATCTAAGCAGTGAAGTCCTACTGAGCATAAATCCTAAATATTTCTCAATCCAATTCTTTCTTTCCATTCTTACTATCATAGCCCTTGCTGAGACATTATGATAGAAATCTGACATTATCTCTTCTTGTTTAAAGTCTGAGAAGCTCCCCATTGCCTGTGGGTCAATGCCTGAGGTCTCTGTGGTGGGGTGAATGATGACCCAATCCCCTACCAAAGGTATGTTCACCTGGAAATTATCAATGTGACCTTACTTGGAAAATGGGTCTTAATTAAGTTAAGGATCTTTGAATGAGATTGTTCTGAATTAGGATAGGTCCTAAATGTCATGACAAGTGACCTTATGAGAGAATAGAAGGGGAGAAGACATACAGAGGAGGCAGTGTGAAGACGGAGGCAGAGACTGGAGTTGTGTGTCCACAAGCCAAGGAGTGCCAAGGATTGCTGGCAGCCACTAGTTGCTAGGAGAGGCCTGAACTGGCTTCCCTCAGATGCCCCAGGAGGAATTAACCCTGTGAACATCGTGATTCCAGACTCTGGCCACCAGACTGTGAGAGAACACATTTGTTTTTTTAAGCCACCTTAGTGGTAGTTTGTTACAGCAATGGGTACTTTGTATTAGCAACTAATACACTCCTAACATGGTGAACGAGGCTCTTGGGTTCAATTGCTGTATTCCCATGCCTCAGCACTGTTGCACTGTATTTGAATTTAACTGCATGATCCATGTTTTTTCTCTGCACAGACTGCCCTTTTCCATGATTTTATCCACTTCTTCCACTCCGCCTGAAACCTGTCTGCCTGAGCCCTGCCGAGACCCAGGCCCAGTTTTCTGTCTCGGATTACTTCAGAGTTTGGCTTGGGCCTTTTCTTCAGGAATCATGCTGTGACTCGCTTAGGTGAGTTGGGGGCCCTTTTTGCTCCCTGTGCGGGTTGCTTACCTACATGGAGCAAAAGCATAAGGTACTAGAAGGAACTGTTGTTGGTACACCTGTCCTCTTCTCACATTCATGTTTGGAGCTGAATCTCATTTGAAAGCGAATCTTGAGGTTTCATGAGGCAAATATGTATTACTTTTTAGCCTTTTGAAATCTATAGGTTGTGTGAAAAGCCAAAAATGAATTCTGAAAAGAAGAAAACAATCAGCCTGCTATGGTTTGAATGTATATGCATCCCTCCAAAATTTGTATGTTGGAACTTAACCCCCAAGGTGATAGTATTCAGAGGTGGGACCCTTTGGAGGTTGTTAGATCATGAGGGCTCTTTCCTCATGGATGGGATTCATCCCCTTATAAAAGAGGCTTCAGAGAGCTGCCTGTCATCCCTTTTACCCCCTCTGTCATGTGAGGACCCCTAGACAGTGCCATCTGTGAGAAAAAGCCTTTCAGACACTGAACCTGCTGGTTCTTCATCTTCGACTTCCCAGCCTCCAGAACTGTTGGAAATAAATTTCTATTATTTATAAATGACCCAGTCTGCGTAGTATTTTGTTACAGCAGCACATATGGACTAAGATGTAGTGTTTTGGAAATTACTCCTATGGCTGACAAGTGAGAGATCAAGTCTGCAGATAGCTACCACTGGAAAGAAACCTCCAAAAACTTCAGCTTTCAAAGTAAAAAATAACATAGTTGCTGGAGAAGCAGGCAAAGGAAAGAGCCAAAGATTTGCTTCCCTTTGCCAAGAGAAGAAAGGAGAAAAGGAGGATTGGGGAGTCAGAGTGCTGATTGACATTAGATATTTAATTTCCTCAAATCTTACTCTAAATTATATATCATCTACTTCTATCGTTTATGGGATATTATACTAATTGAAAATTATGCTTATCTGTCCTATTAAGTTAAGGATCTTTGATGCTATTTAGGATTTCTATAAGAAATGCACAGTTGAGAAGAAAAGCATGCTCTTCTTTTAACTCAGTTTGCTACCTGTTTTTACCCCTTCATGCTGCTATGACAAAATACTACAGGCTGGGTGATTTATAAAGAACAAATTTATTTCTTTGCAATTCTGGAGACTGAGGAGCCCAAGATGAAGACATCGGTGGGTTCAGTGTCTGGTGAAGGCCTGGTCTCGCTACTTCTAAGATAACACTTTGCTGCTGCCTCTTCTGGAAAGGATGAACACTGCATCGTCACATGGTGGAATGGCAGAAGGGCAAAAGGACTGAACACTGTGTAAAGCTTGTTTGGGCCCTTAGGGCCTTAATCCCATTCATAAGGGATTATCATGACCAATCATCTCCTAAACACCTTACCTCTTAAAATGATTGCATTTGGGATTAGGTTTCAATGTAAAGTTTGAAAGGGACACAAACATTCAAACCATAGCACCACCCTTATGAGAAGAATGGCCTACTAATAAAGGCACTATGCTCACCTTATGTAAAGAGAAATTAGAAAAAGACAAATTGATTTTTAAATGTTTTCTTCTAGACAATACTCACCTGAGTTGTGGCAGGTATCATGATGCTCATACTTACAATAGCAAAATTGGAAAATATGGAAAGCAGAACCAAGAGGTGTTTTTTTCTTTTTTAAATGGTAGCCATGTGATGGTATACTTTTGTTATGCTGTTATTTGATACTCAAAAACATAAGTACATATATGTCTTAATTATTCTGCAATTTCTATACTTTAATTGCTCCTTGTGCAAGATTATCTTAAAGCCATGCTTTTGAAACAGGAGTATGTACATTATGAATCCATGAGACCTAAAATTAAACATGGCACATCTAGGGGCATTACCTTTCCTTATTTATTCATACTACAGATAAGTTTTGAAGTAGAGTAAACAGAATTTCCTAACACGTGCTATGTGGAGTGTGAACAAAAAAGAGTGGAGTCAAGAAGAATGCTAAAGTTTGAGGAATAATAATATCATTTCCTGAAATCAGAAAGCTTGCTGGGAGGTAATGTTAAGACGTTAAGGGATTGTTTTCTCCACTTTATGTGTAAGTTCCTATTAAGCATATTAGCAATGATGTCAAGTAGGATGGTGGATATACAAGTCTAAAGTCAAGGATGAAGGCTGGAGATATACATCTGGGAGTCATCAGCACAGAGCTGGTTGTTAAAGCCAGGAGATGGGCTGAACCTATCTATGGATGGTGTGAAAGTAGAGAGTGATGAGGACTACCTCTGCAGCTTCCCATAATGTAATGCAAAAGGGAAGGGACTCAGCCAAGGAGAATAAGAAGAAGGAGTCAGTGATAAAGGAGGGAAACCAAGAGAATATGGTGTCTCAGAAACCGAGTGATACAAGTGTCAAATGCTGCTGAGATGTTAAGTTGAGGCCTCCAAATTTATTTGGCCAGGTAGAGATTAATGGTAATATTGACAAAGGAAATTTAAATGGAGTGTTAAAATAAAAGCCTGATTGGAATGGATTCAAGAGAATCTCTGAAAAGAACTAATGGAGACAAGCAATATAGACAACTTTTTGAAGAATTTACTGTAAAAAGAACTGAGAAATGAAGCTGAGATGGAACAGAATGTGGGGTTAAAGAGCATAATGCAATATGTTTGTATCCTGATAGAAATTTTGACGCTACTTTAAATTAAAAGAAAAAATTAGATTAACACCTGAAAAAATTCCAAAGAAATTCAAAGTGTGATTCTTTCCCTGGGTTCTTGTAATTTCCCAATATAAAAGTCAAGAGAGATCACCAAACACAGCAGCAAAGGAAAGTTTATTTCAGGTTATGCACAAAATATCCAGCACTGAGAAAAAGAAACGGGCTGCTCCCAGAGGGTAGAGTGTGGGTTAGTTTTCTAAGGTCTTTATATAGGGAAGGGTTATGCCAGGGCGTGTATAGGAGGGTTTTTTCTAGCACTTGCACAGTGGCTCAACGTGTTTCTTCGTACATTGGATGTAGCATTACCATTTTAAATCTCCATCCCGGGCATGATTTTTAGCATTAAAATGAGGAAGGGGTAAGTATAGGTTGGAGTTTAAGTCTCTCTGCACATGTACCTGTGGAGCTCAGGGAAAGTCCCTGGCTTCATGAAATAGGCCAAAGATTGGAAACTAAACAGACATAAAGTTAAATGTAATGTATTATCCTGAACTGAATCCTGTATCAAGAATACTTAAAAAAATGACATTAGAAAAACTTGAATATGATCCATAGATAATTGTTCTACATCAGTGTTAACATTCCTGATTTTAATAATTATACGATGGTTATGTGAGTGAATGTCTTAGTTCTTAGAATACTCATACTGAAATACTAAAGAGGCATGATGTCTGTGACTTTCTTCCAAACGATTTAGAAAAACATTTTAACAATAATGTATAAAAATAAAAATAATATATAGGGATTAATATAATTATGTAATTTAAATTATACTTATGTATATAATTATATTTCAATTTTTATTATATATGATATTATATAATATATAACATATGATTTATTAATAAATAATATAATAATTATATACATATACAAAGAGAGAGAATAATGAAGCAAATGTGACCACATATTGCTAATTGATGAATCTGGATAAAGAGTACCCAGGACTTGTAACTTTTCTGTTTGAATTATTTCAAAGTTAAAAGTTAAACAAAGGAAATATAGGAGAAAATTGTACTTACAAAACCATATATTAAATACACAAATCATGAAGAGGAAGATTCATAAATTTGATTATATAAAAGTTTTTTAAAAGCAAAAGCAAAGATTATAAACAAAGTGCAAAGACAACACACGTTAAGGGACAGTTAAAAAACTTGTAACTAGTCAGGATCAAAGGCTATTAAACATCCCAACAAATCAGCAAGGAAAAACAAACTGACGTAAGAATGTAACAGGCAACTCAGAGAAGAGGAAAGCTTAATGGCTACTAAATATGCATCATTATTCAACCCACTAGTAATTAGAAAAATGCAATTTAAAGCACTAACTGTATAGGTAAAAAATGAAAGAATCTACTCATATTAAGTACTAGCAATAGAGCAGTGTGAACTCTAGAACAGAGCTGATGATTCTTTAATTTGTTACTACTTTTTAAACATTTTACTTTAAGTTCTGGGATACATATGCAGAACGTGCAGGTTTGTTACATAGGTATACATGTGCCATGGTGGTTTGCTGCACCTATCAGCCCATCATCTAGGTTTTAAGCCCCGCATGCAGTAGGCATTTGTCCTAATGCTCTCCCTTGCCTTGCCCCCAGCCCCTGACAGGCCCCGGTGTCTGATGTTCCCTTCCCTGTGTCCATATGTTCTCATTGTTCAACTCCCACTTATGAGTGAGAACATGTGGTGTTTGGTTTTCAGTTCCTGTGTTAGTTTGCTGAAAATGATGGCTTCCAGTTTCATCCACGTCCCTAATTTGTTACTACTACTTTTAAAGAGCAATTGGCAGTATCTTCTAAAGACTGAAGATGCACAAGCCCTGCAAATCCATTACCACATTCCTGTGTTACACCCTAGACAAATTTTCACACAGTGCATGAGCAAAATGTACAAAGTTTCTTGCAGTACTTTTTGCACTAACAAATAACAAAAGCAACAAATGCCCATAAAAGAAGAATGGATAAGTAATTGTGGTAAGATTACAAAATGGAATACCATACTTTTATTTAAATGAACAAACAACAGTTACAAGTAACGATATAGATTTCTCTCAAATTCATAAATGAAAAAAGAAGCCAGTTGCAGAATGATACCATTTATACAAATTTTAAAACATCCAATCAATTCTAGGAATTGTTCACAGATATTGCTGTGGGTTGAATTGTGTCTTCCCAAAAGATTTGTTGAAATCCTGACTTCTGTCCTCAGAATGTGACCTTATTTAGAAGTAGGATTGTTTCAGATATAATTAGTTAAGTTAAGATGAGGTCATTAGGGTGGGTCCTAACCCAATATGCCTGGTGTTCTTATACAAAGAGAAGACAGAAAAACACAGGGAGAATGCCATTTGATAATAGAGGCAGAAATTGGTGTCATGCTGCTACAAGCCAAGAAACACTGGAGGCTACCCGAAACTGGAAGGGGTAAGAAAAGATCCTCCCCTAGATCCTTCAGAGGGAGCATGGTTCTGCCAATACCCTGACTTCAAACTTTCACACAGGTGCACAAGCAAAATGCACAAAATTTTTTGCAGTACTTTTTGTACTAATGAAATAGCAGAGAATGGATAAGCAATTTGTTGACTTGTAGCCTCTAGAACTGCAAGAGAATAAATTTCTGTTGTTTTGAACCACCAAATTTGTGGTTCTTTGTTATGGCAGCCTTAGGAAACATACAGATATATTCATCTCTATGAATATAAATGAAAACGTATATGTTGTCACACATGCAAGGGATGATGACTACCAAATTCAAGATGCTGTTTAATTTCAGGGAGGGAGGGAGGAGATTAAGAAGAGATTCACAGACGGCTTTAACTGTATCAGTAATGTTTTATTTCTTTTAAAATATTTCAAAATAAGAATTGATAGAACTTGTTAGTAGGTCATAAGAAGGTTTGTTATATTTTTCCTGTATGTATAAAATGGTTTATAATAAAAGGAAAAAAATGTAAATCCTAAGATGTATCTAGGGTGTATGGGAGTGGGGCACAATCTCTCCTGGTGTCAGCTCGCTATGACTGATGCCCATTTGGATGAGAATCATGGTCAGGAGGATGTGGGGGGAAGTAGTTATTGGGTATAGTGGTTCGGCACCAATTGGTGGAGGCTGGGCAGTGACAGGGATTAATTAATATGGGTTACTTTCCATGACTGGCATTCCCTTCCAGACACATACAGACCAAGTGTGTGAAGGTAGATCTTTCTCAAAAGAATTATCAGAAATTAATTTTTATTCATTACCTTAGGAGAGAGGCTGCCTCATTGTTAAGAAGTTCTTGTTAATAACAAAAACTTCTAATTATATAGTTCTTTAAAGTTTAAAATGTAATTAGAAACCAGTTCAAATATATTGAACTGAAATGTCTTGCCTGAAACTTCATCTATTAGACCAGATTCTGTCTTCATAGGCAGCGTAGAACAAATCCTTCCTTGCCATCTCTCAGTCTCCCCTAGGTCTTCTGTTCCCAGACCAAATGCCCCTATTCACCCTCCCTTTACTGTGGCTCTCTTATTACCCTGCAGACTTTTAAAATAAAAGACAGCTTCTAACTTGCATATCCACCTTGAAACTAATAAGGGTGTGCTTGAACCCTCTCAGTGTGTAGCTCAGAAGCACAGAGGCTTTTTAGCTTACTTTCTGACTGGCTGTCAGGTAAAGACCTAGGAGACTGAAGGAGCAGTGACAAGGGCTCTGGTTCTTAAGTCATACAGCCTCCTTGGCCTTCGGCAAACTAGCTCAATTTCCTCACCTAAGGAAATTGAATTTATCACAGCTTCCTATGCTAAGCTAATAGGGTTACTGTATGGGTTAAATGAGATATTGCTGAGTAAAGTGTCTGGAGTCTTGGAAAACTTCAGTAAATGTTAGCCACTGTTATTTTATCAGCTCCTAGTTTTATAGAAGTGGGTGCTTCTGTGCTGTTGGCAAGGCCCCCATTAGTCCCAAGTGGACAGTTACAGGCAGATTAACAGAGTATCTTGGTTAACGTGTTCCTTCCTTTTAAATAATGAGAGACTGGAAATCTCTACAAATTAATTTATCAATTAATTTCATGACTCAAGAGTGTCTTTACAGAATAAATATTTCTTATATTGAGGTCAATGCTGAAATAGCATGATTTAGATCTTGTTTCTGTTTTCTTTCTCTGAATGATCGCACCAGGTATTGGTTCCACACACAGATAACCATGCAGGTATGAACGCTGGGGAAAAGGACCTGCATCTTACTAGCCCCTAGTTTTATAGAAGTGAGTGCTCCTGTGGTGTTGGCAAGGCCCCCGATATTGACAAGTTTTGGAGCCAGTAAAATGAAGGTCCTTTCCCGCAGTGTTCGTACCTGCGTGGTTATCTGTGTGTGGAAGCCAGGGTGGGGTTTCTATGGGGCTTTCTCTTAGATACTCATTTTTTTGTCACTAATTTTGAAAAATCTGAAAAAATATAGTGTTTTGGGAAAAACTACTCCATTTTACTTTAGATTTAGTTTAAAATTTTTTGTTAAATGAGAAAATCCAATGCCAGAAGAGTGGCATTGAAATGAAGTGTTTTCATATATTGCTGGTGCGGATATGGATTGGAAGAATCTTTCTGCAGAGCAATTTAATATCATGTGCCAAATGCCTCAAAAATGTTTTTACCACTTGGTTTAGTAATTTTGCTTTCAGAAAGTCTTCCTAGGTAAAGATAATACAACACTGGGGAAGATCATTGAACAAATATATTTAATAGCATTATTTATAACTGGAAAATCTTAAAAAAAGAAATATGGCAATAGTTAAATTACGTCATGTCATCAGATGGACTATTATGCAGCTAGTAAAAATGTTTATGAATAATTTTTAAAGATATGAAAACCTCTAACTATAAAATGTCAAGCTAAAAATATATAAATTGTATTCACAAAGTGGTTTCCATTGCATAAAATAATACACATAGGAATAATGACACTGGATGGATAGTTTTAAATGTTCTTTTCTAAAGTTTTATGTAGTTTTAAAATCTTCTTCAATGTGTCTACATTTCTTTTGTAATTTTGACAAGTTAGTATTAAAAAGAGTAAAAAAATGTTTATCAACGTTTAATTTTTATCAATATATTACCTTAAATAGTCAAATAGTGCTAAATGACTTATGACCAAAAATAGCAGTTATTTCCCACCTTCTTCCACCTTCCTTCTCCATCCTTAGAAGAGGCAACAACTTTAAAGTTTCTAGTTTCTTTTCCTAATACTTACTCCACATATCTATAAATATTCCTATTTTTGCTGCATTTACACATTGAGTTTACCTTACAGTACATGAAAATTTTGGCAGTCTCAGCCATCTCCATTATCCACTCTTTTTCCTCCCTTTATAAGTACCACAATTTTTAATTAAGTGCCTACTTAGTGTTTTTATTATTATAACTAGGAAAATACTCTTCCATGCTGTACAAGATAGGGTATTATTGTGTTATGGGATATTATAATGTAGGGTGTATACCTTCATTTTCTCATATGATTTCTGGCTTTTCTTAGATTTAAGTATTGTCTTACATTTTTATTTGCTTAATTTTCTTTGATCCTTGGCTGTGTTTTCCAACACTCTCCAACTCTCGATAACCACTTCTCGATACAACTGCCCACAGGGTAAAAACTTTCAGTTCATCTCTTTGCTCTGAGACTCTGCCCCTAGCTTTCCTTCTTTTCAGCAATGCATATCTATCAGAAAAAGAGTCTATGAAACATAAAATTTTGATATTTTGCATGTATGTAAATATATTTATTCTATCTTCACTCTTGATGAATACTTTGGCAGGGTATAGAATTCTATGTTGAAAAAATCACATTCATTCAAATACTGCTGAAAAGTCTCATGACTTCTTTTCTTGATTCTTTACAGGTAATCTGCTTTTTCTTCTGGAAATTCTTTTTTCTTTTCTTTTTTTTTGATTTCCAACTTGTATTTTAAGTTCAGGGGCACATATGCAGGATGTGCATGTTTGTTACATAGTTAAACATGTGCCATGGTGATTAGCTGTACAGATCATCCCATCGCCTAGGTATTAAGCCCAGCATCCATTAGCTATTCTTCCTGATGCTCTCCCTCCTCCCAACCCCCGGCCCTCTGATATGTTATTAAATTTTATGAGAATGTGCCCTAACACAGGTTTTATTTTGTTCATGTGGCAGGTAGTGAGCAGGCTCTTTTAATCTAAAAACTCATGTCCTCTGGTTTTTGCATACTTGTAGTATTAAAAAAACAGTTTTCTCTCCACCTTCTTGTCTGTCTCTTGTCCTAAAATTCTCCTTACTTGTATGTTGGACTTCTAGAAGTGATTTTTAAATTTTCTCATCTTTTCTTATCCATTTTCACTCTTCTTTTTTGTTCTATTTTTTTATCTTTTTATTGGCTTTCTAATTCGGGCTAATCATATGTGTAATCTCTAAGATCTCTTTCCGTCTCTGATTATTCTTTTTGAAAATATGTTCTTATTTTATTGATGTAATATTTTCTCTTTAAGGATGTTTTTATTATGTCTTTGGGAGTTTTCTTCTAAGCATTGTCTCTGTTTCCTTCCAATTCCTGTTTGTTTCATAGTTTTTAGCCTCTGCTTTCACAGTAAAATATTGTTATTCACTTGTATTTAAGAGATTCTAAAAAAGTCATCGAAAGTTTTGTGAATGTGGGTGAGGCCTTGCCTCTGGGGTAGTTTACTTTTATCTGCATGTATGAGCTGGGCTGACAGCTTTCTGGAACTGGTTGGGAAAGAACACTGGGGAGGGGTTTCCCTATTCAGCTGTTTTTCACTTAATGGACTCTTCCATTGTAGTTTGGCATTTCACCCCCTACCTCCTCCATGCTAGCTGATCCAAGCCTGGAGTTCTTTTGTCCTCATTTTCCAGATAATATACTTCCAATTCCCTAAAGATGGGAAAGTTGATCACTTGACTATGTAATTAAGTGATATGAGTTCAGCGGGTCTTTCTTTTTCTTTTCTTTTCTTTCTTTTTTTTTTTTTTTTTTTTGAGACAAGAGTCTCGCTCTGTTGCCCAGGCTGGAGTGCAGTGGCGCGATCTCGGCTCAGTGCAAGCTCCGCCTCCCGGGTTCACGCCATTCTCCTACCTCAGCCTCCTGAGTAACTGGGACTACAGGAGCCGAGTTTGGCGGGTCTTTCTAACTGTTCCTTATACAGACTAAACAATTCCTGTTTTCAGGTCCCCTCTACCCTGTCTTCTGAAGTATCTGACACTTACTGAGCCTTTCTGGGGTTCTGTGGTTGAATTGGCTTCCTTCTCACTTGTTACCTTTTTCATTCCTTAAGTAATTTACTACTTACCCATCTGCTTTCCTTCTCTGTCTCTCTCTCTCCCCCCCCCGTTATACTTCAGTAGTCACTGGAAACATTTGTTTCCTTGCTTATTTTTTCTCCTTGGCATTTGGATGCAATTTTCAAGCAGAGGGAAAAGTGAAAACACCTTAATTTCACTTTCGAAGGTAAGAAAATGTATCCTTAAAATGGACACCACATTTAGCTCCTTTTCCTAATGCCTCCTGCATTTTCTTGGAGAGTGGTAAAAGAACAGATAGTTCAGGGAAAGAAGGAGAGAATGGGGAAAGCTCTGTGCTGACACATTTCTAAGCATAGTGAGATTATGGAACCCGTGTTGAACAAAGACTCTTCCATTCATTTTTTTAAAAATTGAGACAGGGTCTCACTCTGTCATCCCAGGCTGGCATGCTGTGGTGTGATCATGGCTCACTGTAGCCTTAATCTCCTGGGCTCAAACAAGTCTCTCATGTCAGCCTCCTGAGTAGGTGGGACTACAGGCATGCACCACGACACCTGGCAATTTTTTTTTTTTTTTTTTTTTTTTAGTAGAGATGGGATCCTATTATGTTATCCAGACTGGTCTCAAACTCCTGGCCTCAAGTGATCCTCGCACCTCTACCTTCCAAAGTGCTTCCAAATTCTACCCTCACTCATCTTTGCTTCCCAATTCTTGTAAATAAAGCAAATAGGGCAAGTAAAGTGGTTTTGTAGATGAATTAACATTTTTAAGGGAGGTTGTTTTAAGAGGAATACGATAGCAAATCTTTGCACAACGTAAGGAATGTCCTTTAACACATCTAATCTGTAGATGAATTTTTTAAAAAAGATTTTCCTTAAAATATGTTACACTTATGCAGGCATAGAAGAAACACACAGTAACCGTTGTCTTTTACAAAATAATTTCAAGCCAGAATTTCCCTTTGGTTCTAAAGCAAAGAATGTTTATTAATAGAATGTGCATTTGTGCCACACGGGAGAAGATCTTCCTCGGGCAGATACTTCCCAGTGACTGTCCTATGTGGAGGCTGCAGTCAAGGGTGTCCCACATGTATTTCTCATATGAATATTGAATAGCAGCCTCATTTCTGTCCTGGGGGTGGGGGTGGAGATTCTTTACTCTGAATAATCTTGAAATAGTTTGTAATATGAGACCAACGGAACATATTATAATGCCTAAGCACGTTTACATTTATCTGGAACTCAAAATAGTGACGTTGAAACAGACTTCACTGTCCTAATTTAATTCTTATTTCTTTGCATGTGATTCTCAGTTCATGTCTCATATTTGCTCTTTTCTATCTTCAAAGGCCATCTAGACATTTTGAAAATTCCGAGTGAAGAGAAAGGATTAAGACCTTAAATACCTCTAAATAAAATAATTTTCACTAATGCCTATAAGAAAAAAAACCCCACATCCCAGAAGCAAAAGTAAAGAAGTCAGAGGCAAGAAAGAATGGAAAAGGGAGAAGAAAAACTCTTTTCTTGGAATTTCTTTGCACATGAGTTGTTTTGTGCATGAGGAGAGAGAATAGGAGGGAGCGGCTATTTGGCTGACATCCATCACGGGCCAATCATTCCTCTCTTTACTTGCCTATGTTACATTAAATGGTTAAATCCACACAGGAGTCCTGCAAGGTAGGTATTGGTATCAACAGTTAAGCAAACTGGGGGTAGAGATTTTAAATAAACTGCCTATAGTAATTATAGGCAAATTAGTAGCAAATACGCCTTCCAATAGTAAAAAACAAACAAACCAAGCAACAACGACAACAATAATTCCAGTCAAGCTTACCTAAGACTAATTATCAGGACTTTGAGGAGCAACTTGGATAATTGAAACTATATTATTCAATGAATACTTTAACTGCTTCCTGGAAATACTATCTTTATATACTCTCCAGTATATAGAAAAATGAGGATGTTGATCTCATTAAGGCTGACAATGAATGTTTTCTTGATTAAACATCCCCTTTATCACTGAGCACAACTTGTTTTAAAATTCCAAAGCTACGTGGGGCTTGTTGTATTCATATGCATAGAAAAATGAAAATGCAAGAGGATAAATACCTTGTCTGAAGTCACGTAGTTTGCAAATGGTAGAGTCAGATTTCAAATCCATGCACTCCAGCTTGTAACTAGTATGTTCTGCTTCCTCTTTTATTCTTGTCCCTTTGTGTATACTCTTTTATTTCCCATAAAAGATTTTAGAATCTTCTCTTTTTTCTTTGGTGTCCTGAAATATCACTGTGATGTAAATAAGTGTGTATGTGCATGTATGTGCATGTTGGATCTTTATTCTACTCGATACTTGCTAAGCCCATTTAATCAAAAGGGCTTATTCATTTTTTTTCTCAATATTTGGAAATTTTTTCTGTGTGTTCATGAATTTACTCCCTTACATTTTCTTTATTTTCTTTTCTTGAACTCTTTTTAATCAGATGATAAAACTTTTGGCCTTGTGTCTTCATTTAGCTGTCATACTCATGTATTTATTCATTTCTGCTTCATTCTGGTAAGATTCCTTGACTTAAACTTCCAGCTTGTTAATCGTTCTTCTCCCAGGTGCATTTTGCTTTGTAGGCATCTATTGAATTTATGACTTCAACAATCTAGTTTTTAGTATCTACGATCTCTAAATGATTACTGCACACATATGTATGTATACATGCACATATTATATTTTTAATATGTTTTAGAGGTAGTTAATTGAAGTTAGTTTACTGTTATGCTACTTCTAGTAATTATGCTTTCTTGTGTAACATTTTCTCCATTTGTTGAGGTTACTGGCTGTCATAATGTGGAGTTTCACCAAATATTTAGTGATTCTTGTTTGAGAACACATCTTTGTATTAAATTACATGTTAGTAGAGTGTCTTTTGATAACCATACTGGAAAAAGTAAGAAGATTCTTTGGTACACTAGAAATTGTGAAAGAGTTCCTGAAAAATGCAGAGCCTGCAAAGTCGCATTGAAAACAAACCACATTCCAAAAATACATGGAAGAAACAGCTGCAAAAGGTGAGAATGGCAGGCACCAGGAGGGTTTATTGTGCAGTGGGAACAAGAAGAATTCTATGGCAAATAGGAAGGTGAATTTCCTCCCAGTCGGTTTGACCTTCTCTAGAAGCTTAGGATGACATTTTATTTATTTATTTATTTATTTATTTATTTATTTATTTATTTATTTATTTATTTTTGAGACAGAGTCTCGCTCTGTCATGCAGGCTCAAGTACAGTGGTACATCTCAGCTCACTGCAACCTCCGCCTCCTGGTTCAAGCGATTCTTGTGTCTCAACCTCCCAAGTAGCTGGGATTACAGGTGTGCATTACCACACCTGACTAATTTTTGTATTTTTGATATTGACGGGCTTTCACCCTATTGGCGAGGCTGGTCTCGAACTCCTGGCCTCAAGTGATCCACTCGCCTCGGCTTCCCAAAGTGCTGGGATTACAGACGTGGGCCACCACGTCCTGGGGTGACATTTTAATGATGACATCGTATCAGCCCTCTTTGGAATCGTGCTCTTGACTCCTGACTTAGTTATTGATAATATTTATTGCTTCTCTCCAAAGTTGCTGTTTTAAATCTCTCTTGCTCTTCTTGCTGCTTGCCCCAGTCCTAGCAGCTCATACCCTCAATAAAGTGTATTTCACTATGCAATAACTTTTAGGGTAGCAGCTGTATAATCACAGTAAAAATGAAGCAAGTGACAGAGAAGAGAGAGAATTGGGCTGAGAGCTACAAGACCTAGTTCTTAGTCTCAGGACTGAATTGAATTTTAGGTTCTGAGTTTCTGATTTTTAATTTTTGCATTGAATGTAATAAATATATTTGGAGGATGAGGGTTTATATAAATTTTATGTTCAGAAATTTTGAAAAATGTAATTGTATGTTGTCAAAATTCCCTACTTCATTTCAGCAATGTGAGACTTAAAATATATGTTTTGATCAAATGGAACATTACTATATTTAATCCAACACATATAATGAAGTAAATACAAGTATGCAATTAGAGAAAAATGAGTTATGCTTTAAAATTAATTACAGATCATTTAGAAACATGTCAGTAAACTGTCAAATTATCATTAAAGATTAATCACATATGAGCTAAAAATGCTAAAAATAATTTAAGCATTACAAGTAAAGTTATGAAGATAATCAAATAATAGTCATTAAAGGGAATAGTCACTCCAGCTCCAGATATTTAATTTACAAGTCAAGCAGATTCAGGTCCAGTCCTCTGAAGGGAATGATAAAGAAAATGAGGAGCCTGGGGAGAATGTAGTGGAGGGGAGAGCACAGAGAGCTGACATTCTTTACAAAAGAATCTGCCCCTGAATCCATGGAATTTATTTCTGCTTCGCTTTCCAGTCTCAGACCCATAAAGGAAGGAATCTTCCCTGGAATGTTATGCCAGGAAATTGGCTGCGTCCTAAAGAACACTGGATCCGGATTCCAAAGCCAGGATTCTAGTCCTTACTCCCCCACATGGTTGCAGAGGGAAACTGAGTGCATTCTCACATCTTGGGACTTCTTGTTCCCTTAACTGTAGAAGGAGGAGTCAGGGCCAAATGACTTTCCTTTCTGGGCTTGAGATTCTAGCATTGAAAAGCTCAGGATGACCAAATGGAAACACACCTAAACATTTGAGAGAATGTATGTGATCTAATTTTTTAATTTTAGTTTTAAGTGGAATTACAGATGAAAGGAAAAGTCATTATCCTAGATTTCAGAAAAACAAAAATCATTGCAACTCTTCTTCTATAGCTCTGTCAATGTGCTGTGTCATATTTCAAATCCCTGATCATTTTTGGCAACCCCTAGGAGAGAAGATTAAGAACATCTCCCTAATCTGGCTGTGAGGGAGAAGGTAGAATTTAAACCTTCAATTATAATAAGAAACCCCATCCAAAGTTGAATATATCTACAGTGGTGTGCTATAAATGCTTTGGGTGATAATGACTACTCTTTTTTTTTACAGTGTATCCAAGCCTTTCTCGTGGCTTCACACTGATCATTCTTCTGTCTTCCCCAGACTGCATCTTGAAACCTCACCTCACCTTCATTTAAAACTACCTCCTTTTCTGACAGATCCCAAATTTCCAACAAACACATTTTGCCAGGATCAAAGGCAGATACATTTCCATACCAGTCAAACCCTGCTCAGTGAGCTTCATAGTGTATCCAACTTGTTTAGTTGGAGTGGAATTCTCTAATGAGCATGTGGCTGGAGATCTCACTTTTGTTGTGCAGAAGCTAGAGGACACGGTGAGCTGACAGCTGTATAACTCTCATTGAAATGGCACGTTTTAAAGGGTGCTTTGAAGCTAATAGAAGGAATGAAGAAACATACACATGTGCTGCCTCTCCATAGTCTACCTCAAAACATTAGATGCTGTTATTTACTTGGGTTGGCAAGGGGAGGAAGAGGGGAGATCTCTAGTGGAGATATTTAAATATTCTACATATTAAGAGCTGATGGGGATTAGAGTGTTTCTGAACCCTGTGCTGTATGAGGACTCTATCTCTGTTTTAGCTTCCTAGCCTTCTCTTTACTCTCCTTTCCTCGTTTCCATGTGAACTATAGGCACACAATTGTTTTTTTATTTTTTTCCTAGTAGGTTTGTCTCCAAATGGCTAACAAACATATGAAAAGAGATTCAACTTCAATTTACCATTTCACTCACCTGGGATAGATTTTTAAAAAATGGTACCCAGTGTGCATGAGGTCCAAGAAAGTAGAGATTTTTCATACAGTGGGATTCCAAATTGTTATAACCTTTCTGAGGAGCAATTTTGCAATTTATGTCAAAAGCCTTAAAAATACCCATTCTGACGCAAAATTTTTACTTAAATAAAAGTGTGTATACAAAATTTAGCTTCAAGAATGTGTTTCACAGTATTGTTTACAAATCTAAATGCTGAAAACAGGTTGAATGTTTACCAATGGTTATGTAAATTTTATCCCATGACGTAATAATGAAGGGTTCTTGTTGACATTGAATATATTCATGATACATGTTTAAGTTTTAAACACAACATATGATGCCATTTTATAAAATATTGAAAAGCTGTGTATGAAAAGCTGATAATACATTGAAATGTTACTAGAGGTTATATCTAATGATGGGTTTATAAGTCGGATTTATTGTTTTCTTTTTTATATCTTTATTTTATAAACTTCTAAAATAATATGAATGACTTTGTTAGTAAAATAAAGTGTTCTGTAATGGAAAGGTTGAGCTGGATAGTAAATCAGAGAGGAATATAGTTAAGAAGATGTTACAAAATCACAACATGCTGATGGCCTGAGCTAGTCTGGGAATAGCGTGAAGGGGATGTGTGACAGGTATTTTTCAAAGGTAGTACCAACAATACTTAATGACAACAGGGCACAGTGATGAGGAATGGAGACTTTATTGTGTGTGTGTGTGTGTGTGTGTATGTGTGTACTGTTGTGCAAAACAACACTTTGGTGTATCAGTTTGAGCTGTGAGAGAACATTTAAGGAGCTGTCCTATGGCTAGTGGAAGAAATGGGACTGGTGTTAGGTGCACTGTTGAGGGAGGAGGAGGATTTATTTTATCAGCCTAACTGAAACAATAAGAGTTAATTAATCCAAGAAAAAGACTGTGGTCATTAAAGACCTATGTATAGTGACCGTTAGTGAGTGGGAAGATAAAGAAGGACTGGTAAAAGAAACAGAAAACTATGTAGAGAAATAGAAGGAATTCAAACAAACTAATGCAAGATAATGGAAAACTAAAAGAGGGAGTTGTAAGAAAAATGGTGTGGATAACAAAATATGTTATTTCAGAAAGTTAAGGAAAATGATGCAGAGAAAAGGTCACTGAATTTGAGAAGGGACCCTTATTAGAGTCTTAGAGAAAGAATCCATTTCTGTAGATTGGTGAGAATAAAAGTCACATGGTAGAAAATCATTCATTCAAAAACTATGGCAGTGAAAAAAAAGAGAATGAGAGTGGTCATTAGAGGGATGAGCAGAGAAAAAGTAAAGCAGTGCTCTCCAGGATTGAGGACATCTGCATGTCTTGGAAGAAAAGGGCCCTGCAAAGAGAGGCTGGAAATAATAAATGAAGAGCAAGGTTCTTGAAGGGGAGGATATATTTGGGCAGCAGAGCACAGATGTGAGAGTACAAATAATAATAAAGAGACTATCTCTTTTTCTTAGAGATAAAAGAAAGATAAGAGAATGAATGTGGACAGCCACAGGTGCTGAGGGATGAAAACAAAAAGTGACTTGGTGCAACTTGAATAGCCTCAAAGTAGGATTTAGGGTTCTGTATACTGTTGTAGAGTCCTGAAATGTGGGCCCAGGAAAACAAAAGAGGCTTACAGTGTTAACTTTGGGAAGTAGGGAAAATGAAGAAATGAATAAAGGTTTTGCCAAGCATCACATATTAGGAAAGAGTGGCTAGTGTTTCTCGACTGCATCTTACTCTTATGCAAGTCTAAGTGGACTTTGTATTTAGAAACATCACGTGGAACAGGAGAAGGGAAGAGAGCTGTGAACAGCAGTTTGTGAGGGAGGAAGTCTGAGAAGCTGGGGTGGCTGAAGGCCATGTTAAAAATAGCCAACCCAAGAATCAAGGATAAGTTTTCCAGAAGGGGCTCATGAAGTTGAAGAAGTCAGATGAACTGATAGTGAGTCCAGTGAGTGGAGGTCAGGGAGAGGCATAGAAGGATGGAAAGCGAGAAAAGGGTTTCATGGGAGTGGGGAAGTAGGAAAGTTGAGAAGGCTGGAGGGTAGAGCAGTGGAAAGAGATGTCATAACCCAGGGCACAGTCATATTGGTAGGATGCATTGGTGGCCAGTTATGCAGTGAGGCTGATTTGAATAGAAGGTAGGTGAGGTGGGAGGTGAAGAATTTGAAAGGTCATGAAAGTGAATGTGCAAATGGACATAAATGCTGGTGTCAGGGGTCTACCTCAGGGAATATCAGACACCACAGGGATAAAACTCTCTGTAGATTCGTAGGATCGGGGTAAGTATAGCTTAATGATAATGAATATAGGCTTTCTTACCTCCATAATGTCTCAGCTGTATGGCCTTGTGGACATTACAAAACCCCTTTCAACTTCAGTTGCCTCATCTGCAAAATAATACTGTAGATCTCCTGTTGATGCTGTGAAGACTGAATGCGATAATGTAACTATCTGGAATAAATGCCAGCTATGATGATGGTGATAATGATGGTAATGATGATAATGATAGTGGTGGTGAAAGTCTTTTGATTGTCCTAGATGTAGACACTGCTGAAGATCTTAGCAGAGGATACAAGTCACTTAGGAGTTCCTAGTGTATGGGGCTGGTTATCTTATTCTTAAGGCACTTATGAAAAAGTGGCCTTAGCACAGGACGTGGCATGGAGTTAGTCCATGAGAAATTCTTAGTGCACCCATATTTTATTTTCTTTTTAGTTTTCTTTGAAAATAAGATTGTAATAATTAATGATACTAGTAGCAATTTTGAATGTTTTAGAAGTTTTTATGTTCACTTTTCTCTATTTTAGAAAAGCAGAGGCATGTAAGATATTGTAGATCTCTATTTTATTTAAACAGTTGAAGTAAAATAAATGTAAAGTAAAATAAATTTGATACTGAAATTATTGATTCAATAATTTTGAAAATTTCCTAATAATTACAGATAGATAAGGTGTTGTACCAGTGTATTTATAAATTAGGCTTCTTTTTTTGTTTTACCTTTTAATTGATTAGCTTAAATGAGATCACCCATTTTTGTCAGATTTTGTGACAATTACCTGGAGCATCAACCCAGGTAAGAAATACAAATTCTATGCCATTCACACATGAGTATAAATTCAAGCACCTTGGTTGCAACCATCATTACTGGTTGACAGTAATAGATGGTGAAAATCACGCATCAAAATATAAGAGTATTTTCAGGAGTTAAAGAGGAAAGATGATGGATAAAGTTACTTACAGATTTTTCTCATTCACAGACACAATTCTAGTTCCCTTATATATATAATTATTAGCCACAGCATATATATGCATGTGTTGAGGGAGCTTAATTTTAGATGGGGCTTGGCATTAGGTTTGAGGTTGTAGGAGAAAAGAAAGAGTACTGGAGGCTACTAAGTGCTAGCATGACTGAATAGGAAGGAAAGATAAGAGCCAGATGAAAAGCAGTTCAGCATTAAGATCAGGTTGATTTATTAGATGGGGAAACAATGAAGACTGGACTCTCTCCTTCACTTTCTCACTCTCCAAAATGGTAGATAAATTATTTGCATAACTGAATAACTAAGATCAACTAAATAGAAATAAATAGAAGTTTAAACATTAATGGCTTATGCCTTTATGTTCACTTTAATTCACAAAGCTCCTTATCAGTTTCTTCAATTAATGCCTTCTTTTGATTGAAGACATCATCACAGAATAATATTGAAGAGTCTGGCCTCCTGATGTGAAATGAGGCACTTTAAAATATGTGGAAACATAAATATAATTTGTGAATTTATTACCTCACTCTGATGGAGCTTCCTCTATACTTTCAAGATCATTATTGATAAATGAGGACATGAATGTCTTCATGACTCTAAAACTCCATGATTTAAGCACAAGGGAAAGTTAGAAAGCCAATACTAGAACAAAATTTTTGAAAAATGAGAACTTATTTATTCAATGAATTTAAAATACTTTTGGATTCATATAAAGGAAAAGTTGAAGAGGCACTATTAAAACGAGGATAATTGCTAAACAAAAATATAACCATTTAAAATCCATCGGATCCAAAGACAATGAAAGTTTGGTATCTCTCTCTGAATTTGTATGAAATTATTAGAACTGAAAGATGAATTATTAATGAAATAGAATCATATCTAACTTATTCCTAGATGTTTCTATTTTGTCAGCCCATTTGGAGTGTGTGTTGATTCTCTCTGGAACCTATACAAATGGAAATGTATGTGTGCTCCAATGTGCTTTTGGGTGATTTGAAGTCTTTCATTTTTTTGAATTCCCATTACCGCACCACCCAAACATCCGTACCTACCTTTATCACTTCTGCTGCCCGTGTTTGGCTAACCCCTAACCGCTAACCATTTTCAACTGAGTGCATCTGCTTAGTACTAAGCAGCTAGCTGAGAAGATTCTTCTCTCCCAATCAACACAACCACAGCATGAAATGACACAACCACAGCATGAAATGAAGACACAGAACGAGAGGTACAGAGAGGCAAAGAAGGGGAGGGGGCACTATTTCTATGTAAAAAAAAAAAAAATCCCCTTATGTGTTCTGGAAGAACTATTAATATTTCTTCCTAACTCTTCCTGCACTGCTAGGCTTCCCTTTCTCTCCCACCCTCACGCCTCCCCATGCAGGCAAAGTCTTGAATCAGCAGATTCTGAGCTCAGAGCAGTAAAGAGCTATTGAGGGACAGACTCTGATAGCATTACGGCCAAACATGGAACCATTTTCTGTGGCGAATCGCTGAGTTCTACCTGGTTATCTCTTGCCTTGCACATCACTTCCAAATGACATGCTCTCAGTCTGGGCAAAAATGAGAGTTTTTTAAAGAACTGGGATTTCAATAATATGTGATGAAGGGATGAGATTACTTTCTGAGGTAGAGGAAGGCAGGGAGGAAGGAGGGAGGGAGAAGAAAGAGGTGGGGACTGGGGAGAGAGGAAGGGAGAATTGTGTATCCCTTAGAGCACTTGACTACATGTATTTCTCCAGTTCTTGCAGTCGGTCTTTCTCTAACTTTTGAGAAGTCAAAAAGAATAAGTAATTTTACTTTCATTTATTTGTCTTTTTTCTTTCTGCTGCTTCTCTCACTGGAGGCAACTGAATATTGTATATACTCCAAATACTCGAGTTATTTATAGGAATTACTATAATTTGACTGATACACAGTTAAGTAAGGTGGAGACTCATACTTTTCTGCATTCTTTAAACATAGAGAGTGAAATAGGCAATGGAGACCTTCAGAAAACACATCTGTACTGGCCAATTGGAGAATTTGGAAACGAACAGTTTCTGAAGTAAAATTAGTAGCCAGCTCTCCTGTCTGCTTACAAGAAAAGAAAGGCAGTCCCACAGTTCACAACACTCTCCACTGTCCCGAATGCCTGTCACCTCATTCCAAGTGTTCCTAGATGAAGAAATGGGGACATATTTAAATGCTTCATATCTGTAATTAATCAACACTGTTATAATGTTAGCTTCTCTTCATTTTAATGAGGAAGCATGGAGAGATGATAAATAAAAAGAACATTTTTTGTTCTCCCTTGTGAGATTTTGAAAAATCAAACATGAAAAAGGCAGTCTTTGACCATAAAATGTGTGTAGCTGCACATTTTCCTACAAAAAAGATACATTTTCATTTGAACTTGACAGTGACATTTATTTCTCCCAGTTAGGGTGTAGTCTCATGGCCTGAGATGGGCCTACAGGGTCTACACTGAAGCTGTTAGTGTTCTACACAGCTGCAATGAAAAAAATAGTGACAAGTAGTGAAAGGCATTCTTAAGGCCTCTCCTATTGCCTTCGGTGGACTCATATCCTCAGAGATACGTACAAAAATAACAAAAGAACCCCAAATAAGGATGAACTAGAAACAGGAAGAGAACCCTATCAAAAAGCATCACAGTGAATAAAGCTGAGAATGGGCCTTAGCACAAGTTATGAACAAGATTCATCAGTTAGGAATACTAGTGCAGTGTTCCCATCTGGCAGAAAGAAGGAAAATCTACTTTTCTAAATATATATGTTCATAGTAATTGAAAAATAATTCAAAGTACAGTAAAATGTAAAAGTTTTACTTCACTGTATTTTTCACTTCCACCCCCAGTCTAACATTCATTCTTGAAAATAACCACAGTTTAGATGTCGATGTATATCCTTCCAGCCCATTTTCTAACAATTTATACACGCTCAGAGAGAATATTCTTTGTGTGTTTTTTCACACATGTGAATCATACTTGGCATGTTATTACACAGCTTGCTGTTTTTCACTTTACAATATATTTTGAAGGACTTTTTAGGTCAGTAAAGAATGAGATATATTTCATTCTTTTCAAGGGCTGCCCTTAGTATGGGTATATGTGATTTATTTAAGAGTTTTCCCAAAGATGCCCACTTAGTTCTTGATGAACTTTTGCTCATAAAAACAAATTTTGCAGTATCCTTTTGCATAGATATTTGTGCCAACATGTCATTTTCACTTTTTATTGTGACATAATTTCAAACATACAGAAAAGTGTTAAAATAGTACAAAGAGCTTCAACAGATCCATCAAACCTGAACACTTTGTCACATTTTCTCTTTCTCTCTTCATATACATTATGCACAATTACTGGCACCTATTCAGCAGCTCAACCCTGACGTCAAGGCCCACGCTCTTTGCATATGTTTGTTCCTCCATCTTTAGCATCCCTATGCCTGAAGCTGCAGTGGTTGTCTTGCAACCACGAAGCCCCAGGCATCACATCCATGTTAAAGGCAGGAAGAAGGGGCAACGTGGACAGTGTAGGTGGCTCCATCTCTTTTATGAAAAAGTCAAAAGTCCCCAAGAAAACTTTCCTTATGTCTCCTTGGTCTTCTTGGTCAGGGCTTGGCCACCCATCTATTCCTAGATGTAAGGGGGTGCTGGGAAAGCAAATATTGGCACCTAGCATTAGAGTGGGAGGGAGCAAGGAAGAAAGAATAAAAGAGGTTGGAGTCAGCTGCTGGGCTAGCCAACACATTGAGTTTGTCACATATGACAGATTCAAGGAAATTAGTTTGTTCAGTTGTAAAGAAGTATTTTAAGAGGGAAATTCTGTAATTGTCTTCTAATATTTAAAGGGTTGCCATCTGGAAAAGTGAGTATTTTATATTGCCAAACTAGGCCAATAAGTGGAATTTTATAAGGAGGTTAGTTTCAGCTGAAGGTAAGACAGAAGTGAGGATCTGGTTGCCTCGTGAGGTAGTAGGTTTCTTTCTTTCTTTATTTATTCTAGGGGCTTTTTGATATTATTCATTACATTCTGTGAGGTTGGGACTATTATCCCTTTCATATAGTTGAGAAAACCAAGATCATAGATGTTACCAAATTGCCCGAGGTTACACAGCTAAGTATCAGACTGGGACTTGAATCCATGCTGCCTGGCTCCAGAGTCCATGTTTTTAAACAACTTAATATACTGTCTTGGGAAGAGATAGACTCAAATCACTTTTCAGATTCCTTCGCAACATTCTTAAAATTAGGTCCCTCTTATTTAGGCATTAGGTACATGTTTGTCTAAACTATACATATTATTTATCATCATTTAACAAATTGCTTTTTTTTTTTTCAGCTCTCTAGAGGAATCTTTACTTTCAGCTCTCTTTGCAGAGGTCAAAGTTAGGATATAACTCTGTTATTATTTCAGGATCTCATATATGCTTACTGTCAAAACATCCTCAACTTCTTTGTCATAATTTGGCAGTACAAAGTGATCGTTTCTTTTCTTTACCACTTCTTCAAATATCCTTTTAAAACAAGCTTGTCTCTTGTATAGGGACCAGAACAAAACCATCTTAGAACAAGATATTTAGTAGTTTTCTCACTAGCTGGAGAAAAAGGCAAACCCAGAAAAAAAGAATTTAGTGTGTGCCACGCATACTCAGCATGATGATAAGAGTGCTGAGTCCTTCACAGTCTTGCTTCTTCAAACCAGACTCTACAATTTGTCCCAGGTATCTGTATCAAAGAGACCACCTGCAAATCACTTCACTTACAAAACTTCTCCTAAAGAGATGCAATCGGGGGATTACAGACACTGGATTGATTTGCAGCTTCGACTTCATGTTAGTAAAAGGTTGCAAATCCTGCATTTCCTACAGTCTGTTGAAGTGAGATCTTTCAGTGGGCTGCCTCTCCTCTACCCACAGGAGAACAGGGCAACACAAAGGCCAGAGACAGTGACCAGGGTGAGGATCTGGGCAGCAGCCAAGAAGGCACTCACAAAGTAGATCAAGGGTAGCAGCAGGCCAAGGCTCCACAGGGAAGTGCTGTGTGACATCTGGAGGGATGAGCTGGAGATTCTCTAGTATCAGAGGGGATAGAGATGCTTGCACAAGGGAGCAGGAGCAAGGCCATACCTCAGAGACTGTGGGCTGGACAGTGGGAGTCAATCACAGCAGAGCAGTGCAGACCTCAAGAGCTGGAATGGGCTTCTGAAAGAAGTGAAGCATTCAGGGCTGGAGAACCAGCTTCAATTTTGGACTCATTTAGCAGGAGCAGTTTCATGTGAGATTTCAAGTATAGAAAGATGAACTTCCCAGATGTCAACCTAGAATATCCTTTCCTCTCAAAGTCTGCCAAAACCCTTTGCATTTATTTTCATTTCCCTCAATGGTACTTCTTGGTTAATGAATCGTCTTCATTTATTATCCACTGTGTGATCTGCATTCTTTTAAATTTGTCTGAAACTCTCTTTTTTTCAAGTTTCAAAGAGTGTCTCTTTATCCTAATATTTTGGAGGAGGGTGCTTGGCGAAGGTGTGGACTAGCCCTGGAAACACGTCCAGTAGTGGAGGTGAGCCAGGCAGCCCTGCTTTTGTGTTTACTACCCCCCAGTTTCCTGATCTGTAAATGAAATGAATAACATATTGTGACAGGATGCAATGCAGCACTGGATAGGAACATGACTTGTGCATGGTAAGGCACTATAAACTATGAATGATGCTGCTTTTGTTGAAACAAACTGTGCCCAAACAGGGCTTGCCTGCTAGCCCCAGCAGACTCCAGGAACAGTGTTTCTGAGAGGATGCCTGTGAAAGACAGACTCCACTCCTGCAGACTGCCTCAGTGTGTAGATTACTTAGAAGGAAAGGATTTGGGTAGAAAGTTAGGAAGAACATTATTTTATTTGGAATATTTTTTTCAAATTGAAACTCTCCTTTTATTAGGAAAATTTGATTTATTTATTCCTAGAGGTATTGTTCATCCATTGTTTTGCTCTCTATTTGCATCCTCCAAAACACATGAAGATTTTTTCTTGATGGTTATGCCTCTTTAATAACCAGAATTATTAGAGCATTTGCTGTTTTATCCCTCTTTCAGATCACTTACCAACATGTTAAATTAAATCACTAGGCCTGGAGCCAATCTCTGGCACACTATGTTTTTATACATCTTTTGCCTAAAATCATCATGCTGTCATCCCTTTCCTCAAATCTTAATTCAATTAAAAATATTTTCTTGGTTAAGCATTTTTAATGTATTTATATATTTGGCACCAAAAATATTAATTTGTTCATCCATTCATAAGCTATATTCTCTTTCTTCCTAGATTTTATTTAAAAAAAAAAAGTATACAATGAGCCTGTATTTAGTTATAATTCCCCTGCGTTGGCTCAGTATTTCTAAGACAGGGGTAATCTATGACAGATACACAGTGTAACTAAAAATTGCTCTGTTTCTTCTTTGAATATTTTACCCCCAAAGTCTCCAAATTATCTACATTTTTGGGTACATTAGCTTATTGTGATCAATGATCATATTTATAGTAGTCTTAATTCTTACCTGGGTTTCAGGGGATATTTTATAAAGAGGTGAATCTCTCTGAAAATTAAGGCAAAGACTTTATCAACCTTTTGCTATTTGTTTCTCCTTTTGTTCAGCTTTGCTGCCATTATTTTAAAGAGATCTCATTGTTTTGTTAACTTTCTTCCTTTCCCTGATAGTTCAAAGAACTTTTCCCAGGTTTCACTTGCGTCCGTGTGAAGAGACAACCAAACAGGCTTTGTGTGAGCAATAAAGCTGTTTATTTCACCTGGGTGCAGGTGGGCTGAGTCCAAAAAGAGAGTCGGCGAAAAGAGATAGGGGTGGGGCCGTTTTATAAGATTTGGGTAGGTAAAGGAAAATTACAGTCAAAGGGGGTTGTTCTCTGGCGGGCAGGAGTGGGGGTCACAAGATGCTCAGTAGGGGAGCTTTTGAGCCAGGATGAGCCAGGAGAAGGAATTTCACAAGACACTGTCATCAGTTAAGGCAAGGACCGGCCATTTTCACTTCTTTTGTGGTGGAATGTCATCAATTAAGGTGGGGCAGGGCATTTTCACTTCTTTTGTGATTCTTCAGTTACTTCAGGCCATCTGGGCATATACGTGCAAGTCACCGGGGATGTGATGGCTTAGTTTGGGCTCAGAGGCCTGACATTCCTGCCTTCTTATATTAATAAGAAAAATAAAACAAAATAGTGTTGAAGTGATGGGGCAGGTATTAAAGGACTAAGAATTTGGGAGGACCTAGGACATCTAAATAGAGAGTGCCTAAGGAGGTTCAGCATAGCCTTGCCAGCAAAGATTATTTATTTACTTCAAGAGTTAAGAGTGGTGGTTTGGGGATAGCACCAGGAGATATCAGCTGTGATGGCTTGGAGAAACAGTGTAAACTGGCAGTGTAAACAAGAGCAGGGCATGTATGAGTAGTTGAGAACGGTGAATAGGAGTATGACTGGACAGAAGATAGTAGGGATGACAAGTTTTTTGGGGCGCAGTCCAAGTTGGTCTGGTGTCTGGAATGAGACTGGGGCCTAATAAAAAGGAGTGTCTATACAGGAGCTCAAATGGGTTGTACCTTGTAGCATTCTGAGGACAGGCCTGAATTCTGAGAAGGGAAAGTGGTAGAAGTATTGTCCAGTCCTTTTTACGTTGGTGGCTGAGCTTGGTGAGGTGTGTTTTTAAAAGACCATTAGTCTGTTCTACCTTTCCTGAAGACTGAGGACTGTAAGGGACATAAAGATTTCACTGAATACTAAGAGCCTGAAAAAATGCTTGGCTGATTTGACTAATAAAGGCTGGTCTGCTATTGGATTGTATAGAGGTGGGAAGGCCAAACCGAGGAATTATGTCTGACAGAAGGGAAGAAACGACAGCGGTGGCCTTCTCAGACCCTGTGGGAAAGGCCCCTACCCATCCAATGAAAGTGTCTACCCAGACTAAGAGATATTTTAGTTTTCTGACTCAGGGAATGTGAGTAAAGTCAATTTGCCAGTCCTGGGCAGGGACAAATCCCCGAGCTTGATGTGTAGGAAAGGGAGGGGGCCTGAACAATCCCTGAGGAGTAGTAGAATAGCAGATGGAACACTGAGGAGTGATCTCCTTGAGGATAGATTTCCACGATGGAAAGGAAATGAGAGGTTCTAAGAGGTGGGCTAGTGGCTTGTACTATAGCATAGCCTGCCTTTGCTGGTGTGTGGCGATTAGGCCTTGTGGAACTGCCATCAATAAACCAAGTGTGATCAGGGTGAGAAACAGGGAAGAAGGAAATGTGGGGAAATGGGGTGAACCTCAGGTGGATCAGAGAGATGCAGTCATGAGGGTCAGGTGTGGTATCAGGAATAATGTGGGAGGCTGGATTGAAGTCCGGGCCAGGAACAGTGGTAATTGTGGGAGACTCAATAAAGAGTGAGTACAGCTGAAGGAGCCGGGGAGCAGAAAGTATATGCCTCAGGTGTGAGGAAGAAAATAGATTTTGGAAATTATGAGAGCTGTAGAGAGCGAGTTGAGCATCGTTTGTGATTTTAAGGTCCTCTAAAAGTATTAGGGCGGCAGCAGCTGCTGCACGGAGACATGATGGCCAACCTAAAACAGTAATGTCAAGTTGTTTGGACAAAAAGGCTACAGGACGCGATCCCGGTCCTTGTGTAAGAATTCCAACTACACAGCCCTGCACTTCAGCTGTGTGTAATGAAAAGGGTTGGGATGAGTCAGGGAGAGCTAGGGTGGGGCAGTCTCTAAAGATGTCTTCAAGGACAAGAAAGAGGAGTGGGGAAAGGATTTAGGATCTATGGGGTCAGCTAGGTTTTCTTTTGTGAGTTTATATAATGGTTTTGTTAGGATGGCAAAACCAGGTATCCAAAGGCGAAAGTATCCAACCATGCCCAGGAAGGAAAGGAGTTGTTGTTTTGTAGAAGGGGTTGGGGTTTGAGAGATCAGTCGGACACGATCAGCTGGGAGAGCGTGTGTGTTTCTATGAGAATTATGCTGAGATAGGTAACAGATAAGGAAGAAATTTGGGCTTGACTGAAGTAATGGGGGCTGTCTGTGAAGCTTTGCGGCAGTACAGCACAGGTAATTTGCTGAGCCTGATGGGTGTCAGGATCAGTCCAAGCGAAAGTGAAGAGAAGCTGGGATGAAGGGTGCAAAGGAATAGTAAAGATAGCGTGTTTGAGATCCAGAACAGAATAATGGATTGTGGAGGGAGGTATTGAGGATAGGAGAGTATATGGGTTTGGCACCATGGGACGGATAGGCAAAACAATTTGGTTGATAAGGCGCAGATCCTGAACTAACCTGTAAGTCTTGCCTGGTTTGAGGACAGGTAAAATGGGGGAATTGTAAGGAGAGTTTATAGGCTTTAAAAGGCCATGCTGTAACAGGTGAGTGATAACAGGCTTTAATCCTTTTAAAGCATGCTGTGGGATGGGATATTGGCGTTGAGCGGGGTAAGGGTGATTAGGTTTTAATGGGATGGTAACGGGCATGTGATCGGTTGCCAGGGAAGGAGTAGAGATGTTCCATACTTGTGGGTTAAGGTGGGGGGATATGAGAGGAAGACGCAAAGGAGGCTTTGGGTTGGGAAGAAGGGCGGCAATGAGATGCAGCTGTAGTCTAGGAATAGTCAGGGAAGCAGATAATTTGGTTAAAATATCTCAGCCTAATAAGGGAATGGGCAGGTGGGGATAACTAAAAAGGAGTGCTTAAAAGAGTATTGTCTAAGTTGATACCAGAGTTGGAGAGTTTTAAGAGGTTTGGAAGCCTAGCTGTCAATACCCACAACAGTTATGGAGGCAAGGGAAACAGGCCCTTGAAAAGAAGGTAATGTGGAGTGGGTAGCCTCCGTATTGATTAAGAAGGGGATGGACTTACCCTCCACTGTGAGAGTTACCTAAAGCTTGGCGTCCGTGATGGTCTACGGGGCTTCCGAGGTGATCGGGCAGCATCAGTCTTCAGCCACTAAGCCGAGAAGATCTGGAAAGGAGTCAGTCAGAGAGCCTTGGGCCAGAGTTCCAGGGGCTCCGGGAGTGGCTGCCAGGTGAGTTGAACAGTCCTATTTCCAGTGGGGTCCCGCATAGATGGGACACGGCTTAGGAGGAATCCCGGGCTGTGGGCATTCCTTAGCCTGGTGGCCAGATTTCTGGCACCTTTAGCAAGCTCCTGGGGGAGGCGGTTCTGTAGGAATGCCTGGCCACTGTGGTTTAGGCGTTTGGAAGTTCTTGTGTGCTGGAGATGTGGCTGGGGTTTGTCTTACAGTGGAGGCAAGGAATTGCAACTCAGAAATATGTTGCTACTTGGCTGCCTCTACTCTATTATTGTACACCTTGAAGGCGAGGTTAATTAAGTCCCGTTGTGGGGTTTGAGGGCCGGAATTTAATTTTTGGAGTTTTATTTAATGTTGGGAGCAGATTGGGTAATAAAATGTATATTGAGAATAAGACGGCCTTTTGACCTTTTAGGGTCTAGGGCTGTAAAGCGTCTCAGGGTTGCTGCGAAAGGAGCCATGAACTGGGCTGGATTTTTATATTTGATGTAAAAGAGCCTAAATGCTATCTGATTTGGGATAAAGAAAAAGGAGCATTAACCTTGACTATGCCTTTAGCTCCAGCCACCTTTTTAAGAGTAAATTGCTGGGCAGGTGGGGGAAGGCTAGTCATGGAACGAAACTGTAAGCCGGACCAGGTGTGAAGAGGGGAGGTGATAAAAGGATTATAGGGTGGAGGAGTGGAGGCTGAGGAAGAATTGGGACCTAGCTCAACCTGGCGAGGAGGGGAGAGGTCAGATGGATCTGTAGAAAAGGAAGATTAGAAAGACTCAGCGACACTTGGGGTTGGGACTGAGGGGACAGGTGGGAGGGAAAGAAGGAAGATTTGGGACGAGTTGCACTGGGAACAGAGACTAGGGAGGGACTGATGTGTAAAAGAATGCCTGGACGTAAGGCATCTCAGACCGTTTGCCTATTTTACGACAAGAATTATTTAGATCTTGTAGGATGGAAAAATTGAAAGTGCCGTTTTCCGTCTATTTGGAACTACTGTCCAGTTTGTACTGGGGGTCAAGTGGCATTGCAGAAGAAAATAAGGTGCTTCGATTTTAGGTCAGGTGAGAGTTGAAGAGGTTTTAAGTTTTTAAGAACACAGGCTAAGGGAGAAGAAGGAGGAATGGAAGGTGGAAGCTTGCCCATAGTGAAGGAGGCAAGCCCAGAGAAAAGAGAGTAGAGACACAGAGAAGGGGTGGAGGGTTCTTGCCCTCCAGAAAAGCAGACAAGGGGTCGGGGCATGGAAATAAGGGGTTGGGGTGCAGAGATAAGAGGTCGGGGCATGGAAATAAGGGATCGGGGCACAGAGATAAGAGGTCGGGGTTCCTGCCTCTCCCCCAGAAAAGAGGGACTTGCCGCTAAAGGTGAAGGACCAAGGCAGGTGTCCCTGCGTGGTCTGACACCTCTGAAACCTGGGTGAATAATCAAGAGAGGCATCCCTGCAATGATTAAACACCAAGGGAAGGCTGCCTTCCCTAGTCCGTGACCAGCGCCGGAGTTTTGGGTCCACAGATAAAACATGTCTCCTTTGTCTCTACCAGAAAATGAAAGGAATTGAAATAAAGAGAAGGGAGAGATTGAAGTGTGGCGCCAAGATTGAAATAAGAAAGAGGTTGAGGGATAGTGAAGGAGGTTGGAGAAGAGAGTAAAATGAGGCTGCTTACCGGATTTGAAATTAGTGAGATGTTTCTTGGGCTGGTTGGTCTGAGGACCTGAGGTTGTAGGTGGATCTTTCTCACAGAGCAAAGAGCAGGAGGACAGGGGATTGATCTCCCAAGGGAGGTCCCCTGATCTGAGTCACGGCACCAAATTTCACTCACGTCCGTGTGAAGAGACCACCAAACAGGCTTTGTGTGAGCAATAAAGCTGTTTATTTCACCTGGGTGCAGGTGGGCTGAGTCCAAAAAGAGAGTCAGCAAAGGGAGATGGGGTGGGGCCGTTTTATAAGATTTGGGTAGGTAAAGGAAAATTACAGTCAAAGGGGGTTGTTCTCTGGCAGGCAGGAGTGGGGGTCACAAGATGCTCAGTAGGGGAGCTTTTGAGCCAGGATGAGCCAGGAGAAGGAATTTCACAAGACACTGTCATCAGTTAAGGCAAGGACCGGCCATTTTCACTTCTTTTGTGGTGGAATGTCATCAATTAAGGTGGGGCAGGGCATTTTCACTTCTTTTGTGATTCTTCAGTTACTTCAGGCCATCTGGGCACATACGTGCAAGTCCCCGGGGATGCGATGGCTTAGTTTGGGCTCAGAGGCCTGACACTAGGACCTTTGGAATCCTCTACATGATGCATCATATTTTTTGTTCTTTGTATAATTTTAAGTTATTCCTCACCTGTATATTTTGTGGGTTTACATGTCTTCTTCCATTTTTTTTTTCTTCTTTTGAAGACATCTTCCTTCCCCTGCCCCAGCAATTACATCTCTGACTCAGTCAACTAGCCACTGAAGATTATCATAACCCCTTGGAATTTTCCCTGGATTGCTGATAAGTTGCTTTGAAAGTATTCTCTTGGTTTGTTTCTTGTTACTGAATTTTAAAATTCTAACTTTCATTTTTATCACCAGACACTTTATAATATAAGGTAGACATGTAGTGAATTTTAACTTGCCCACAAGGCTATGGAAGTAAACTGCATGTAGTCAGTGTTGATGCTTTTTGCATCACCCCGTGGACCAGTTTCCATCCAGTGTCAGAACCCTATCTAGAATATTCCCTGACCATACAGCTCCTTCTCTACTTTCTCTGAGAAGCTGTAATTTCTCTTATCTAAAAATCTCACTTCCAACCCTTGTCCCCGTGAGGCATTTTGCCAATCTATGATTGAGTAATTAAAGTCTCTCATTATTACTACCTGGCCTAATTTTGCAGTTTCCACAATCTCAATTAACATTTCTATCTCAGTGTCCTGGTCAGGTGGGCTGTAACATATTCCTATTATGGCTTTTTAATTATGTGAGAATAGAATGTCTACCCACAGAGATTCTACAGAAGTCCCTTTTTCTGATAAGATTTTTATCCTACTGCTTTGTAGAACTATACTTCACACAGCAGTATTACAAAAATGTATTTATTTATCCATCCTCTTTGCAAGATGTGTTTGAAGCAGCTTACAAAAATACCCACAAAGATAAAAAAAAAATTCAGCGAGAAAATAGGGACAAGGTAATAGAAGGGTAGAAAAATATGATGTAGCCAGAATAAGTTCATGCACCGTAAGTGCCGAGTACTGTTAGAGTGTGCTATAAACCTGCCTCAGAGTTTCCTCATGGCCAGAATGAAGAAGGGAATAGGATCAATTACATGGTTTAGAGTGTCTTTGAGGTAGAGTTAAAAGCAGTTGCTTAGGAAAGGCACAAAAGCGTCTTCTTCAGAGGTTCAAAATTTCTCTCCTGGGTCCTGATACATCCTCAATAACATTCTTACAGTAAATGCAACATGTTTCACCAATTAAGTTCTTAGTGTGCTCCCCCATGTAGGATTACTATACAAATGGCAGCATAGAATTTGGTAAGAACAGTACTATGGATGACTCAAGTGAACTACTAATAAGTATTAAGCGGTAATGGATTCAAGAGCATCCTCCCTGGCGAGTGATTGGCCTGAATATATTCCATGTGGCCAGGTGAATGCAGGGCTCAGTGCTTCAACAACCAACTGTACAAGGGTTGAGTGTCATGACTGTGGAGAAACATTGCTGGGACCTCAACTAAAAATAAAACCAATTGTCCTCCACATGAAATGCCCACAAGTGAAAATCAAGCCTTTACACAAAAAGCAGTTTAGGATCAGAGCCAATGTTTGGGTAGGGAGGTGCTCACAGCCACACCATTTTGGCTTGTGAACACTCCTAAATACATGTAGGTGAATGCAGACCTCAGTAAAGTGCCCCTAACTTTAAACAATGTATTTCCAGGTCAACTATCCAAGATAACCTGATAGTAAAATGCTTGCTCTATCAGTTTACAAAATCACTTACAAAAATGTTAGATTAAGCCACTAGCCCTGGAACCAATTATGGATATAGACTTTTTGCTAATGCATTTTAGCTAAGGCTAGTTAAAAGATGAAAAATATTTACTAAAATCAATGACTTTCATTTTGGGGTAACTGATCTTGCTATCAATTGAACGCCCTAGTAGTAGTTAGAAAGTAAGAGCAAGATGGACCAGAAGAGCAAAAGTCCATTCTACATGGACTTTTCCATTCATGGAAATAAAATAACATTATCTGCACATAGGCGTTTGCCGATTTTTCTGCTGCCTATAGTAGAGTGTCTGATGGAGGATGGATAGTGGACTATAGTCTCAAGTCATTAAGGTAAAAGTTAGAAATAAGGTGGTGGTGGGGAGTAGAGTATAAACCTGCTTTATTCCAGTGGAAATTCCCTGCTCCATCAGACAACTATCTTGCTGTCTCATGGGAATATTATATGCAGATTCAGTGTAAGTGTGTATAATTTAGAGTCAATATAGGTGTATTGGCCAGTAAACTAATTCTTTCCACAGAGCCCAAGGAAGGATCAACAAAGCTAGGCATCTGACTCATGAAAATGTCACAAAGATGCTTTTAAGTCTGCAAATGGTCAATAATAGAGCAGGCATCCCAAAGCACCACCTACTTCTCAGGGAGAACGCTGGCTGGCAATAAGCTTAGAAGAAAATTGTGCACACTATCTAGGAACCAAAGAGGTCTAGAGATTGAGGGCTATAAAGAACTGTGCTACTAAGATATGAGATATTCTAAACTTTGGTCAAACCACATAAGAGTATAGCTGAAGTGGTGGTACCAAGTAAATACACTCTCTGGAACTGGAATCTCCCTTTATCATGGCCCTTGAACAGCTCTTGGAGGTAGCTTTATTCTTGACAGATGCTAAATTAGCCCAAGATTTCTAATCCACTCTACTATACAAGGACTAGTTCTAAGGCCATTGTATAAACTCTACTTAATGGGATGTTAGAAGAACAAAGGCCATGTTTAACCCAAATGTTGGTTAAGTAGTTCAGGTAAACTTGGCAGGAGACAAGGTTGAAAAACACTTCTCAAAGCACAATCACAGAATAACTTCAAAACAATGTCTAATAACAAAGAGCAGATAATAGACTTGGAGAGATCATTTTGAAGTCATCAGTGTTGATACCTCATATATCACAAATCCTGGGCTTATGGCCCCTTCTGCATCATTTCCTTTTTAAAAAGATAACTATTGAGATGTAATTCCCATACTATAAAATTAATATTTAAAATGTGTACAATTCAGTGTTTTGTAGAATATTCACAAAGTTATGCATTGATCACAACTGATTGTAGCACATTTTTATCACCCTTTAAAAAAATTCCTGTACCTATTAGTGTTCACTCCCCATTTTCTCCTCCCTCATTCCTTGACCACAACCAATCTACTTTCTGTCTCTATGGGTTTGCCTATTCTGGACATTTCAAATAAATGGAAGCATATAATTGTGGCCTTTTGTGTCTGGCTTCTTTCACACTTCTTATCGTTTTCAAGGTTCATCCATCTTGTAGCATGTATCAAAACCTTATTCCATTATATGGATATACCATATTTTGTTTATCAGTTCATCATCAGTTGATGGGCATTTTGTTTCTATTTTTTTATATTATGAGCAATGCTGCTATGACCATTCATGAACAAGTTTTTGTGTGGACATATGTTATTATTCTCTTGGAGATATACCAAGGAGTGGAATTGCTGGGTCATATGATAACTTTGTTTAACTTTTTAAGGAACCTCCAAACTGTTTTCCAAAGCGGATACACCATTTGGCATTCGCATCAGCAATGTACAAGGGATCAAATTTCTTCATATCTTTGCCAACACTTGTTAGTAGCCCTATTTTTTTTATAGCCATCCTAGTGGGTATGACGTGGTACCTTATTGTGATTTTGATCTCCATTTCTCTAATGGCTAATGATGTTAAGCATTCTTCTCCCCATGGTTTATTGACAAATGACCTCTTTGAAGAAATTCTATTCAAGTACTTTGCCCATTTTTTAAAATTTAAATTTTAAGAAATTGGGTCATTTGCAATGTGGGCAGTTGTGATATCAAACACTTGCAGCTGTTTGCTTTTGACAAGTGTCTGAGGGTAGGGCTGGTCACACAAAATGAACCCTGACTCATGTAAAAGACAAGCCCTGAGAATGGAAGTTTCAAACAAGTTCCCAGACAGCTTAAATAGTGACAAGTATCTGGGGATGGGAATTCTGGGGAGCTTGAAACCAATTTGTGCCTTGTTTCCCATTCTCCAGTGGCTAATGGGCTTCTGGTTTTCACAACTACTGTGTTTGTGAGGTTGCTAGCTTTCAAAGCTACCGCAGAGCTGGGGAGAAGGGCACGGGAGTAGGACAAGTCAAAAGGACATAAGGTTGCTGTTCTTAGAGAAATGAAGTTGTTGTTCTTGAATTAACTCTCCTTTGATTGTTACGAGCCTTTCTGAAAAAGCTAATTTTGACAGTTTTGTCAGTATTCTCCTTGCTTTTATGAAGGGATGGAGTCCTACTTCATCACTCTAGAGGGTGAGTTCTATATTATTTCGTTTTGATGTAGTCTATCAACATTGCAATTAGCCAAATACTTTGTTGACTGGAATAGTTTCTTGAGTAATCCGATTGCTTTCTTTTTCTTGGAGTAAATATAATTTTTTAAAGCCACCTTCCTTTTCTCAGGCTTAGCAAGAAGTCAGGGCAATATCAAGGGAGCTATTTAATGCCTTCAAGGCCACAGATATATTTGGAGAAACATGTGCCTAAGTGATGACAATAAGTGCTAAGGTTTGAACATAACAGGAAGGTGGTCACACTGGCTAGAAGGGGAAGATACAAGAAGAATAGGTTTATAAACTCTTCATGATTTTTTACACTTAAAAAAATTTTAATTTCTAACTTTTGTGGGTATATAATAGGTATTTATATTTATGGGGTACATGCTACATTTTTATATAGGAATGCAATGCATAATAATCACATCAGGGTGATTGGGTAATCGTGATTTTGTATACTTTTCTGAAGTGGTTACAACATTATCAAATGATGTGAATTTTGAGACATGTTACTGAGTTTCTAAATATTTGGCATGAATATCAACTAAAGAATGAACGGCTTCTGGATTCCCCTCTCAAAAAACTTGCACATTAAAAGAACTTTTAAAATGTATGAGCACAAACAGAGTGAAAATGCAACCCATGAAATGGGAGAGAATACCTGAAAATCATACATCTGATAAGGAGTTGATGTGTATCTAATAAAGAGTTAATTATCCATTTATCTATCAGTGGTTAAATAAAATGTGGTATATACATAAAATGGAATTTTATTTGGCCTTAAAAAAGAAGGAAATTCTGACACATGCTACAACATGGATGAACCTTGAGGACATTATGGCAAGTGAAATAAGCCAGTCTCAAAAAAAGCAAATATTGTATGATTCCAATTATGTGAAATATCTAGAGTGTTCAAATTCATAGAAACAGAAAATAGAATACCGATGGCCAGGGAGATAGAGAAATAGGGGATGAGGAGCTGTTGTTTAATGGATACAAAGTTTTAGTTTTGGAAGATGAAAAGAGTTCTGGATATTGGTTACACAACAACATGAATATACTTAACCATTACTGAACTATACAGTTAAAAATGGTTAAGACAGTAAATTTTATGTTACATGTTTTTACCAGTAAATATATAAGTGATCTCTTTCTCTGTATATATGTGCAATTATAGAGGTATATAAATATAATACCTGCCAAAGTGCATGGAGGGAATATTTACTATTCAGCCAGGGACAAATGGCTAGAGTGAGTAGGGAGGCTTACCCAGTGATGGCTTCCAAGGAGATGTGTGAGCTCGACCTGTGGTCTAAAGAGGGAACCTGTGCACATGAGTATAAAAATGGCACAGTGTAGGGACTCAACAGAGGGACTTTTGCTTGTGGTTACATGGACTTATGGGCATTGAGTGGCAGTGCTTTTTAGCAGCAGGGAGATGAGATCAGATAAAAACAGACAGGAGGCTGGGTGCAGTGGCTCACACCTGTAATCCCAGCACTTTGGGAGGCCGAGGCAGGTGGATCACGAGGTCAAGAGATCGAGACCATCCTGGTCAACATGGTGAAACCCTGTCTCTACTAAAAATACAAAAATTAGCTGGGAGTGGTGGCATGCCCCTGTAGTCCCAGCTACTTGGGAGGCTGAGGCAAGAGAATCGCTTGAACCCAGGAGGTGGAGGTGGCAGTGAGTCTAGATAGCCCCACTGCATTCCAGCCTGGCGACAGAGCAAGACTCCGTCTTAAAACAAAACAAAAAAACAAAAACAACAACAACAACAAAAAACAGGATACTGAGGAGGGTGCTGGGTTTAAATTTCCTAGTGAGCTCCCAACTGATTCCATGAGTCAGAGGATTAAAGGCCTAATTCTGGATAAGCGTGCAACACATTAAAAATTGGTCATTTGTGTTGTCTGCTTATTCCTTTCACTTGGAAAAATATACAAGAGGGCAAGACAATGTAAAACCCCAACTAGCCAGAGGAACCAAGCCCTAAAGAGGTTCTCTCACAGGGGGACTTCTTTCAGAAAGATTCTAATTACATGAGTTTATTGATCACACACATTCTGCCAGCCGCTTCTACTCATTTGCACGCTTCAAATGAAGAGAGCGGCCAGGGAGCTCTGTCCAGGGCAATGAGAAAACCACTGCCATGACACCCAGATAGCATCTCACACTTGTCATAGGGAGTCTTCTGCCATCTGTCCAAGGGAACAATCTGACAGAGCGCACAGGATGAAATTTTGCTAGCTTCTGTCTTTAGATAAGAACGCTATCGCTGGCTGAACATATTTTATGTATAACCTACCAGCTGCAAAGACCACTCAAGCATCATGTTTAAATATATTTGATACTATCTGGAATCCTGTTAACTCTTGCCAGGGTGTATGGATTTTAAAAAGCATATAATAATATTCAATAGATGCTCAGATTAAAAACAAAAACATATGAAAAATGACTGCAGTCCATTTCCGAATGGAAAGGATGTGGGGGAGGGAGGAACATGTGTGTTGAGCAGGACAATGGAGTGGCAGAGGTGGGTGGTCCTGTGGAGAATTGCACAGAGACTATTAAGGGAACAGATTGTAATTCACCTCTTTTCTCTGTCTCCTGATTGCAAATGGGGCCAGATATGGGGATGACTCAGTATTACAAAGCTTTATCTTCCTCTGTGGCCCCACTTGCCACTCATTGTTGGCTGATTTCAAGATTACTTCTCATAGTTTAGACAATTTTAAATTAGGTCAGAACCAATGTTTAGAAAAGATAGAACATAAATTCAGGCTTATCTATAACATTACTGTTACTATCCTCAAGAATTTGTACCAGTTCATGGTAAATTTTGTGCTACACACATCTCAACCTAAAGCCTTTGAAAAGTTAGGGTCCTCTAAAGGCAAAGCATGGTTTTACTTTGTCCTGAGATCACCTTGGGTATTTTGTCAATAACAGTAACAATAATGGGTCTTCGCTATTGATATGGTGTTCCTCCCTTTTAGTCATAAAGGTTTCTCCTCTTTAAACTTAAATACTTTAGTGTGTATTTACTAGGGACAAGAAAATTATTTTACATACCCATAATACTGTTATTAAAATCAGGAAATCTAACACGAATACAACATTACTATATAATCCATAGTCTATATTCAAATTTAATCAGTTGTCTCAAAATGTTATTTTATCTGAAAACATCCTATCAGAGACTTTTTTTCTGGTTTAATTGTCACGTCTCTTTAGATTCCTTTAATATGGAACAGTTCCTGGGACTTCCTTTGTTTTCTTGACCTTGACATGAAGAATCAGGAGGACTCTTTTGAAGAGTACAGTCATTTTTGTAGAGTATCTTTGAATGTGGTGTTTCCTCATGGTTAAATTTAGGTTATGCATTTTTGGCAAGAATATCACAGAAGTGATGCTGTGTCTGTCTCAGTGCAACATATTAGGAGACATATGATGTCAGTTGACCCAATATTGGTGATGTTAGCCATGATCATAGAATTCAGGTTGAGTCTCCCACTTAAAATTACCATTTTCCCTTTGTAAATGATATGTAGATTGTTGGAAGATACTTGAAAATTTATGTAAGTGTCCTACGCTTACCAAACTTTTACCCACTACTTTTATCCTCCATTTAGGATTTCCTAACTCAGCATTTATTACTTAATCATTAGTTTGAATTCTGCTGTGAGAGTTTTCTCTTCTCCTCTTATATTGATTTTTGTATGTGTGCACTTATTTATATAAGGATAATTCATAGATTCTTATTCTATTCAGTAAGTTATAATCCATTCCTACCAATATTTATTTTAATACTCAAATTTTTCCAGATTTGGCCAGTGGGAATGCCTTCAAAATGACTCTTACATCCCTTGACATATCCCACTGAATTTTTTAGCATAATTCAATAAAATGTTTCAGGTTCATCTGGTATTTTTCATGCCCTACTGTTGGAATTAACTATTTCTCCAAGAGTATTCAGTTCTTTATAGCAGAGAATGGCATTTAAAAACCAGTAACTATGTGCTAAGTGTGTTTATTCCTTCTGGAGCATTAAAGCTTCCAGACCCTCTCAGAGGTGAGGGCTAGGAAATATATGTGTATACATGTATGTATTTTTTTGTGTATAAAATCTATAATTTTTAAAAACTTCACATTAATACCTTAATTCCAATCTAACATGACAGGATGCATTCTAGTCTTCCTTCTCTCTATATCCCATTATCCTCAATATATTTACTAACTTGCTGACATGGTTTCGCTCTGTGTCCCCACCCAAATCTCATCTTGAGTTGTACTCCCACAATTCCCATGTGTTGTGGGTGGGACCCTGTGGGAGATAATTTGAATCATGGGGGCAGTTTCCCCCATACTGTTCTTGTGGTAGTGAATAAGTCTCATGAGATCTGATGGGTTTATCAGGGGTTTCCACTTTTGCATCTTCTTCATTGTCTTTTGCCACCACCATGTGAGAAGTGCCTTTCACCTCCTGCCATGATTCTGAGGCCTCCCTAGCCATGTAGTAAGTCCAATTAAACCTCTTTTTCTTCCCAGTCTCGAGTTGTCTTTATCAGCAGTGTGAAAACAGACTAATACAATAAATTGGTACCAGTAGAGCAGGGTGCTGCTGAAAAGATACCTGAAAATGTGGAAGGGACTTTGGAACTGGGTAACAGGCAGAGGTTGGAACAGTTTGGAGGGCTCAGAAGAAGACAGGAAAATGTGGGAAAATTTGGAACTTCCTAGAGACTTGTTGAATGGCTTTCACCAAAAACCTGATAGCAATATGGACAATAAGGTCCAGGCTGAGGTGGTCTTAGATGGAGATGAGAAACTTGTTGGGAACTGGAGCAATGGTGACTCTTGTTATGTTTTAGCAAAGAGATTGGCACCATTTTCCTCCTGCCCTAGAGATTTGTGGAACCTTGAACTTGAGAGAAGTGATTTAGGGTATCTGGCAGAAGAAATTTCTAAGCAGCAAAGCATTCAAGATGTGACTTGGGTGCCATTAAAGGCATTCAGTTTTATAAGGGAAGCAGAGCATAAACGTTTGGAAGATTTGCAGCTTGACAATGTGATAGAAAAGAAAAACCCATTTTCTGGGGAGAAATTAAAGCCAGCTGCGGAAATTTGCATAAGTAACCAGGAGCTGAATGTTAATCTCCAAGACAATGGGGAAAATGTCTCCAGTACATGTCAGAGGTCTTCACAGCAGCCCCTCCCATCACAGGCCCAGAGGCCTAGGAGAAAATGGTTTTGTGGGCCAGGCCCAGGGTTTCTGTGCTGTATGCACTCAAAGACTTGATGCCTTGCATCCCAACTGCTCCAGTCATGGCTGAAAGGGGCCAACGTAGAACTCGGGCTGTGGCTTCAGAGGGCACAAGCCCCAAGCCTTGGCAACTTCCATGTGGTGTTGAGTCTGTGAGTGCACAGAAGTCAAGAATCGAGGTTTGGGAAACTCCACCTAGATTTCAGAAGATGTATGGAAATGCCTGGATGCCCAGGCAGAAGTTTGCTGCAGGGGTGGGACACTCATGAAGAACCTCTGCTAGGGCAGTGCCGAAGAGAAATGTGGGTTGGAGCCCCCACACAGAGTCCCTACTGGGGCACTGCCTAGTGGAACTGTGAGAAGAGAGCCACCATCCTCCAGACCCCAGGATGGTAGATCCCCTGACAGCTTGCACCATTCACCTGGAAAAGCCTCAGACACTCAATGCCAGCCCATGAAAGCAGCTGGGAGGGAGGCTGTACCCTGCCAAGTCACAGGGGGAGAGCTGCTTGAGACCATGAGAACACACCTCTTGCATCAGTGTGGCCTGGATGTGAGACCTGGAGTCAAAGGAGATAATTGTGGAGCTTTAAAATTTGACCGCCCCATTGGATTTCAGACTTGCATGGGCCCTGTTTGTTTTGGCCAATTTCTCCCATTTAGAATGAGTGTATTTCCCCAATAACTGTACCCTCATTGTATCTAGGAAGTAACTAACTTGCTTTTGATTTTACAGGCTTATAGGCAGAAGGGACTTGCCTTGTCTCAGATGAGACTTTGGATTGTGGACTTTTGAGTTAATGCTGAAACAAGTTAAGACTTTGGGGGACTGTTGCGAAGGCATGATTGGTTTTGAAATGTGAGGCATGAGATTTGGAGGGGCTGGGGTGGAATGATATGGTTTGGCTCTGTGTCCCCACTCTAATCTCGTCTTGAATTGTACTCCCATAATTCCCATGTGTTGCGGGAGGGACCTGGTGGGAGATAATTTGAATAATGAGGGTGATTTCCTCCATACTGTTCTTGCAGTAGTAAATAAGTCTTATGAGATCTAATGGTTTTATCAGTGGTTTCCACTTTTGTATCTTCTTCATTTTCTCTTGCCACCACCATGTAAGAAGTGCTTTTGCCTCCTGCCATGATTCTGAGGGCTCTCCAGCCATGTGGAACTGTAAATCCAATTAAACCTCTTTTTCTTCCCAGTCTCAGGTATGTCTTTATCAGCAGTGTGAAAACCAACTAATACATTTGCTTAAGCCTAGAATAGAGATAAGGTAGTTTCAGAATCGGTACTGCCTACTTGTAAGAAGAGAAGATCTCCTAAATAGAGTTCAGTATCTGTTTCCAGTGTTTTGGTGGGGAGAGGGTGTGGAGGAGTAGGTGTGGTTGGGATAGACTTTACAGAGTTAAATACACAAATCTTAAGTGCACAATTCAATGCATTTTGACCCACATAACTGTCTTTTTACCAAGATGTAGAATATTTATCACTTTACTTGATGTGCCAGGGAGGGTAGTGTGCCCTGATTCCACAGGGAGAGGGCATGGAAGATCTGCATTCAGGACCATTACAGACTTGTTCTGTGTGTTTCTTCATTTGGCTGGTCCTAATTTATAACCTTTATGATAAAATGATAAAACTGTAATCATTAGCATAATTCTTTCCAGAGTTGTGAGACATTTCAGTGAATTATCAAACCTGAGGGAGGACATGGGAAACTCCTGGATTTGCAACCAGGTGGCAAGACATGTGAGCAGCCTCGGAACCCTTGAAGTGTGGCTGGCATCTAAAGTAAGAGGAGTCTTGTTGTGGACCATGCTCTCAACCCTGTGAAGTCTGACTTTAACTCCAGGTGGTTGCCATCAGAACTGTATTGCAGTTTATCAGTTAGTGTCAGAATATTTACCATTTTCTGTTTTATCGATTTCTGCTCTCATCTTTATTATTTAGTACCTTCTACTTACTTTCAGTTCATTCTGATCTTCTTAAGACAGAAGTTGAAATTATTGATTTGAAACTTTTATTTTTATCCTAATATAACCATTTAAAAGCATAATTTTCTTTTTACGCATTATAAACATTTTCAAATAATATTGTGTTTTCCTTAGCACCCATTTCTAAATACTTTCTAATTCTTCTAATAATTTCTTCTTTGACCCATGGATTATTTAGAAGTTATTTATTTACCAAATATCTGAGACATTTCTAGATATTATTTTATTAACAATTTCAACTTTAATTACATTTTTGTCCAAAAATCTATTACTTCTCTCTTTCAATAGCTTTTAAACACACACGTATATGGTCTATATATGATGCATTTTATATAGTGTACTTCTTCTAGCAAGATCAATCTTCTTTATTATTTATGGAAAACCCGTGCCTTGCACAATACTTGGATGTGTTAGGTATTCTATGAATGTTTGATTTTTCTCTCTGAGAGAAGGAAACATGGACCCTTGAAAACATTAAAATGTTTGCAAGGATGAAGGGTTATTAGAAAGGTTAGAAGGAGAAAAAAACTGCAGACAAGAGACACCATTGTCTCTTCACAATTTTTCCAAAGGTCAGTATTCCTGCTCTGGACTGTGCCTTTCCAGTAGTTGATTGTGTAATGCCATCACACTGTGAATGAACAGTATGAAGCGGGTGAAGAAATGAATCTTTCTGTGATCACTTACAGTCTAGTTAGGAATCTAAACATTCACATATAAACATGAATGTGCCATTTATTGTGTTCAAATCCCTTTCCTCTTTCTCTTTCTTCTTTTTCTTATAGATTGCTTTTAATTTTGGTACACTACTGCATTAAATATCATCTACCTGATAACCTAAGACCATTTATCTTAGACATTGAAAGAATGATGGAAAAGTTATTTAACCTTTCGTAAGAAAGTTTTGCATACACAAAGAGTCATCTTACCCTAATACAGGAAATTTGTTCACTAAACTTAATAAATTCGTTCACACAGTCTCAATAACTTAGAAATTTTTAGGACATCATCCAAATCATTTTTAAAAAGAGGCATTTCAGTGTTTTGTTGACTAAATGCCATGAGCTATATGATTTAAAACTCATATATCAAATTCAATAACATGGAAGTGAAGTATTAATCAATTTTGTGTAAATTTGCCTAGATGGCGAGCACATATCATGCCTTGGAAACTCAGTGAGCAGTGAGGAGTAGCCCTAAGTCCCAGCATGAGAGAAAACCTAAGAAGTTCTGCTGTTGGCCCAACCCAATTGTTATGAAGAGCTATTTAAATTAAGCCATCTGCACAAATGAATTGCTCTCTTCTGGTCACCTCTATTGTCCTAAAGCGGATTAGGAGAGAGGCAGGGCAGTGCTGCTTTGTACTTAATCCCTTAAAGTCAGAGACTTCATTCAGCCTACAGCCAGGGGCCCAAGTCAGCTCAGAGTTAAGGCTGAGATGGAAGAAGGATAATGCATTTTGTTTGTTAACCTAATCTTATGTGCCAGTTTACTTAGGCACACACCTTCTCTTCCCAGCTAGATTGTCAGTTCTGGGACCTCAGGAAACAAGCTTGAGCCCTGCACGGAGATGCAGTGTCTAGTAAATGCTTGTTAGATAACTTAGAGTTATCCAAAGTAATGTTTATGTTCAGTGGTTATAACTGAAGCTGCATTCTCTCTATCTTCCTACAGTCATGAAGAAAGTTTTTAAACCTCAAACTAGCTGACTTTTAACACTCGTACATAAACTTTACACAACTGATTGAATTGAAAATAATAATGAATTCACTCAAGCAATTAGTTCTTTGCTGATTGGCTCTCTGGAGCTTGACTTTATCAGATCATCACATTTTTAAAAAAGCTAGTTGAGTACTTGAGCTAGGCTATTGATTTTCCTTTTTATTTCTTTGGTAAAATAGTATGTATTCAGTGTATATACAATGCTAGAACAACCACTTTTGCAGACGTTTCATGGAAAAACAAGGAGACAAGGAGTCAAATGGATTTTTTTGGATCCTTGGAATCAAAGGTGACTTTTTATTTTTTGAGACAGAGTCTTGCTCTGTCACCCAGGCTGGAGTACAGTAGCATGATCTCGGTTCACTGCATCCTCCACCTCCCAGGTTCAAGCAATTCTTGTGCCTCATCCTCCTGAGTAGCCGGAATTACAGGCGTGCACCACCACACCTGGCTAATTTTTGTACTTTTTAGTAAAGATGGAGTTTCACCATGTTGGCCACGCTGTCAAAGGTGACTTTTAATTTTCAATTCTTAAACATTAAACATCATTTTCTGATAATAGAATCTGTGTAATTGTTATTACAAATACGTATGTTTGAATTTGGAAACAGCACATCTTATGCTCTTTCCATCAGGGACTTGGAGACAGTGAAAGAGAGAGAGAGAGAGAGAAATGCATATAAATCACTGTGTAGGGCATCTAGCCTGTACTCATTCATCCAATAAAAAATGTATTGAGAGCCTACAGTGTTCCAGGCATTGTCATAGTTCACTTCAACAAACAAAGCAAAATCTCTGACATAAGGGACTTTAGGAATAAGGTGGGACGGGAAGAGAAATTAGAAAGAATAAACAAGTAACTACGCAGCATACTATGTGGTGATAAGTACCGAGGAGGAATCAAGGCAGGCAGTAGGGATGGGAAGTCTTCCTCTCCTTCTCTCTTTTCCTCTCTTCTCCCTCTCATTCTCCCTCTCCTCTCTCTCTGGGGAGAGGGGGGGTTTGCTATATAGATGGTCGGGGTGGGCTTCATTAATAACGTGACATCTAAGTAGAGACCTGAAGAAAGTGAAGGAGAGAACCATGTGGATATCTGGGGTTTTCTGGGAAAAGTATGTGGAGTAAAGGGGGCAGCAAGTATAAAACCATAAGCTGGCAGCAGACCTTGCTCAGGGAATAACAGGGGGGTCAGTATGGCTGTAATAGGATGAACTGGGGTGGAGGGAGACATAAAGGATGAGTCAGAGAAGTGGTGGGATGAGGGTAGAGTACAGGCATTTTGGCTTTCACTCTGGAGAAGTCACAGTGGAGAGCCATTGGAGAGTTAGGAGAAAGAATAACTGATCAGGCTTACATATTAAAAGGGTAGAGAATCAGCAATAAATAAGAGTTTTTGTGGTTGGAAGTACTGTGTCATTTGTGATATAAAGGCCCAAGGCTTGAGTCATGGTTAGAACATCAAGAGTGCAAGCACAGCTCTCCCCTGGGTCCTCAGGGAAACTGTTCACATTTTCAGATGAAAGTTCTATCTTTTTTCTACTTTTATGTTAGAATCAGGAGGTACATGTGCAAGTTTGTTACAAAGGTGTATAAATTAACTCAAGATGGATTAAAGACTTAAATATAAAACTTCAAACTATAAAAATCCTAGAAAAAAATAGGAAATATCCTTCTCAATATTGGCCTTGGCAATGAATTTATGGCTAGGTCTTCAAAAGCAATTGCAACAAGGGCAAAAGTTGATAACTAGGACCTAATTAAATGAAACAGCTGCTGCACAGCAAGAGAAACTTCCAAGGGAGCAAACAGACAGCCTATGGAATGGAAGAAAATATTCACAAACTATGCATTCAACAGAGGTCTAATATCCAGAATCTATAAGGAACTTAAATTAACAAACAAAAACCAAATAACCCCATTAAAAATAGTTTCCTCTTTTATGAAACAGAGATGATGACACCCATCACTGTGAGTCTCTGTGAGAATGACTGGAGAGTATACAATCAATGTAGGGTATAGTATACAATGTAGGGTATAAAATACAATCCTGACTTTCCAAAAAAAAAAAACAAACAAAAAACCTAGTATATTGTAGGAAAAAGAATGAAAAATAGGTTATATGATTCATGATACTGACAAATTATTTCACTTTTTTCTTTATACTTATTGTGTTTTCCAGATTTTTCTCATTGAGCATATATAATTTTTTAAGTAGCTAGGTATAACTTTTAAAATAAACATAGAGGCATTGGCATTTGATAAACCTTAAAAGTCCTCATTTCAATGAAAAATAAAATAGTGAATGCAGAACTATTGACAATTCTCAAGAAGTGTTCAAAGGTGAGTTATCATGGGAACAATGGCCCCAACAATCCTTTCCTTCCCCAGTTTCTCTGCAAGTCAGCTTCAGGGAGAAGACACTGTGGGCAGACAGCCAAAGGGAGAGTTTCAGCAAAGATTCCAGGAAATCTGAAATGAAAGGAAGAGACTTCCAGTTTTTTAAAAATTTTTAAAAGACAAAATAATAAGCAAAGTTGGAAATAATCCTGGGAATAAGACTTCCTTTGCCATAATCTGTACTTAGAAAGGAAGTAGAAGGACATGGATGAAGCTGGAAATCATCATTCTCAGCAAACTAACACAGGAACAGAAAACCAAACACCGCATGTTCTCACTCATAAGTGGGAGTTGAACTATGAGAACACATGGACACAGGGAGAGGAACATCACACACTGGGGACTATCGGGAGGTGGGGGGCTAGGGGAGGGATAGCATTAGGAGAAATACCTAATGTAGATGAAGGGTTGATGGGTGCAGCAAAGCACCATGGCACATGTATACCTATGTAATAAACCTGTACATTGTGCACATGTACTCCAGAACTTAAAGTATAAGATCTTGAACTTTCCAGCCTTCAGAACTGTGATAAATACATTCCTATTGTTTAAGCCATTCAGTCTATGGTATTTTTGTTATGGTAGCCTGAACTGACTAAGACATTAAATTTACACACATCTACACACACACACACACACACACACACACACACACACACATATACACATACACACAGCCTCCCCTGCCATCAACATCCCTCAGTAGAGTGGTACACTTGTTACAATCAATGAGCCAACATTGAAACATCATTAGCACCCAAAGTCCATAGTTCATATTAGGGTTTACTCTTAGTTTTGTATATTCTATGAGTTTTGACAAATGTATAATATTATGTGTCCACAATTTTAGAAACAGACGAAATAGTTTCAATGCCCTAAAAATCCTCTGTGCTCTAACTATTCATCTCTTCCTCCCCACAGACTCCTTCCTGTCAACCACACACTTTTTATTGCCTCCATAGTTTTGCCTTTTCCAGAATGTCATATAGTTGGAATTTTACAGTATGTAGACTTTCCAGACTGACTTCTTTCACCTAATAATATGCATTTAAAGTTTCTCCATGTCTTTTTTATGGCTTGATAGTGAATTTTGTTTTAGCACTCAATACCGTTTCATTGTTTGGATGTACCACGGTTTATCCATCCATCCACTAATTAAAGGACATCTTGGTTGCTTCCAAGTTTTGGGAATTATAAGTAAAACAGCTATAAACAGCTGTGTGCAGGTTTTTATGTGGACATAGTTTTTAATTCATTTGGGTAAATACCCAAGAGTCTAATTACTGGATTGTACAGTAACAGTATATTTAGTTTTGTAAGAAACTGCTGAACTGTCTTCTAGAGTGGCTGTACCATTTCACTTTCCCACCAACAAGGAAAGAGAGTTCCTGTTGCTCCACATTTTCACCAACATTTGATGTTGTCAGTGTTCTGGATTTTGGCTATTCAATAGGTATATAGTGATATATCATTTTAATTTGTAATTACCTTATGAAGTATGATGTTGCATACCTTTTCATATGCTTTATCTATATTTGCTAAAGTGTGTCTTATTTGTTAAGAAGTCTGTTCAGATTTTTTGCCCATTTTTTAGTTAGATTGTTAATTTTCTTGTTCTTAAGTATTGAGTTCTCTGTATAAGAACATTTAATTTTATTAAAAATCCTTTATCAGTAAGTATTTTAGAAATATTTTCTTCCAGTATGTGGCTTCTCATTTTCTTGACAATGTTTTTCATCATCTAATATTTTTGTGTCTAATTGTTTTTGTACATATTGTATGTTTTTTCCAAATAGAAAATAAACTCCATGATTATGGAGATGTTTTTTGTGCCTGGCAAATAGTAGGTATCAAATAAACAGTGATTGAATTGTTTGAATGAATTTGAGTGATTTTTTTTTTGTATTTTTAAGGCTTAGCTACAAGGAGACCTTATTATATGGAGATAACAACAATGAAAACAAACCTATGTACATATATGTAGAAAATAAGTTGTGTAAACCATATACCTGCAAGTTGGTGCTTTACTTGGTTAGCAATTCAGTTTTTGAGTACAGTTGTTATGCATGTAATTATGCATAACTTGCCATTTTCAAAGCATTTTAATTCATTAAAATATAATTCGCTGTCTATGAAAATATACCAATTAAAATAGTGAAAAAGCAAGCCATGAAGTTGAAGAAGATATTTGCAGTGTGTAGTTGACAAAGCACTCCTCCTATGCAGAATATAAAACAAAATTCTACAAATGAATCATAAAAGGCTGACAGCCCAGTAGAGAAATGGGTACAAACTCCAAACAGGCACTTCACTACACACACATACACACACACACACACACACACACATACACACACACACACAAAAGATGATCAACTTCACTAGCTCTTAAAGAAGTGCAAATTAAAACTACAATGTGATAGCTTTGTACTTACTTACCAGAACAGCTAAAATATAAGAGATTGATTATACAAAATGATGGTAAAGATGTGGTACAGCTATGTTTTGAAAACTGTTTAGTTAAATAACTACTAAAAATGTTTACATACCCTATAACCCAGCAACTTCCATTCCTAGGTATAAACCCCACAGAAACGTACATATATATTCATTTGGACATGTATAAGAACATCTAAAGCAGCACTATCCATTATCCAAATGCTAGAAACAATCTGAATGCATATCAACATGATGAATAAAATATTATATAGTCACACAATGGAACACTGTACAAGGATGACACCACAATACACAACAACATGGGTGAATCTCAGAAACCTAGTGTCAAGCAAAAGAGAACAGATAATCAACAAAAACAAAACAAAACAAAAAATGCACCACAGTGTAAGATTGTGTTTATATGTAATTCAAAAATAGTAGAATCTAATTTGTAATGTTAGAAGTCAAGATGGTGGTTACCCTTGAGGAAGGCTGGTTAGTGACTGGAAGCAGGTATGCAGGGGTCTTTCTTGGTGCTGGGAATATTCTCTTCTGTGATCTGCGTGCTGGTGACTCAGGTATATTTGCTTTGTAAAAACTTATCAAATGTATACTTAGGCTTTTTGCACTTTTCTTTATGTATATTACATGTTGGTAAAAATTTTTATTTAAAATATGTTTAATTAACCTTCCACTAATTACATATTTCTTAGATAATTCCGAAGGTACCTTAGAATGTCTTTTTTTCCTTGCGATGTTTTTGTTGAAGTGCTCAAGTCTGTGGAGTTTTCTGCAGTTTGTATTGTGTTGATTGCATTTCTATGGTATTGATGAATGTGCTCTGTGCTCCCCTGAGCCTTGTTTTGCTATAAATTGGTAGTTAAATTTAGTGACTGGACAAATTTAGATTTAATTTATTTTGGTAATATTACTTCATAAGCTGTGCTGGGTATTCCAGCAGGACGTACATAGTATTGGTTTTGTTATTTTTTTTCTCTTTTGGGGACTTTAGCAACCACTGATAATTATTCTCTAGATCCCTTAATTCATAGCCATTCCAAAGGGTAATGTTCTGTTTTTATTTCTTTATTAGCTAGAGTTGTCAGCTAAAGAGAAAATTCTCCTCAACAACTACTAGAGTTCCCTGAGGTACAGTTCGTAAAAGAAAGACAAGAGAGGTGCTTGGCTCTTTCCCTTTATTGAGCAATTTGTAAAATATGAAGTGACTCCCTAGGATGCCCCAAATGATGACCCGTGCTTTTTTACTATTATTATGAACCCATCATCATGATGAACACATATATGAGGTGTTCTAAATTCATTGCAGTTGTTGTCCTTATTGGTGCACACGTTTTTCTATGTTGGGCTACTGGGAGCTTATTCAAGTTGGACTCCAAGTCCTTTAGAAACAACTTTAGTAGTATTTGATAACTTCCTTACTTCCTTACTTTCTGATATGTCAAGTTGTTCCAAACTCTTTTTCTGCCCCAGATTTGAATCAACCATTTCTTCAAGGAGTCCTGAAGTATTTAGAGACCATAATCTGGGTGCTACAGGTGCTTATTGCACCTGGCTTTATCATTATTTATATATTTTTTTCCAGTGGACACAGACAGAAAATGTCTTAAAAGATAAAATTCATCATGAACTCATACTGAGTCTTCTAATACAGAGTCAGACTGTAGAGTTTTAACTTAATTTCATTAATCTTACTTTGACTGTTGCCTTCTTTCTTCTACATCAAAACATCTGCACCAATATAATTACCATACTAAACACAGAGTAGCCTGAGGGTAACATTACTAGCAGTACTTTCCAGAATATGATTAGTTTAAAAAGCCTAAAATATTTTGCAAATTTTTTTAACAATTATCAATATTCCAAAAGGAATGACCCATATACATTACTGTGCTTTAAAATCAGTTGGAATGATTTATTCTGGTGGTGATTTTTCTTATTTGAGCTGTTAATATAGTAAATTATATTTTTAGATATCCTAATATTGCATTTCTAAAATAGCCCCAAATGAATAATCCTATGTAGAATTTTTGCATCAATGTTCATATGTAAAATTGTTCTGTGGGATATTTTGGGGCTATTTTTGTTGGTTTTACAATCATAACTTTGTAAAATGAATTTGAGAATTGGAAGTTCTCTTTTGTTCTATGCTCAGGAAGAGTAGAAATAACATCAGGCAAAGATGCAAGGGCAATTCAATGGAGAAAAGATAGTCCTTTCAACAAATGGTGCTAAAAATGTTGGATATCAATATGCAAAAAGGAAAGTTGATCACACTATTTATAAAATTAACATATAATGGATAATAGAATTAAATGTAAAACCTAAAGCTATAAAGCTTCTAAAAAATAACAAAGTCTTAATGAACATTAATTAGGCAAAAATTTCTTTAAAAACTCACAAAATCATAATCCATAAAAGAGTAAAAATGACAAATTGTACTTCATCAAAATTTTAAAACTTTTGCTCTTCAAAAAACACTTAGGAAAATGAAAAACAGACCACAGACCAGGAAGACACATTTGTAGAACAGATATGTCATAAACAACTTGTATTCATAATATATATTAAACACTTTCAAACTAATAATAAGTAAACAAACAACCCAATTTAAAAATGGGGCAAAGACACAAACAGTTATTTCACCAAAGAAGAACTATAAATGGAAGATAAAGACATGAAAATATACTCGACAACACTTATTAGGGAAATGCAAAATAAAACCACAACAAGATACCACTAGTCAACAAATAATAGACTAATGCTACTATTTGTCAACAAATAATAGACTAATGCTACTATTTGTCAACAAATAGTAGACTAATACTCTAATGCTATGTCATAATGCCTAAGTCATTCACCTCACTTTTTCTTATCACGTAAGCATTCTGTCATCTTACATCGTCACAAGAAGAAGAAGGGTGAGTATAGTACAATACAATATTTTAAGGGGGATAGGGAGAGATGTATAGAGACTATACCCATATAACTTTTGTTACAGTATATTGTTCTATTTTTATTATTAGTTATTGTTATTAATCTCTTACTGTGCCTAATTTATAAATTAGTCTTTATCATAGATACGTATTTATAGGAAAATATATAGTGTGTATAGAGTTTGGTACTATCCATAGTTTTAGGCATCCACTGGTGGTCTTGCAATGCATCTCCATGGATACAGGGAGACTACCGTACACAGATGTTTATAGCAGCTTTATGCATAGTTGCCAGAACTCCTTACTGCTCCTTCCCCATGAGTAAAGGGATTTATTCTTTTATCCCTCTCGGCCTCCCAGCTACAATGGGTTTTTACCTTAAGGTGGGTAAGAGGGGTTCCTGCAGCAGCAGCCACCTCCCTTTCCCTGGGGAACTTCCTGCCCATCTTCTGTCTCCTCCTCAAGCTTTTTTTTGTAAGACCTGGTTGTGGTCTGTGGAGAATACTTTGTGAATGAATATGAAGTCCATTTGCATTCACAGCTCTTAGGGATTCTGTACTCTCATATTTGCTCACACTTGGCCTTTATCAACTCATTAAAAAATTTAGCTGCATTATTTTTGTCTTCTTTTATGGCCTCGTGTGTCTTCCTCCCATGTTCTGGCACAGGTGAGCTGGTGTTACACCTTGTCTCTCCTGGGTCGGCCTCATTTTTATTTGGATTTCTGACTACTTTTTGCCCTAAAATCTCAGCTCTTGGCTGGGTTGAAATACAACTGCGATTCTGTGCTTTGTCTGGTCTTTTTGAGTTGACAGGGTAGGAGTGACACCGGTCCTAACTTTCTACATTGTAAGCAGTAGTGAAACTCTGGCTGCAGTTGTTTCTAATCAGTCAAAAAGCTAAAGTTGTTGTCTCCCAGAAAGTATTTATGGATTTTTTGTTGTTTTGTTTCATACAATATAGTTAAAGTTTCTTGACTAGAGTTACTTGAGGCAATCTCAATACTATCACATGTCATTTATTTTGAAAATCTTTGAACTAAAATAAGAATTTTCTTACATTAAAAGCTTTTTCTTGCTAACTGTCATATTATTTTACTTTTTGAGGAAAATGAGTGTAGAATAAAACTTTTAAGATGAATGTTTCTTTGTTTGATTTGACATTTAAACATGGTGTAATCCTTCAGTAGAAGAGTCTTGCTCAGCATAAAATATTTTAAAATAAATGAATCATTGTATATTAATGTTAATTTGAAGAGTACATGATTCCAATTTTAAATTTTTTTAAAATACTAAAACAATGACCTCTCCTTTCTGGCCACTCCTGGCTCTGATGCTCTTTTCCTTCCATCCTGTTTGCTTTAGGGCCCTCAAGTTTGCCTCTTTTGGTGAGGCTGCTTCAGGCACCGTCCTCGTGCCTCATTCAGCTCTGCTGAGTGAAGTTTTCACAAGCACAGCCTTGATAGTCCTTCTCTAGCCTTTCTCTTTCTTCCTAAGTTCAACAATCACATTCAGTTTCATCCGTGAGCCCTTGCATGTTCATTTTTTGCTATTTCTTTATGGTCTTATCTCTTTAAAACTTTTAATTCTTGCCATAATAACATGTTAGTCACCATTTTGTCCTACTCTGTGGCAAAGTTTTATTGAGTTACTTTTCTTTGCTGTTGCTTTGTTTCTTTACAACCTCCCTCACCATTTGTACGTTTCTACTTAATTCCTATTTAAGTTCTCTTTACATCATTACTCACCTTAAATATGAATACTCTTTTAAATCAACTATTAGTTGGAAATTCGTGTAAGAAAGGCTTCTGGGCTACTTTCCAGGAGTGTGAGAATTCTCTTCCAAAGTAATGTTAGGTCTGAGAGTTCTTTTGCCCTTTCTTGCACCCCAGCCAATTGAGACTGGTACTGTCAGGCTGCTCATTGAGTTTCTCTCTTTTACCTCTTGAAACAGTGGAGGATGCAAGTTCTGAGGCAGAGATGCTGTGGCAGAGTTAAATTGCTCTGCATGAGAAGGGGCTCAGAGTAAATGAGATGGAAATAGAGAAATCCAGGAGGAAGGAGACAGAGGCAGCTGTGGCCATATGCTGAGGTGTGCGTGGGAGGAGAAAATTAGAAGAGGATAGGAACCCTTCTCCAGGCCTCCTGCAGTAAACAGATATACAATGGGATTTTTTTTCCAAGGAAATGCCATGTGTTTTGTAACCATGTCCTGGGAATTTTCATCAGAATTACTGAAAGCACAGTATTCTTGTAGAGGTTACATGTCTTGTGGAAGATAGTGGTGAAGGGCATAGGTTTTGTGTCAAGTTGTGGGCAGTTGAGGCAGAACAAAATCAGCTTTCTCAAACCTTGGTCCTGACTTTGACCAATTGTGGTTATGCGTGATGTTCACTCCAACCACCGCCCTGTGTCTCCCAGTCATGATCTGTCTTCCACTCCTAACCCAAGACATCTTTCATTCAGAAACATTTTCCACAACTTCTATGGCCAAAAGTCAAAAGATTAAAAATTATTCATTTCAAGTGGAAATACATAATTAACAATTATTTCTATGCCATTTTTATAGCACTAAAGTCACATTGCTACTTTATAAATGGTGTATATTACAAGTTTTATATGTATAAAACTTTATATGCTCATAAAATTAGCATAACCTTTATTCAACCAGTTATTCCAAATGTATTTATTAGTTAAAGTTTTTGTTTGAAATAAAATTACAGGCTCAAAGAAATATAACACCTTTCTCTCTCTTTTTTCCAATGTGTATAAAACACTGTAGCAAACATAGGAAGCTATTACAATTGTCAAAACTATATCTTTCATAATTTACAGCAGACCAAATCAAAATTAACCTCTCTGTGCACTTCTTGGGTAGTTTTCTGCAGACCTTCAGAACATGCTGCTGAAATTCTAGGACTACACAGCAGAGACTCTTGGAACAAGAATCTGTGCCAAGAGGCTTCTCCAAAGCAGAATTCACTTTATATCTCTGTACTAGGGAATGTCCATGCCAGTTGTCCATCAGGGGGATTTAGAAAAGCATTCGGGGGATGCTTTTTTGGAAAACAGGTTATTCTAAGAGTGACTTAGAATGTGTCCTCTGTCATACCATAAAGCAAGTATAGTGTCCTGGCTCCACGAAATCAGAAGTTGGTGCTCCAAATCCACAGGGAAGGGAGCATGCAGGGACCACAGGAAACTCAGAGTGATAGGGCCCCTAACCCTGCAAATACAGTGCCCATGGTACTTCGACAAAGCCTAGAAGTTGGAAGCCAGCATTTGTCTCACCCTTGATAGTAGGGTCTATGAAAATTTGCAACCATTATACACTATAAAATAGGATTATTATGTCACATATGACACCAGTATAATAGTAGAGAAAATGTTTGTAATAGAAATGACTGGGTCATCTTGAAATGAAGACAAAACTCTTTTCATATAGAATTCTGTTAAAATAAAAATACGACTCTTCCCAGCCCCCGAGGAAGGGATGATGTTATTACAATGTTTAAATATAGTAGTTTGGGGGTGTAGGAGGCAGAGAGAGTAACTGGATGTAGTCATTCTGTCAATTAATTGTTGCATTTTAAAGTACATGAAAATGAAACTGATTTTTAACTAAATTTACATACATGAATTGGAAGGATGAGCTGGATTGGGGTAGAAAGATACTGGGGAACAGGAGGGCTGGTATCCCCAGCAAGGAAAGCAAAATGGGCAAAAAGGCAAGAGTGGGCATGGCTGTGGTGAATACAGGGAATTACACAAAGCTGTTTGCAGAGAAAGCAGGATGTTATGTTGGAGCAAGACAGCAGAAGCTCTTTAGTGTGGTGCTTGGAATTAAGCTCAGAAGGTTGAACTGAAAGAGGCAGAGAGACAGGAATGGGTGAAACCAGGGATCATCTACACTGAGAAGTCAAACTGAGGCCTGAGGTGGTTTGAGCGTGCGCCAGGGTGCTGGCTATGGGTATGGAGAGTAAGGGGCACATCTGAGAGGCATTTCAGAAAAGGAATAATGGGATTTTGGGATAAATTGGTTATATGGGTTGAAGAAAAAGACTAAAGTGAAAGATGTCTTTAAATTTTTTCAACTTGGAGACCAGAAGAGTTCTGGTGCCCTTGAGTGAAATGGTAAAGCTGAAAAAAAATTCAGTGTGAAAGAAAATGAAGAAAAGGAGTAAGGCTGTGTTTTAGTCCCATTGAATTTGGTGTGACTGTTGAGTATCCAAGTGGAAAGTATTAACAGGCCTAAAAATGGGAATGTTCCATGAAGGTGGGAGGTCAGGATAGAAGCTTAGCTCTAAAAGTCATCAACATCAAATCCATATAGATAAAAGTGGATGAAATCTCAGAGTGAGAATAAAGACGTAAGTTCTGACTCTAAGAATTGGGAATTGGTGCTACATGAGTTTTTTATGTAGTTATTTTTGGCAGCCAGTTCTACATTTCATTCAGTTGATGATAACAGTAAGATTGGGAAAACATATTTCCTGTTTTTCTATAGGTTTTCAATTATTTCTCTTGTCAAATTTATCCATTACCATCAAGAGACTATATTTGTTTTAGTGATGAACTTTTCTCTAGCAGGCACTAAAAAAGAGTCCTGTCTGGCTGTAGATTTTTTTAAATGCGACAAACACAACCCATTTTCCCCCTTAATATTCAATTCTGAGCTTTCTGACGATGAACTGCACTGTGGTAGAAGAGAGAGGAGGAAGGCGTTGGGTAGAGACAGATCTTTTTATAAAGATCAGCAATTCTCCATGCTTTTATCCCAGGCAAAGATTACATTTAACACCCAGGGGTCTCTGCTGCCTCAGATCCTTTTCAGAATGAGTGGCTGTGGCACTGCAGATAGTTTGGGGTGTCCTTTCATATTTTGACAGTATTAAATATATCCCAGTGAGCCATAAATCTGTGATTTATCTAAGAATAAATCATTAATAAGGGACCACTTCTTTTACATTGGACACTGCATTATATTAAACAGACAGAGTTTCTAAAAAATACAAAATGTGTCAGACAACCATTTTTAATGAATATAACTTAAAATTCCTCTTTCTTTAAAAGAAAGCTATTTCTTTTTAATAAGGAAAAACTGGGAGATTTGCTGAGTTTTGCTGGCTATTGTGTATATTTACTCTTTCAGCAATGGAGAAAGCTAAGGTTCTACTCATATTTTTCGGTATCCATGTTGCATATTAGGGAAGGAAATGGAAAAGAAAAATAAAGGAGAGAGCCCTTAGGGGCTAAGTTTGGTGGAAGTATGCAGGATAGGGCCCAGGTGTGGACTAAATTTGTTCATGCCTATGTTAGTATTTCATACCACAACATGCTTAGTGTCATCTCAGGGGTTGAGTTGGCCTCATTTGCTGTGGTATCCCTGGTGCTTACCATAGTATCTGAAACACCTGGTGGTGCTCAGCAACTATCTGCTGAATAGACATATATTGTGTGCTGAAATGACATGATTATGTCTTAAGCATTCAGATTCTGTCTTTGGCTATTCTAATTTACTAAAAATGTGATCTCTTTACCACTACTAGGCTGGAAGCAAATCTGGGAAACAGAAAAGATTTTAGATACAAAGATGTATCTATGTTTTCACCTAAAGCATAGAATGTTTTACAAACAATTATACCTCTAAGGGAAGTCATTGGTATGTTCTGTTTAGATTTGTTTTCATTAATGGATTAATAGATTTCAGTGATGGGCAATGAAAAGGAGGGTGTAGGTGTATGCAGAGAGGAACCTAATTCCTTTAGAGGCTTTAATCTGTTTTAGAGAGCTGACTATCCATAAAAATGAATAAATGAATCAACTGCATATAGATGTAAAATGTGAACAGCTGAAGATAGATATAAACATGATGGAGATGTCTGTTTCTGGTAATATAATGAAACAAAATATTTTGAGAATCTGTCCTGTGCACCAGAAAATGCTGGATAAAATGTTTAAATATATGTAATCCATAGCTAAGCTAGCAAAAATAGAAGGAAAATACTGAAGGCCAAAAGTAATAAAGCAATTATTCCCGAAAGGTGAGAAATGAGCCAATGGCCACCATGGATATCTGCCTATTCCAGACAAATTAGAGCTTCAATTTTTGGGGCTGATCCTGGGAACAAAGGCAAAACTTAATATTACATGTTGGAAAGTCAGATCAGAAATCCCTGTCTAAATCGTTGTTTCCCAAGAAATGGCACTCAGAGAAAAGATAAATTGGAGAAGGGAGGATAAGGAAGTTGCCCTACAAAGGGGGGGAAAAAAAAAGGAAAATTTTCCTGACTCTAAATAAAAAGTATCTTCCTTGAGAATGTATAACCATAAATTGGCCCTCTCATAGGTGTGGGACCAAAATTTACACTATTCGTGTGAGCCAAAAAAAGAAAAAAAATCAAACTAAGCATTTGATTGAAAGTACTCTCTGGTTGGTAATGCTCTGAGACACTGTGTAGAAGAGCACACCTTAAACCCAAGCCTCAAATGACTCCCCCATATAAAATTGAATAAATGCAAACTCACAATTTAAAAAAAGACCCTCAGAAAGAAACTAGGCACCATGAGTGAGAAACTTTTCACTCAATCACAAACAGCAAGATAAGACCATAAAGACTTCAGATTTTCTAATCACAGGCACGAAAATATAAACTAAACTTGCATAAATATTTAAAGAACTAAAAGAGAAAATTTAACCTAAAGCCATGAAAGAAAAAAAACCAGAAGAAATAAGGAGGGAGGTTTCAAAAAAGAAAACATATAGAACTTCCCAAAATAGAAATATAATCATTGAGTTTGAAAAATAACAAATGTGTTAAAAGGCCAGTTAGACAGAGTTGAATAAAGAATTAATGAAATGGAAAAGAAATGTGAAAAATTGCCCAGAATGTAGTGCAGAGCGGCAAAGAGATGAAGTAACAAACATCAAATCAGAGTCCCAGAGGGGAAAAACTGAGTTAATGGGAAAAAGCAACATTTAAGGAGATAATATATGAGAATTTACTGCTTTGATGAGAGATAAAAATTATCTCTCACAAAATAAATAAAAACAAATCTGTTTGTACACATTACAGTGAAGCTAAAGAATACCTAAGAAGAAGAGAGAATCTTTAATGCAGCCAGTGAGAAAAGATCAGTTACTTATAAAGGAATGATAGTTAGACAGGTGTTGGATTAGGGTTAGACACAACAGGTTCACAGAGTGTAAAATTTAAGGAGATACTCTCCAGTTCAACACCAATAAGGACCCAAAACTCTTATGAGAGAGGAGTGGCTTTCTCCTTTAAGAACAGAAAATTACTCCTTCTCAATTTAAAAATGATACTTATAGCAACTGGTATTGCCAAAGAGCTATAAAATTTTGTCCCTTGTACCTTCTGCCAAGTCATCCTTAAGAAAAAGTGTCTAAAATCATTTAGAGAAATACTTTTATGGTTGTGGGAATGAGAAGATGAGACAATGTGTAGCAATCACTGTGAAGGAAACTACAAGGTTTGTAGATCCAAATTTGATACAAAATTTGTTAGATTTCCCAGAATCAGAAAAACTTCACCAAGCCACAAAAATAAAAGCTCAAAGTGAAATACACAGATATGTTTTACTCCAACCAATATATAAAATTAAGTTTCTTGACACATATGCTGCTATGTTCAAATTCTCTGTCCAGAGACAGAGTTCAAATTCAAATTCTCTGTCCAGATACCACTAATTAACTATAGCACTCTACTGAGACAGCTCAGACATCTCAAAAGCTCTTTAATACAGGGCTCCTGACAGGAGTCAGTAATGGTTTCCAGTTCACCAATGTATCTCTAGCACCTAGGACAGTTCTTGAAGCCTTCTTTGTGCTCAGTTGCTATTGTAGACAGATTAATGAATTGAATTTGACAAATAAGATTAAATGTATTTGCCACAATCAGGGTAGTGATTAATAATAATGAATAATGATACGAGAAGGCTAACCTTTTTTTCCAATCCACCTCCTCAGAATAGACGGGTTCTGAGACATTAAGGCCTTCCTGGTCTGGGAATATGACGTCCCATTGGGAAAAAATGGGCATAAAGCTGTCCCATAAATAGGCTGGGAATGGCCTTGTGTGTTTCTGGGGCTTAGTTTATGAAACTGAAAAGTAGTTATTGGAGGTGATGTCTGTTGATAACTTTGACTAGCCCCTTTTCCTAATTCGAATTTGCCCATCAATTTTCTCCATTGAGCATCAAACCATAAGAACCAGTAGATAGATGGAGACTAGTGTGAACCAGGTTCATGTCTACCAGGGCAGTCGAAGAGCAAAAGAGTAGGACTTTTTCTTCTCTAGGCTTGATAAGTGCCTGGGAACTAGTGATGAGAAAGTCATGAGTTGAGAATTGAGAATCAGAAAAGAGCACTGATACACTTAGAAATCTGTGTATCCTTTCAAGGAAGAGCAGCATCAGCTTATGTGCACATTCCTGGAAGGACCTGCCCATCTCCATGTCCAAGATGGCTGAGGGCACACCGAAGCTGGAAAATTCTAGCTTTTCCAGCTGAGTTGATCAGAAAGAAGAAAGGTTCTATCTTGCTACTTCAGCCAGAGACTGTGTATTAAGCTCTTCTTACATTGGTATAAAGAAATACCTGAGACCAGGTAATTTATAAAGAAAAGAGGTTTAATTGGCTCACAGTTCTGCAGGCTGTGTAGGAAGTATGCTGCCAGCATCTACTTGGCTTCTGAGGAGGCCTCAGGGAGCGTTTTAGTTTTGTTTTGTTTTGTTTTTTATTGAGATGGAGTCTTGCTCTGTCACCCAGGCTGGAGTGCAGTGGCGCAATCTCGGCTCTCTGCAAGCTCCGCCTCCCGGGTTCACACCATTCTCCTGCCTCAGCCTCCTGAGTAGCTGGGACTATAGGCGCCCGCCACTATGGCCGGCTAATTTTTTGTATTTTTAGTAGAGACAGGGTTTCACCGTGTTAGCCAGGATGGTCTCGATCTCCTGACCTCGTGATCTGCCCGCCTCGGCCTCCCATAGTGCTGGGATTACAGGAGTGAGCCACCGCGCCCGGCCAGGGAGCTTTTACTCATGGTGGAAGGTGAAGGGGAACAGGCATGTCACATGGCCAGAGCAGGAGCAAGAAAGAGGCAGGGGAGGGGCCACACACTTTAAACCACCAATTCTTGTGAGAACTCATGCATTCACTATTGTGATGAGAGCACCAAACCATGAGCGATCCACCCTCATGACCCAAAACCTCCCACTAAGCCTCATCTCCAACATTGTAGATTATAATTCAACATGAGATTTACAGGGAACATCGTCCAAACTTTATCAGACTGACAACTTTCTGAATGATATACCACCAGTCCATCGGTCTTGAGATTGCCATAACTTAAGATCACCAGCTAGATCTGAGTTCTAATTAATAAAGTCAGTAGACAGAAGGATAGAGGAAAAACCAAAAGCCCAAAATGGGAAGTTCTGATGGAATGGAACCGCTGGATGGGACGATCGCACATGCACAAAAAAATACAGCAATTATAGAGCTTTAATCATAGCAGTGAAATAATTTCTAGAAGAAAGACATGAATTAAAACTAGTAAGAGGAACTGAGTAAGAGGATGATCACTATTGAGACTCAAATTGGTAGTCTAGAAGATAAAGTAGGGGGAATGTTTCCCCCAGCAAAAAGACAGAGAAGAAAAAATAAAGATCTAGGGTTCAGAACCGGAAGCTCTAACATAAAAATAATAAGAGTTCCAGAAGGAGAACCAAAGAACACATGGCGAAGCAATAATTAAACAAATAATAAGAAAAAATATCCCCGAGCTGAAGGCAGACATAACACAGACTGAATCCATAAATTCAAGTTTCAGGCAGGATTAATAAATAAGAATACACATATGCGCGTTCTAGAAAAAGTCCTGAACTTAAAAGATAATGAGAACATCTTACAAACTTTCAAACAGAGCAAATTTTTTTAAACTGAAAAAGAATCAGAGTGGATCAGACTGGAAGACAGAGATGGTTATGTAATATCTGTAGATCATGAGAAAAAAATGACTGCAACCCAGGGATTCCAGTCCTAGCCAAGATATCATTTACCTATCAGGGTAAAAGAAAAATATTTGCTGAAATCCAAGAAGTCAGAGTATACACTGTCTGCATATATATCTGAATAAAATGTTTGAGAAAGAATTCTAGCCAAACAAATGAGCAGAGCAGAGACCTACTGAAAGAGAAGATGAAGAAAGAAAATGAGAGCAGCAAGCAATGAACCGTGCCATGTGTGTAGCTTAATTTAAATATATAATTTCGGTGTGAATGCTGATGTTTGTAACTACCAAATTAGGATTTTCTAAATAAAAGAGACATACTTCAAGAGAAAATGTAACCAAAATCTGGAATTTCAGCAAAACGTAGGAAATGGGGTTGAGGTATGGGAATAAAAGCATTCTAATTTGACCTCATCTGGAAGGGGGAAGTAAAAAAGTAAAACTTATTCTAACTGTCTCATTATATTGGGATGGAGGAGGACAGTGATAGAAGTGAGCACATTGGTGGTAGAAAGAGTTGGTATCTATAGAACAGTAGCACAAAATGTGTATTTTATATGTGTCATAAAAGTGTAATTAAAGTGTAATAGAACATGCAAATTAATATATGAAAAAATAGTAATAGCATCACATTAGAACTAATAATGAAAAGTAAAAGGAAAAAGTGACAAATGAAATAAAGAGTATATATAAAATTGCTTGAAATAAAATTAAGTATATCGGCTTTTATTCCAAATGTAAATAAACTATTAGGTTGGTGCAAAAGTATAATTGCAGTTTTTACCATTAAAGGTAAGTAAAAGCGATGGCAAAAACCGCGATTAGTTTTGCACCAACCTAATAAATTTTCCTCATAGGAGACACTACTAGACTGGGTTTAAAACACTGAGCACTACACATCCTTTGTTTTGTTTTAATTTTTTTTAATTTTTTTAATAATTTGTTTTACATTACTTGACATTTAAAGTGATAAAGAACATTTAGGGTAAAGCGGATGTACCTTTGTTGGGGGGGGGGGGTGAAAAATGCAAGGCAAATTAAAACAAATATTAATACCAGGTAGGGTGGAATATAAGAATAATTATGTTAAATAGGTTAAAAAGGATGTTATATGATTATAAAGGTAGAGTTTTCAAAAATCACAAAAACTCATAAAGCTATATATACTAAACAATGTATCAGCCAGAGAGATATAGAAATAATTCTTTATAACTAAAGAATAACTATAACTAAAATGTTATTTTTAACATTTTAGTTGGAAAAAGGTTAGACTTATTGAGGGGTTTCGTAGTACAAAGAGTTCCTATCTACCCTTCATCCAGCCTTCCCCACGTGACCATGGTACAACTATCAAAAATAAGAAATTAGCATTGGCATAATACTATTAACTAAACTACAGACTTTATTTAGTTTTCACCAGTTTTTCCACTAGTGTTCTTTGTATGTGTGTAGTGTGTCTGTTCAGCACCTAATCCAGGATACCACATTGCCAGTTAGTTGTCAGATTTCACTAGTCTCCAGTTGGTGCTAATTTCTCAGTCATTCCTTGTCTTTCTTGACCTTGACACGTTTGAGGAGTACTGACCAGGTACTTCATAAAATGTCTCCCAAGTTGGGTTTGTTTGATGTTTTCTTGTGATCAGATTCAAGTTACGGATTTTGGGGAATTTGCCCTCCTCAGTACCTCATATCAGTGGGTATATGATGTTGATACGGTTTTTTACTGGTGATGTTAACCTTGATCACTTGGTTAAAGTGGTGTCTGACAGATTTTTTCCACTCCAACCTTACCATTTTTCTCTTTAAAATTAATAAATATGCCGGGTGCGGTGGCTCACGCCTGTAATCCCAGCACTTTGGGAGGCCGAGGCAGGCTGATCACGAGGTCAGGAGATTGAGACCATCCTGGCTAACACGGTGAAACCCCATCTCTACTAAAAATACAAAAAATTAGCCGGGCGTGGTGGTGGGCGCCTGTAGTCCCAGCTACTTGGGAGGCTGAGGCAGGAGAATAGATGGCGTGAACCTGGGAGGCGGAGTTTGCAGTGAGCCGAGGTCAGGCCACTGCATTCCAGTCTGGGCGACAGAGCAAGACTCTGTCTCAAAACAAACAAACAAACAAAAATTAATAAATATTTGGGAGGAAGATAACTTTGAGGCTACTCGGATAATCCCATTTCTCATTAAACTTTCACCTACTAATTTTAGCATTCATTGGAGGATATTGCGTGCATTGATTATTACTGTAGTGTTTTTTTAATGGTGGTTTTCTATTTTCTTCATTCCTTCTACAATTATTAATTGAAATTCTTGTGAAGAACTTTTCTTGATCCTCTATTTATTGATTCAATCATTTATTTGTATCAGTATGGATTCATGGATATTTATTTTATTTTCTGACCCATTATCCAATACTATCATTTGTTCAAATTATTCCATATTTGCTCATTAGGAGGTCCACCAGATTGGCTTCTATGTCCTTTTGACATGACTATACTTTTAATTTTTGTTTAAGTTTTAGCACTTAATTTTTGACATGACAAGATGCTTGTATGCTCTTGTCCATACCCCTGGACTTGACCATTTCTTCAATGAAAGTCTGGTTCCTTATATTAGAGGATTGTATGTAAAACCAAGATCTCAGCACTAGATATGCTTGTTGCTTCTAAGGTGTCTCTACTTCTAGACAGACCTGGAAAACATATAAATATATATTAACACATACATCTATATTTATTTCTTTATTTATTTATTTTACTTTAAGTTCTAGGGTACAGGTGCACAATGTGCAGGTTTGTTACATATGTATACATGTGCCATGTTGGTGTGCTGCACCCATTAACTTGTCATTTACATTAGGTATATCTCCTAATGCTTTCCTTACCGCCCCCACCCCCAACCCCACGACAGGCCCCGGGGTGTGATGTTCGCTTTCCTGTGTCCATGTGTTCTCATTGTTCAATTCCCACCTATGAGTGAGAACATGCAGTGTTTGGATTTTTGTCCTTGCGATAGTTTGCTGAGAATGATGGTTTCCAGCTTCATCCATGTCCCTACAAAGGACATGAACTCATCCTTTTTTATGGCTGCATAGTATTCCATGGTGTATATGTGCCACATTTTCTTAATCCAGTCTATCATTGGTGGACATTTGGGTTGGTTCCAAGTCTTTGCTATTGTGAAGAGTGCTGCAATAAACATACATGTGCATGTGTCTTTATAGTAGCATGATATATAATCCTTTGGGTATATACCCAGTAATGGGATGGCTGGGTCAAATGGTATTTCTAGTTCTTTATCCTTGAGGAATCGCCACACTGTCTTCTACAATGGTTGAACTAGTTTACAGTCCCACCATCAGTGTAAAAGTGTTCCTGTTTCTCCACATCCTCTCCAGCACCTGTTGTTTCCTGACTTCTTAATGATCGCCATTCTAACTGGTGTGAGATGGTATCTCATTGTGGTTTTGATTTGCATTTCTCTGATGGCCAGTGATGATGAGCATTTTTTCATGTGTCTGTTGGCTGCATAAATGTCTTCTTTTGAGAAGTGTCTGTTCATATCCTTTGCCCACTTTTTGATGGGTTTTTTGTTTTTTTCTTGTAAATTTGTTTTAGTTCTTTGTAGATTCTGGATATTAGCCCTTTGTCAGATGAGTAGATTGCAAAATTTTTCTCCCATTCTGTAAGTTGCCTGTTCACTCTGATGGTAGTTTCTTTTGCTGTGCAGAAGCTCTTTAGTTTAATTAGATCTCATTCATCAATTTGGGCTTTTGTTGCCATTGCTTTTGGTGTTTTAGACATGAAGTCCTTGCCCATGCCTATGTCCTGAATGGTATTGCCTAGGTTTTCTTCTAGGGTTTTTATGGTTTTAGGTCTAACATTTAAGTCTTTAATCCGTCTTGAATTAATTTTTGTCTAAGGTGTAAGGAAGGGATCCAGTTTCAGCTTTCTACATATGGCTAGCCAGTTTTCCCAGCACCATTTATTAAATAGGGAATCCTTTCCCCATTTCTTGTTTTTGTCAAGTTTATCAAAGATCAAATGGTTGTAGATATGCAGCATTATTTCTGAGGGCTCTGTTCTGTTCCATTGGTCTATATCTCTGTTTTGGTACCAGTACCATGCTGTTTTGGTTACTGTAGCCTTGTAGTATAGTTTGAAGTCAGATAGCATGATGCCTCCAGCTTTGTTCTTTTGGCTTAGGATTGACTTGGTGATGCGGGCTCTTTTTTGGTTCCATATGAACTTTAAAGTAGTTTTTGCCAATTCTGTGAAGAGAGTCATTGGTAGCTTGATGGGGATGGCATTGAATCTATAAATTACCTTGGGCAGTATGGCCATTTTCACAAGATTGATTCTACATACATCTATATCTAGATAGATAGATCGATAGATAGATAGATAGATAGATAGATAGATAGATAGATAGATATTCACCTGTTGAAGGATCCATGGGTAGTTTCCAGTTTTTGGTGATTATAAATAAAGCTGTTACTGTATAAGCATTTACATACAGGTTCCGGTTTTAAAATACGTATTATTTTGCTAGTTTTATATTCATACATACACACGTAAACATACATACAGTTTTGAAAAAAAAAAACACAAGTTCGTATTAAAATTTTCAACTCTAATCTAGCACCAAACAGTTCATTCTAGCATTTGTAATTTGCTTATAGTTTCTTCCTCTAACAGTAAGAAAACTGCTTTTTGTAATCTAAAATATGTTTACGTATTTGTTATACGTAAAATAGTTTCAGACTTGCTAACCCATACTTTCCTGAGAGACAAGTTGACCAACTAGAGCACAGTGTTGGTATACAGTTCTTCTTTATTTTAGCCTTAACAGTACCCAGTGAATACACCCTTTTGCAAACTTACTTAGGTCAGTTCCTTTTTTGTCTCATCCCCTTCAGTGTGGCTAAGTCACTTATTGTAATATGGTTAGATTCACTTGTCATAGTTTGCATTTCATCTTGGGTTTTGCTGACATCTTGTTTTATTTTTAAAATTTGCATACAGTAGAATTCACTCTTTGAATGAACTCTTTTGCCCATTTAGTATTTAACAAATGCATAAACCATATATCCACAAGTACAGTTACACAAAACAGCTCCATTGATCAAAAAATACCCTTGTGCTGCTGTCCCTTTGTAATCACTTTCATCATTCCCAGTTTCAATTGTTTAAATTCCTTACAGATTCTGGATGTTAGACTTTTGTTGGATGTATAGTTTGCAAATATTTTCTCCCATTCTGTATGTTATCTGTTTACTCTGTTGATAATTTCTTTTGCTGAGCAGAAGCTCTTTAGTATAATCAGGTCCCACTTCTCAATGTTTGTTTTTGTTGCAATTGCTTTTGAGGACTTACTCATAAGTTATTTCCCAAGGCTGATGCCCAGAATGGTATTTCCTTGGTTTTCTTATAGGATTCTTACAGTTTGAGGTTTTACATTTAAATATTTACTTCATCTTCAGATCATTTTTGTATATGGTGAAAGGTAAGGGTTCAGCTTCATTCTTCTGCATATGGCTAGCCAGATATCCCATCACCATTTATTGAATAGGGAGTTCTTTTCCTATTGCTTATTTTTGTCAACTTTGTTAAAAATCAGATGGCTGTAGGTATGCAGCTTTATTTCTTGGTTCTATATTCTGTTCCATTGGTCTATGTGTTTGTTTTCGTACCACGACCATGTTGTTTTGGTTACTGTAGCCTTGTGTTATAGTTTGAAGTTGGGTAGTGTGATGCCTTTGGCTTTGTTCTTCTTTCTTAGAAGTGTCTTTGCTATTTGACCTCTTTTTTGGTTCCATATGAATTTTAGAATAGTTTTTTTCTTTAAGAATGTTGAATATTGGCCCCCACTCTCTTCTGGCTTGCAGAGTTTCTGCCGAGAGATCCACTGTTAGTCTGATGGGCTTCCCTTTGTGGGTAACCCGACCTTTCTCTCTGGCTGCCCTTCACATTTTTTCCTTCATTTCAACTTCGGTGAATTGGACAATTATGTGTCTTGGAGTTGCTCTTCTCGAGGAGTATCTTTGTGGTGTTCTCTGTATTTCCTGAATTTGAATGTTGGCCTTCCTTGCTAGGTTGGGGAAGTTCTCCTGGATAATATCCTGCAGAGTGTTTTCCAACTTGGTTCCATTCTCCCTGTCACTTTCAGGTACACCAGTCAGACATATATTTGGTCTTTTCACATAGTCCTATATTTCTTGGAGGCTTTGTTCATTTCTTTTTACTCTTTTTTCTCTAAATTTCTCTTCTTGCTTCATTTCATTAATTTGATCTTCAGTCACTGATACCTTTTCTTCCAGTTGATCAAATCGGCTACTGAAGCTTGTGCATTCGTCACGTAGTTCTCATGCCATGGTTTTCAGCTCCATCAGGTCATTTAAGGACTTCTCTACACTGGTTATTCTAGTTAGCCATTCGTCTAACCTTTTTTCAAGGTTTTTAGCTTCTTTGAGATGGGTTTGAACTTCCTCCTTTAGTTCGGTTTCAACTTCCTCCTTTAGTTCGGAGAAGTTTGATCGTCTGAAGCCTTCTTCTCTCAACTCATCAAAGTCAAAGTCATTCTCCATTCAGCTTTGTTCCGTTGCTGGTGAGGAGCTGCATTCCTTGGAGGGGGAGAGGCGCTCTGATTTTTAGAATTTTCAGCTTTTCTGCTCTGTTTTCTCCCCATCTTTGTGGTTTTATCTACCTTTGGTCTTTGATGATGGTGATGTACAGATGGAGTTTTGGTGTGGATGTCCTTTCTGTTAGTTTTCCTTCTAAGAGTCAGGACCCTCAGCTGCAGGTCTGTTGGGGTTTGCTGGAGGTCCACTCCAGACCCTGTTTGCCTGGGTATCAGCAGCGGAGGCTGCAGAACAGTGAATATTGCTGAACAGCAAATGTTGCTGCCTGATCGTTCCTCTGGAAGCTTCCTCTCAGAGGGTGTCAGTGTGAGGTGTCAGTCCACCCCTCCTGGGGGGTGCCTCCCAGTTAGGCTAGTTGGGGGTCAGGGACCCACTTGAGGAGGCAGTCTGTCCGTTCTCAGATCTCAAACTCGTTCTGGGAGAACCACTGCTCTCTTCAAAGCTGTCAGACAGGGACATTTAAGTCTGCAGAGGTTTCTGCTGCCTTTTGTTTGGCTAGTCCCTAGAGAATAAATAGTTTTTTTCTAGTTCTGTGAAAAGTGACATTGTTAGACTTGATAGGAATATCATTGAATCTTTCTATTGCTTTGGAGAGTATGACCATTTTAGCAATATTAATTGTTCCAAACCATGAGCTTGGAATGTTTTTCCATTTGTTTGTGTTACCTGTAATTTCTTTTAGCAGTGTTTTGTAGTTCTTGTAGAGATATTTTACCTGTTCGGTTAGATGTATTTCTAGATTTTTTTTGTTTATGGCTATTGTAAATGGGAGTGTGTTCTGAATTTGGCATTCAGCTTGAACGTTATTCGTGTATAAAAATGCTACGGATTTTTGTATATTATTTTGTTTCCTGAAACTTTACTAAGTCATTTATCAGTTCAGGAGAGTTTTGGCATGGCCTATAGGGTTTTCTAGGTGGAGAGTCATATCATCAGTGAAGAGAGATAGTTTGACTTCTTTTCCTATTTGGATGCCTTATATTTCTTTCTCTTGCCTCATTGCTGTGGCTAGGACTTTCAGGACTATGTTGAATAGGAGTGGTAAGAATGGGCATCCTTGTTTTGTTTTAGTTTTCCAGGGGAATGCTTCCAGCTTTTGCCCATTTAGTATGATGTTGGCTGTGGGTTTGTCACAAATGACTCATTATTTTGAGATATGTTCCTTCAATATCTAGTTTCTTGAGGGTTTTTATCATGAAGGAGTGTTGGATTTTACTAAAAGTTGTTTTTCCTGTGTCTATTCAGATGATCATATGGTTTTTGTTTTTATTTCTGTTTATTATGCATGTATTGATTTGTGTTTGTTGAACTGGTCTTGCATCCCAGGAATGAAGTCTACTTGATCATGGTGAACTAATTTTTTGATGTGCTGCTGGATTTGGTTTGCTAGTACTTCGTTGAGCATTTTTGCATCATCAGGGTTATTGGCCTGCAGTTTTCTTTTTTCACTGTGTCTTTGTCAGGTTTTAGTATCAAGGTGATGCTGGCTTCATAGAATGAGTTAAGGAGGAGTCACTCCTCACCTTTTGGAAGAGTTTCAGTAAGATTGGTACCAGCTCTTCTTTGTACATCTGGTAGAATTTGGATGTGAATCCTACTTTTTCAGGGCTTTTCTGATTGGTAGGTTTTTCTTGCTGATTCAATTTTGGAACTTGTTATTAGTCTGTTCAGGGTTTCAATTTCTTCCTGATTCAATAGTAGGAGGTTGTGTGCTTCCAGGAATTTACCATTTTCCCTAGATTTTCTAGTTTGTATGCATAGAGGTGTTCATAATAGTATCTAATGATCTTTTGTATTTTGTGGGATAGGTTGTAATGTCAACTTTGTTGTTTCTGGTTGTGCTTATTTGATTTTTCTCTCTTTTCTTTGTCAATCTAGTTAGCATTCTAGCAATCTTGTTTATTATTTCAAAAAACACACTTTTGGTTTCACTGATTTTTTTGTATGGATTTTTGGGTTTCAATTTTGTTCACTTCTGCTCTGATTTTAGTTATTTCTTGTCTTTTGCTAGCTTTGAGGTGAGTTTATTCTTGTTTTCCTAGTTTCTCTGTGTGATGTTAGATTGTTAATTTGAGATCTTTCTCATGTTTCCTGTTAGCAGTGCTTTTGCTGCATCTTAGAGATTTTGGTATGTTGTGTCTCTGTTTTCATTTCTTTCAAAGAATTTTTTGATTTCTGCCTTAATGTTGTTGTTTACCCAAAAATCATTCAAGTGGAATTTGTTTAATTGCCATGTAATCGTGTGATTTTAAAATATCTTGGTATTGATCTCTATTTTAATTGCACTGAGATCCGAGAGTATGGTTGGTATGATTTTGAGCCGAGATCGTGCCACTGTACTCCAGCCTGGGCGACAGCGAGACTCTGTCTCAAAAAAAAAAAAAAAAAAAATTTTATTGAAACATTCTTTATGGCCAAGCCTGTGGTCAGTCTTGGAGTATGTTCTGTGTGTAGATGAAAAGAATGTGTATTCTGTGGTTGATGGGTGGAGTATTCTGTGTATATCTACTAGATCTAATTGGTCGAATGTCAAATTTTTAAGTCCAAAGTTTCTTTGTGAGTTTTCTGCCTTGATGAAGTAAGGCAGAATGTTGTCAGTTGGGTGTTGAAGTCCCCCACTATTATTTTGTGGCTGTCTATGACTTCTTGTAGGTCTAGAAGTACTCCTTTTATGAATTTGGCTATTCCAGTGTAGGGTGTGTAAGTATTTTGGCAAAGTCTTCTTGTTGAATTGAATCCTTTATCATTATATAATGCCGTTCTTTGTTCCTTTTGACTTCTGTTGGTTTAAAGTCTGTTTTATCCGATATAAGAATAGTGACCCCTGCTCCTTTTTGTGTTCTGTTGTCATGATAGATCTTTCTTCAACCTTTTATTTTGAGCCTATGGGTATCATTATATGTGAGATGGGTCTCCTGAAGACAGCAGACAGATAGGTCTTTTTTTTTTTTTTTTTTTGCGAAGTCTTGCTCTGTCACCCAGGCTGGAGTGCAGTGGCACTATCTCGGCTCACTGCAAGCTCTGCCTCCTGGGTTCATGCCATTCTCCTGCCTCAGCCTCCTGAGTAGCTGGGACTACAGGCACCCACGACCACGCCTGGCTAATTTTTTGTATTTTTAGTAGAGACGGGGTTTCACTGTGTTAGCCAGGATGGTCTCGATCTCCTGACCTCATGATCCGCCCGCCTCAGCCTCCCAAAGGGCTGGGATTACAGGCATGAGCCACTGTGCCTGGCCAGGTCTTGTTTTTTTAATCCAGCTTTCCACTCCGTGCCTTTTAAGTGGGGTGTTTAGACCATTTACATTCAAGGTTAATATTGATATGTGAGGTTTTGATCCTATCATGAAGTTATTAGCCAGTTGCTTTGAAGTTGTTAGTTGGTTGCTTTGTAGTTTCTATTATGTACTTGCTTTATAGGGTCTGTGGGCTGTGTACTTAAGCATGTTTTTGTGGTAGCAGATATCATTCTTTCATTTTCATGTTTAGAAATTACTTAAGGATCTCTCGTAAGGTTGGTCTAGTGGTTACTGCTATATTTTTAAAATGCTTTGCCAATCCAAAATCTCTGATGTCTCCTAGAAATTGCAGTTTTATCATTTGCATTTAGATCTAGATCACTTTTGAGTTAATTTTTATATAATGTTTATAAGATTCAGGCCAAAGTTCATTGTTTTGCATGTGAATATCCAATTGTTTTGCACTCTTTGCTAAAATACTACTTTTGCTCCATTAAATTGTGTTTGTATCATTGTAAAAATTCAGTTGACTATATTTGCATAGGTCTATTTTGGAACTCTCTCTTCAGTTTTATTGATCTTTCACTAATATCACGCTGATTTGATTATTATAGCTCTACAATAATTCTTGAAGTTAGATAGTGTGAGTTCTCCAACTTGTTCTTTTTTAAAATTGTTTTTGCTGTTCGATTCCACGGTTTTTCTATATATATTTTAGAATCATTTTGGGGATATCTGTGTAAAAGCTTACTGGAATTTTGGCTGGGACCAAATTGGGGGAAATATATTTTTTTAACAGTATTAAATCTTTCAATCCATGAACATAATACATCTCTTCATTTGTTTGGGTATTCTTTGATTTCTTTCACAAATATTTTCTGGTTTTCAGCATAGAGTTCCTGCACAAAATTTGTTACATGATTATACATAAGTGTATTTTTCTTTTTTGGTATAATTAAATGTAGTCATTTTTTATTTTAAATTCTAATTATTTACTGTTAGTATACAGAAATACAATTGAGTTTTTAAAATTGACTTGTGTTTTGGAAAACTCACAGTTTTAAAATGTATGGGTTTTTTTAAAGATTCTTTAGAATCTTCTGCATAAGAAATCTTGGGAACTGTGGTTACAGAGAGTTTTATTTCTTTCTTTCCAAACTATGTGCTTTATTTTTTTCCTTTTAAGTCTTACTGGCTAAGAATGTCAGTATGGTGTTGAATAGAAGTGGTGAGAATGACATCCTTGCTTTGTTTCTGATCTTAGGGGAGGGGAGGATATTCAGTTTTTCACCATTAAATATTATGTTTGTGTAGGATTCATACAAGTGTCCTTGATCATGTTATGTAAATTTTCTTTTTATCCAAGTCTAATCAGAGTCTTTACCATGAATGGATGTTGAATATTGTTCAATTTTTTCAAACTATTTAATCAGGTGATTTTTCCTGCTTCAGTTTGTTAATGTGGCAAATCAGCCTTGCATTCCAGAGATAAATCCCACTTGGTTGTGATATAGTGCCCTTTTTATGCAATGTAATATTTGATTTGTTAATATTTTGTTGATGATATTTGCATCTACATTCATGAGGGACCAAGATCTTCAGTTTTCTTTTCATGTAATGTCTTTGTCTGGTTTTTAAATTATGGTAATGCTGGCTTCATTAAATGAGTTAGAAATTGATCTCTTCCATTTTCTGAATGATATTGTGTAGAAATAATATTTCATCCACAAGTATTTGTGGATTTATTTATTAGTTGACACTATCTGGGCCTAAAGTTTTTTTGTTTACTGTTGCTGAAAGGATTTTCAATGACAACTTTAACTCCTTTAATAAACATAGGACACTCAGTTATCTATTCCTTTAATTTAGTTTTAATAACTTGTGCTTTTCAAGAATTTGGTTAATTTTTATCTTAGTTCTCAAATGTATAGGCATAGAGTTTTTCATAATATTCTCTTAGTGTTGTGGGCTTTTGTTGTTGTTTTGTGTTTTTTAATGTCTGTGGACTTTGCAGTGATGGCCTCTTTTATATCAATAATTTTGTCCTTTCCTCTTTTTTCTTCCTCAAACCAGCTAGAAATTTATCAGTTTCACTGACAATTTTTTAAAAGTAGCTTTTGGTTTCATTGATTTTTTTTCTTTTTTAAAAATTCATTTATTTCTGCTCTTTATTATTTCTTTTTTCTGTTTTCTTTGAGTTGGCATTTCCTCCTCTCTAATTTCTTAAGGTTGAAGCTTAGATTAGTGATTTGAGACTTTTCTTCTTTTCTAATACAGTCGTGCTGCATGACAACATTTTGGTCAATATGCATCAGTAGTCCCATAAGATTATAATGGAACTGAAAAATTCCTCTTGCCTAGTGATGTAGCCATTTTAAGGGCATAGCACTACATATTATTCATGTGTTTGTTGTGATGCTGATGTAAACAAACCTACTGTGTTGCCAGTAGTGTAAAAGTGTAGCAATACAATTATATATAGTACATAATAATGAATGGCCGTGTTAGTGATTTTTGTGTTTACTATACTATACTCTTTTTCATTATGTTAGGGTGTACTCCTATTTAAAAAAAACTTAACTGTAAAATAGGCTCAGGCATGATCTTCAGAAGATACCCCAGAAGAAGGCATTGTTTTCATAGAAGATAGCAGCTCTCTATGCCTGTTACTGTCCCTCTAGACCTTCCAGTAGGACAAGATATGAAAGTGGAAGACTGTGATATTGATTCTGAGGCTGTGTAGGCCTAGGCTGGTGTGTCTTAGATTTTAACAAAACTAAGTATTTGTGTGTTTGTGTTTTAGTTTTTAACAAAAAAGTTAAAAGGTAAAAAAGAAATAGAAAAAAGCTTATAGAATAAGGATAAAAAAATACTTTTGTATAGTGGTACAATGTGTTTGTATTTTAAGCTAAGTGTTATTACAAAAGTCAAAAGTTAAAAAGATTAAAAGCTTATAAAGCAAAAAAAGATATGGTAACCTAAGTTTAATTTATTATTGAAAAATATTTTAAAATAAATTTGGTGTAGTCTAAGTGTACACTGTTTATAAAGTCTACAGTTGTGTACAATAATATCCTAGGCCATTACATTTACCACCACTTACTCACTGACTCACCCAGAGCAACTTCTAGTCCTGTAAGCTCTATTTATGGTAAGTGCCCTACACAGGTATACCGTTTGAAAAATCTTTTATACTGTATTTTCATTGTACCTTTTCTATGTTTACGTATGTTTAGATACATAAATGCCATTGTGTTACAATTGCCTACAGTATTCAGTGCAGTAACATGCTGTACAGGTTTGTAGCCTAGGAGCAATGGGCTATGCTATATAGCCTAGGTATGTAGTAGGCTATACTATTTAGATTTATATACACTCTGTGATGTTTACACTACAATGAAATTGCCTAATGATGCATTTCTTAGAATGTGTCTCTGTTGTTAAGTGATGCATGACTGTATAAGCTTTCAATGGTATACATTTCCCCAAGCAATACTTTAGCTACATTCGACAAATTTTGATAAATTGTAATTTCATTTTCATTCAATTCAAAATGAATTATTTCATAGCAAAATATAAGCTACCAATCCTAACTCAAGACATAGAAAATTTAAACCAATTATAAAAGAAGAGATTATATAAAATTGATCTGAAATCTGCCAGATAGTTTCAAAGCTGAGTTTTATTTAATATGTTTTAAAAAGATAATTCCAATATTATTAAAACTGTTCCAAACCATTTAGAGAAAGAAAGTGTTTGTAATTTATTTTATGACATAACTATAACCTTAGCAAAATAACTTTATTAAATGATGGAAAAATAAATGTGCTAGACACCATTCTCATTTGTCAAGACAAATATAAAAATGATACATAAAATATTATCCATTAGAATCCAGCAGTACCTCAAAAGAAGATTATTTTATGATCAAGTAGGGTTTATTCTAGGAATGCATAGTTGGTCCTGTGCCTGATATTTATAAACGTAATTGATTAATGAGCACATTAAAGGAGAAAAATATTATGATAATTTTAATAAATTTCAAAAATCACAATAAAATTCAGCAGCTATTCTTAATAAAAGCTATAGTTGAAGCTAGGAATATAAGAAAACTCCTTAAATATAATAAAAATTACTTATAAAAACTAACACCAAATTATTTACCAAAAACTAACATCACTTTTGGTGGTATAACACTAAAGCCATTTCCATTAAAATCAACACTGTTTTGGAAGTTCAGGTAAATTCAAAAGTAAAATAAAAATAATAAATATTACAAAAATAGAATTTCCTTCAATTGATAACATTATTGTATACATATCACAAACAGAGTTTAGTAAAAGAACTACTAGCTAGTAATAGAGTTAATAGAGTAGCTTAATAAGAGATAAATATGCAAAGTTAACAGACTTATCTACTAGTTACAACAAACTATAAGAAATGATTCTGTACACATAATGATACAAATGATAAAATTTTTGAAATAAATCTGGCATAAATGGTGTAGAATGTATGCTCAGAGAAGTATCAAACCTTAATGAAAGACAAAATCTGATCAAACTGAAATGTACCATGTTCTTGGAAAAGAAGACTTAATATCACTCAAAATATCAATTCAATCAATTCTCATTTGTTTTTGTTTTGAAGAGTTGGCGTGGGGGATCATGTTAACATTGCTATGGAAGAATAAGTGCCTGAGAATGGCCAAGATTATTATGAAATTAGATAATGTTCAGGAAGTTTGCCTCACATTGTTAAAAAATTAAAATAAAAAAAAAGAAAGATAAGAGCCCAGAAATAGATGTTGATACATGAGTGAATTTATTTATTTATTTATTTTTATTATACTTTGAGTTCTAGGGTACATGTGCACAACGTGCAGGCTTGATACATAGGTATACATGTGCCATGTTGGTTTGCTGCACCATCAGCTCATCATTTACATTAGGTATTTCTCCTAATGCTATCCCTCCCCCAGTCCCCCACCCCACAACAGGCCCCAGTGTGTGATGTTCCCCACCCTGTATCCAAGTGTTCTCATTGTTCAATTCCCACCTTTGAGTGAGAACATGTGGTGTTTGGTTTTTCTGTCCTTGTGACAGTTTGCTGAGAATGATGGTTTCCAGCTTCATCCATGCCCATGCAAAGGACATGAACTCATCCTTTTTATGGCTGCGTAGTATTCCATGGTGCATATGTGCCACATTTTCTTAATCCAGTCTATCATTGACAAACATTTGGGTTAGTTCCAAGTCTTTGATATTGTGGATAGTGCTGCAGTAAACATACTTGTCCATGTGTCTTTCTAGTAGCATGATTTATAATCCTTTGGGAATATACCCAGTAATGGGATCGCTGGGTCAAAAGGTATTTCTAGTTCTTGAACCTTGAGGAATCGCCACACTGTCTTCTACAATGGTTGAACTAATTTACACTCCCACCAACAGTGTAAAAGTGTCCCTATTTCTCCACATGCTCTCCAGCATCTGTTGTTTCCTGACTTTTTAATGATTGCCATTCTAACTGGCGTGAGATGGTATTTTGTTGTGGTTTTGATTTGCATTTCTCTGATGACCAGTGATGATGAGCATTTTTTCATGTGTCTGTTGGCTGCATAAATGTCCTTTTTTGAGAAGTGTCTGTTCATATCCTTTGCCCTCTTTTTGATGGGGTTGTTTTTTCTTGTGAATTTGTTTAAATTCTTTTTAGATTCTGCATGTTAGCCCTTTGTCAGATGGGTAGATTGCAAAGATTTTCTCCCCATTCTGTAGGTTGCCTGTTCACTCTGATGGTAGTTTCTTTTGCTGTGCAGAAGCTCTTTAGTTTAATTAGATCCCATTTGTCTATTCTGGCTTTTGCTGTGATTGCTTTTGGTGTTTTAGTTACGAAGTCCTTGCCCATGCCTATGTCCTGAATGGTATTGCCTAGGTTTTCTTCCAGGGTTTTTATAGTTTTAGGTCTAACATTTGAGTCTTCAATCCATCTTGAATTAATTTTTGTATAAAGCATAAGGAAGAGATCCAGTTTCAGCTTTCTACATATGGCCAACCAGTTTCCCAGCACCATTTATTAAATAAGGAATCCTTTCCCCATTTCTTGTTTTTGTCAGGTTTGTCAAAAATCAGATGATTGTAGATGTGTGGTATTATTTCTGAGAACTCTGTTCTGTTCCATTGGTCTATATCTCCGTTTTGGTACCAGTACCATGCTGTTTTGGTTACTGTAGCCTTGTAGTATAGTTTGAAGTCAGGTAGCGTGATGCTTCCAGCTTTGTTCTTTTTGCTTATGATTGTCTTGGCAATGTGGGCTTCTTTTTGGTTCCTTATGAACTTTAAAGTAGTTTTTTCCAATTGCATGAAGAAAGTCATTGGTAGCCTGATGGGGATGGCATCCAATCTATAAATTACCTGGGGCAGTATGGCCATTTTCACGATATTGATTCTTCCTATCCATGAACATAGAATGTTCTTCCATTTGTTTGTGTCCTCATTTATTTAGTTGAGCAGTGTTTGTAGTTCTCCTTGAAGAGGTCCTTCACATCCCTTGTAAGTTGGATTCCTGGGTATTTTATTCTCTTTGTAGCAATTGTGAATGGGAGTTCGCTCATGATTTGGATGTTTGCCTGTTATTGGTGTATAAGAATGCTTGTGATTTTTGCACGTTGATTTTGTATCCTGAGACTTTGCTGAAGTTGCTTATCAGCTTAAGAAGATTTTGGGCTGAGACAATGGGGTTTTCTAAATACACAATCATGTCATCTGCAAAAGGGGCAATTTGACTTCCTCTTTTCCTAATTGAATAGTCTCTATTTCTTTCTCTTGCCTGATTGCCCTGGCCAGAACTTCCAACACTATGTTGAATAGGAGTGGTGAGGGAGGGCATCCTTATCTCATGCTGGTTTTCCAAGGGAATGCTTCCAGTTTTTGCCCATTCAGTATGATATTGGGTGTGGGTTTGTCATAAATAGCTCTTATTATTTTGAGATACATTCCATCAATACCTAGTTTATTGAGAGTTTTTAGCTTGAAGTGCTGTTGAATTTTGTCAAAGGCCTTTTCTGCATCTATGGAGATAATCATGTGGTTTTTGTCGTTGGTTCTGTTTACATGATGCATTATGTTTATTCATTTGAGTATGTTGAACCAGCCTTGCATCCCAGGGATGAAGCCAACTTGACCATGGTGGATAAGCTTTTTGATGTGCTGCTGGATTCAGTTTGCCAATATTTTATTGAGGATTTTCGCATTGATAATCATCAGGGATATTGGTCTAAAATTCTCTTTTTTTGTTGTGTCTCTGCCAGGCTTTGGTATTAGGATGATGCTGGACTCATAAAATGAGTTAGGGAGGATTCCCTCTTTTTCTACTGATTGGAGTAGTTTCAGAAAGAATAGTACCAGCTCCTCTTTGTACCTCCAGTAGAATTTGGCTGTGAATCCGTCTGGTCCTGGACTTCTTTTCGTGGGTAGGTTATTAATTATTGCCTCAATTTCAGATCCTGTTATTGGTCTATTCAAGGATTCAGCTTCTTCCTGGTTTAGTCTTGGGAGGGTGTATGTGTCCAGGAATGTATCCATTTCTTCTAGATTTTCTAGTTTACTTGTGTAGAGCTGTTTGTAGTATTCTCTGATGGTAGTTTGTATTTCTGTGAGATCAGTGGTGATATCCCCTTTATCAATTTTTATTGCGTCTATTTGATTCTTCTCTCTTTTCTTCTTTACTAGTCTTGCTAGCAGTCTATCAATTTTGTTGATCTTTTCAAAAAACCAGCTCCTGGATTCATTGATTTTTTTGAAGGGTTTTTTTGTGTCTCTATCTCCTTCAGTTCCGCTCTGATCTTAATTATTTCTTGCCTTCTGTTAGCTTTTGAGTTAGTTTGCTCTTGCTTCTCTCATTCTTTTAATTATGATGTTAGGGTGTCAATTTTAGATCTTTCCTGCCTTCTCTTTTGGGCATTTAGTGCTATAAATTTCCCTCTACACACTGCTTTAAATGTGTCCCAGAGATTCTGTTATGTTGTGTCTTTGTTCTCATTGGTTTCAAAGAACACCTTTATTTCTGCCTTCATTTCATTATTTACCCAGTAGTCTATCAGGAGCAGTTGCTCAGTTTCCATGTAGTTGCACAGTTTTGAGTGAGTTTCTTAATCCTGAGTTCTAATTTGATTGCACTGTGGTCTGAGAGACAATTTGTTGTGATTTGTATTATTTTACATTTGCTGAGGAGTGCTTTACTTCCAATTATGTGTTCGATTTTAATATAAGTGCGATGTGGTGCTAACAAGAATGTATATTCTGTTGATTTGGGGTGGAGAGTTCTGTAGATGTCTATTAGGTCTGCTTGGTGCAGAGCTGAGTTCAAGTCCTGGATATCCTTGTTAACCTTCTGCCTTGTTAGAGACCTACTCTTTGTAGGTCTCTAAGGACTTGCTTTATGAATCTGGGTGCTCCTGTATTGGGTGCGCATATACCTAGGATACTTAGCTTTTCTTGTTGAATTGATCCCTTTATCATTATGTAATGACCTTCTTTGTCTGTCTTGATCTTTGTTGGTTTAAAGTCTGTTTTACCAGAGACTAGGATTGCAACCTCTGCTTTTTGTTGCTTTCCATTTGATTGGTAGATCTTCCTCCATCCCTTTATTTTGAGCCTATGTGTGTCTGCACGTGAGCTGGTTCTCCTGAATACAGCACACCAGTGGGTCTTGACTCTTTATCCAATTTGCCAGTCTGTGTCTTTTAATTGGGGCATTTAGCCTATTTACATTTAAGGTTAATATTGTTATATGTGAATTTGATCCTGTCATTATGATGTTAGCTGGTTATTTTGCCCATTAATTGATGCAGTTTCTCCATAGCATCAATGGTCTTTATAATTTGGCATGTTTTTTCAGTGGCTGGTACCAGTTGTTCCTTTCCACGTTTAGTGCTTCCTTCAGGAGCTCTTGTAAGGCAGGCCTGGTGGTGACAAAATCTCTCAGCATTTGCTTGTTTGTAAAGGATTTTATTTCTCCTTCACTTAGGAAGCTTAGTTTGGCTGGATATGAAATTCTGGGTTGAATATTCTTTTCTTTAAGAATGTCGAATATTGGCCCCCACTCTCTTCTGGCTTGTAGGGTTTCTGCTGAGAGATCCGCTGTTAATCTGATGGGCTTCCCTTTGTGGGTAACCCGACCTTTCTCTCTGCCTGCCCTTAACCTTTTTTCCTTCATTTCAACCTTGGTGAATCTGCCAATTATGTGTCTTGGGGTTGCTCTTCTCTTTATGGTGTTCTCTGTATTTCCTGAATTTGAATGTTGGCCTGCCTTTCTAGTTTGGGGAAGTTCTTCCGGATAATATCCTGAAGAGTGTTTTCCAACTTGGTTCCATTCTCCCTGTCACTTTCAGGTACACCAATCAAACGTAGGTTTGGTCTTTTCACATAGTCTCATATTTCTTGGAGGCTTTGTTTGTTTGTTTTTACTCGTTTTTCTCTAAACTTCTCTTCTTGCTTTATTTCATTAATTTGATTTTCAATCACTGATACCTTTTCTGCCACTTGATCAAATCGGCTATTGAAGCTTGTGCATTCGTCATGTAGTTCTCATGCCATGGTTTTCAGCTCCATCAGGTCATTTAAGGTCTTCTCTACACTGTTTGTTCTAGTTAGCCATTTGTCTAACCTTTTTTCAAGGTTTTTAGCTTCCTTGTGATGGGTTTGAACATGCTCCTTTGGCTCAGAGAAGTTTGTTATTACCGACCTTCTGAAACCTACTTTTGTTAATTGATCAAAGTCATTCTCCGTCCAGCTTTGTTCTGTTGCTGGCAAGGAGCTGTGATCCTTTGGAGGAGAAGGGGCGCTCTGGTTTTTAGAATTTTCAGCTTTTCTGCTCTGGTTTCTCCCCAACTTTGTGGTTTTATCTACCTTTGGTCTTTGACGTTGGTGACCTATAGATGGGGTTTTGGTGTGGATGTCCTTTTCGTTGATGTTGATGCTATTCCTTTTCGTTTGTTAGTTTTCCTTCTAACAGTTAGGTCCCTCAGCTGCAGGTCTGTTGGAATTTGCTGGAGGTCCACTCCAGACCCTGTTTGCCTGGGTATCACCAGTGGATGCTGCAGAATAACAAATATTGCAGAACAGAAAATATTGCTGCCTGATCCTTCCTCTGGAAGCTTCATCCCAGAGTAGCACCCGCCTGTATGAGGTGTCTGTCGGCCCCTACTGGGAGGTGTCTTCCAGTTAGGCTACATGGGGGTCAGGGACCTACTTCAGGAGGCAGTCTATCCATTCTCAGATACACCCGCCTGTATGAGGTGTCTGTTGGCCCCTACTGGGAAGTTTTTCCCAGTTAGGGTACACGGGGGTCAGGGACCCACTTGAGGAGACAGTCTCTCCTTTCTCAGAGCTCAAACACCATGCTGGGAGAACCACTGCTATCTTCAGAGCTGTCAGACAGGGACATTTAAGTCTGCAGAAGTTTCTGCTGCCTTTTGTTCAGCTGTGCCCTGCCCACAGATGTGGAGTCTATAGAGGCAGTAGGCCTTGCTGAGCTGCAGTGAGCTCTGCCAGTTAGAGCTTTCCCGGCCACTTTGTTTACCTACTGAAGCTTCAGCAATGGCAGATGCCCCTCCCCCAGCCAGGCTGCACCCCTGCAGGTCTATCTCAGACTGCTGCGCTAGCAGTGAGCAAGGCTCCGTGGATGTGGGACCCACTGAGCCAGGCATGGAAGAGAACTTCCTGGTCTGCCGGTTGCTAAGACCATGGGAAAGTGCAATATTGGGGCAGGAGTGTCCCGTTTTTTTCACGTACAGTCTGTTACGGTTTCCCGTGGCTAGGAAAGGAAATCCCCCGACCCCTTGTGCATTGGAAATGCCCCGACACCTTGCCCTGCTTCAGCTCGCCCTCTGTGGGCTGTACCCACTGTCCAACCAGTCTCAATGAGATGAACCAGGTACCTGCAGAAATCACCCATCTTCTGCGTCAATCACGCTGGGAGCTGCAGACTGGAGCTGTTCCTGTTTGGCCAACTTGGAACAGGGGATGGAGTGAATTTAATATATGAAAACAATGGCATTCCAATCTAGTGGAAAAGAATAGTTTCTTAATAAATGGTACTGGAACAATTGGCAATCCGTATGTGCCATTTTGGATTATAATCCACATAATCCAAATGTCTCTATAAAAATTTCAGATGCATGAAAGATAAATGGGAAAAAAGATTTTAAAATATTAGAAAACATAGGAGATTACATGTGCAACTTTAAGGCTGAGGATACCATTTTCACCAACATAGCAAACTCAGAAATTATAAAATAATAGAGGAACCTAATTGACTATATAAAGAATTTTCAGGGGGAGTAACTTAAGATGGTTGAGTAGACACAGTCAGGAGAAACATTTGCCACTGATGGATCAGGACATCAGGCAGACTGGGCGCACTTCTAGCAGACCTTCAGAGGGAAGATATTGAGAGTGAATGGAGGGAAGATACAGATGCTAGGCTGAGGGGAGGTGAAGCTTGCAACAGCACTGGGACTCATTCCTAGTCCCCAACAACTCTTGGGGAATAAGTGAGTTGAACAGGCAAGGAGCAACCTGCTCTTGCCATGGGTCTCTATAATCGTGGCAGCAGGAGATGCCATGATCCCCATGGACACTTGAGGTGGCAGAGAGAGCTGCTTAGAGAAGTGGTAGGGGCAGAACTCCAGCCTATGTGGAGCCCAGAGGGTTTGGTATGGGAGCATCTGTAGTGGAGCACAGCCAGGGATGACCATCCCCAAGGCTCACCTTGTTCCCCTAGGAGACCTTAGTCCAAGGGGAACTGTTAGACCTGAACAGTGCAGGGCAGTCTTGCCCTTGAGATGGGGCTGGTCTGACCTGAGCACGCTTTGGTCTGCTGGTCTCTCTTGGGGCCACAGCATGGCTGCACCTGCTTGCAGTGCAGCCTTGGATGCCCACATGGTGTGCCTTTTGGGGGGCTCCCAGCATAGTTCCTGCACTGGTGGATTGTGACTTACTGGCAGAGAGCTTCAGTAGAGCAGCACCAGTCTGCTTGCACCCTTCCCCAACTGCAGCCTCCCCCATGCCACTTTGCCTGTACGTGGTCACCTATAGCCAATGCCCAAATTGTTTTGCCAGCACGAGTGTGCAGGGGCAGACATTGCCTCCACTTCTCTACCAGTGTGTGGGAGCATGTAGACCCTGCCAGGTCACTGATGCCAGCATGAGTGCACCTCCCCCCCCCATCCCCTGCACTGTGCTGGCATTGCCATCAGAGCATTTGCAGGCACACAGACAGAGAGCCCTACACTTGCTGGCACCCCACCCCTTCACCAACACTGCTGCCAGGGTGAACTATGCATGGTCACCATGGACTCACCCTGCACCCTGTGCTGCCACAGCTGCCCACATGAACATGCACATAGAAGGCACACATAGTCCTGTGCCCACCAGTGCCCCGCTCCTGTGCTAACACTGCCACTGGTATGAGTGCACGTGTGGATGCTGGAGGGACATCCTGGCCCTTCCCCTGTTCTGTGTTGCCGTTGCTGCTACTGCAGATGCTGCCTTTGCAAACACCCACATGGAGGCCAGCACCCCTGCAACCACCAACCCCCTGCTGCAGCCAAAAAGCATGTACCCAACCACACTGCCATTGTTGCTGGCATATGCAAATGAGGACAGGTCCTACTGCCACTGCTCTATGAAGCACTTTGGCCAGCACCACCTATTGGAATGTTGTGGCCAGTGGACCAGGAACACGTTGGCTCCTTCAGTGCAGCAGATTCCTAAACATGAGGGGCTAAAAACAAAGTCAAGGGCCCAAAGGCTCCCAGAGTTAGAACAAGCAGTCCATGAATCCTGAACTAAGCGTTGGCCCCTGAAAATCTTCCAGCTTATGCCACAATCAACCCCCAAGGACATCAAATAGAATAAAAAAAATCCAAAGGACAGCAACTTCAAAGACTGAAGGAACATCAGCCTATGAAGATGACAAAGAACCCACGTGAGAGCTCTGACAATTCAAAAAGCAAGAGTGTCTTTTTTTTTTTTTTTTTCCCACAGAGCCTTTCTCTGTCGCTCAGGCTGGAGTGCAGTGGCAGAACCACGGCTTACTGCAACCTCCGCCTTCTAGTTTCAAATAATTCTCATGCCTCAGCCACCTGAGTAGCTGGGACCACACGCATGTGCCACCAAACCTGGCTAATTTTTGTATTTTTAGTAGAGACAGGGTTTCAAATGGGTTTTTGCCATGTTGGCCAGGCTGGTCTTGAACCCCTGACCTCAAGTGATCTGCCCATCTTGGCATCCCAAAGTGCTGGGATTACAGGAGTGAGTCACTGTGCCCAGTGAAGCGTGTCTTCTTACCTGCAAACAACCACACTAGTTCCCCAGCAATGGTTCTTAACCAGGCCAAGATGGCTGAAATAACAGTAATAGAATTCAGAATATAGAAGGAACAAAGATCACTGACATGCAGGAGAAGGTCAAAACCCAATCCAAAAAGTCTAAGAATTACAATAAAATAATACAGAAGCTGAGAGATAAAATGGCCATTATAAGAAAGAACCAAAGTGATCTGATAAAACTGAAAAAACACACCATAAGAATTTCATAATGCATTTGCAAGTATTAACAGAACAGACCAAGCTGAGGGAAAAATCTCAGAGCATGAATACTGGCTCTCTGAAATAGTCAGAGAATAATAAAAAATAATAAAGAAGAATGAACAAAAAATCTCCAAGAAATATGGAATTATGTAAAGAGATCCAATCTGTGATTCACTGGTGTCCCTGAAAGAAAGGGAGAAAAACCAAGCAACTTGGAAAACATATTTGAGGATATCATAACTGAAAATTTCCCCAACCTTGCTAGAGAGGCCATTGTTCAAATTCAGGAAATGCAGAGAATCCCTGTGAAATACTAAACAAGAAGACCACGTCTAAGACACATAGACATCAGACTCTCCAAGATTGCAATGAAAGAAAAAATGGTAAATCAAGTAGAGAGAAGGGGCAGGTCATCTACAAAGGGAACCAGCCCATCAGGCTAACAGCAGACCTGTCAGCAGAATCCCTATAAAGCAGAAGAGATTGGAGGCCTATATTAAGCATCTTTAATTAAAATAATTTTCAACCAAGAATTTCATATCCAGCCAAACTAAGCTTTATAAGTGAAGGACAAATAAGATCATTTTCAGACAAGCAAATGCTAAGGAAATTTGTTACCACCAGACCTGCCTTACAAGAGGTTCTGAAGGGAGTGTTAAATATAGAAAGACCATTATCAGCCACTACAAAAACACACTTAAGTATATACACCAGTGACACTATGAACAACCACACAATCAACTTTGCATAATAACCAGCTAACAACATGATGACAGGATCAAATTCACACATATCAATACTAACGTTGAATGTAAATGGGATAAATGCCCCCAATTAAAAGCCACAGAGTGGCGAGTTGAATAAAGAAGCAAAACTCAAGATTTTGCTGTCTTCAAGAAACCCATCTCACATGTAATGATACCCATAAGCTCAAAGCAAAGGGATGGAGAAAAATCTACCAAGCAAACAGAAAAAAGCAGATATTGCTGTTCTAATTTCAGACAAAACAGACTTTAACAAAGATCAAAAAAAGACAAAGAAGGACATTATATAATGTTAAAGGGGTCAGTTCAATAAAGGGGTCAATTCAACAAGAAGACCTAACTGCCCTAAATATGTATGCACCCAACACAGGAGCACTCAGATTCATAAAGCAAGTTCTTAGAGATCTAAAAAGAGATTTAGGTAACTACACAATAATAGTGGGAGACTTTAATACCTGACTGACAGTTTGGGGCAGAGCATTGAGACAGAAAACTTACAAAGATATTTGGGACCTTTACTCTACACTTGACTAAATGGATCTTATAGACATCTACAGAACTCTCCACCCAAAAAACAACAAAATGTACATTCTTCTTTCCTGCATATGCCACATACTTTAAAGTCAACCACACAATTGGGGCTACAACAATATTCAGTATATTAAAAAAAGAAATCACAGCAACCACACTCTTGAACCACAATACAATAAAAATAGAAATAAATGCTAAGAAAATCTCTCAAAATGATACAATTAAATGGAAATTAAACAACCTGGGGCCTGAATGACTTTTGGGTAAGTAAGGAAATCAAGGCAGAAATCAAGAAATTATTTGAACCTAATGAGAAAAAAAGATATAACATACCAGAATCTCTTGGACATAGCCAAGGCAGTTAAAAGGGAAGTTTATAGCACTATATACCCACATCAAAAAGTTAGAAAGATCTCAAATTAATGACTTAACATGACAACTGAAGGAACTAGAGAAGCAAGAGCAAATCAACTCCAAATCTAGCAGCAGACAAGAAATAACAAAAATCAGAGCAGAGACGAAGGAAATTGAGTCATGAAAAATCATACAAAAGATCAATGAATCCAGGAGCTGCTTCTTTGAAAGAATTATCAAGATAGATAGACCACTAGCTAGACTAATAAAGAAAAAAAGAGAGAAGATACAAATAAGCACAATCAAGGATGACAAAGAAGACATTACTACTGACCCCACAGAAATACAAAAAAAAAAAAAACCCTCAGAGATTATTATAGTTTCAGTAGAAATGGTTTCAGTAGAACAAATAAGATCCTTTTAGACAAGTAAATACTAAGAGAATTAGGATTTTCTTGTCTGCAAAGAATCTTATTTGTCCTTCACTTATAAAGCTTAGTTTGGGTGGAAATGAAATTCTCGGTTGAATTTTTTTATGAACTCCTTTATTTCCACAAGCTGGAAAACCTAGAAAAAAATGGGTAAATTCCTGGAAACATACAACCTCCCAAAAAAAGAACCAGAAAGAAATTGAGTCCTTGAATGGACCAATAATGAGTTCTCAAATTGAATCAGTAATAAAAAGCCTACCAACCAGAAAAAGCCCAGGACCAGCTGGATTCATAGCTGAATTCTACGAGAGGTATAAAAAAGAGCTGGTACCATTCCTACTGAAACTATTCTAAAAAATTGAAGAGAAGGACTCCTCCCTAACTCATTCTATGAGGTCAGCCTCATCCTGATACCAAAACCTGGCAGAGACACACACACACAAAGAAAACTTCAGCCAATATTCTTGATGAACACAGATGCGAAAATACTCAGCAAAATACTGGCAAACTGAATCCAGCAGCTAATTAATGTGATGCACTTATATAAAAATAACTAAAAGAAAAAAAAAAGGCCATCTCAATGGATGCAGAAAATGCTTTCAATAAAATCCGACATCCCTTCATGTTAAGAACCCTCAGCAAACTAGGCATTGAAGGAACATACTTCAAAACAATAAGAGCCATCTATGACAAACCCACAGCCAACATCATACTGAACAGGCAAAAGCTGGAAGCATTCCCCTTGAAAATCAAAACAAGACAAGGATGTCTACTCTTACTACTCTCATTCAACCTTGTATTGGAAGTCCTAGCCAGAGCAGCCAGGCAAGAGAAAAAAAATAAGAGGCATCCAAAAACAAAAACAGGAAGTCAAATTATCCCTGTTTGCAGACTACATGATTCTATATCTAGAGAACCCCTAGCCTCTACCCAGAAGCTCCCTGATCTAATAAACAATTTCAGCAAAGTTTCAGGACACAAAATCAATGCAGAAAAATCAGTAACATTCCTATACACTAACAATATCCAAGCTGAGAGCCAAACCAAGAATGCAATCTCACTTACAATAGCCAGCCACAAAAAGAATAAAATACCTAGGAAAATAGCTAACCAAGGGGGCGAAAGACCTCTACAATGAGAATTACGACACACTTTTCAAAGAAATCAGAGATGACAAACAAATGGAAAAATATTCCATGCTTATGTATAGGGAGAATCAATATTGTCAAAATGGCCATAATGCCCAAAGAAATGTGCAGATTCAATGATCCTATTCCTATCAAGCTACCAATGACATTATTCACAGAACTAGAAAAAACTATTTTAGAATTGATATGTAACCACAAAAGAGTCCAAATAGCCAAGGCAATCCTAAGCAAAAAGAACAAAGCTGGAGGCATCATATTACCTGACTTCAAACTATACTATAGGGATACAGTAACCAAAACAGTATGGTACAGCTACCAAAACAGACACACATACCAATGGAACAGAATAGAGACCCCAGAAATAATGCCACATACCTACACCCATCTAATCTTTGACAAAATTGGCAAAAACAGCAATGGGGGAAACACGTTCTATTCAATAAATGATGCTGGGATCACTGGCTAGCCATATGCAGAAGATTGAAACTGGACCTCTTCCTTACACCATATATAAAAATCAACTCAAGATGGATTAAGTGCTTAAATGAAAATCTGTAAAAACTCTAGAAAATAACCTAGGAAATACCATTCTGGATATAGGCCCCTGGCAAAGATTTCATGATGAAGATGCCAAAATCAATTGCAACAAAAGCAAAATTTGACTAATGGGACCTAATTAAACTAAGGAGCTTCTGCACAACAAAAGAACTCTCAAGAAAGTAAACAGACAACCTACAGAATGGGAAAAAACATTTGCAAACTATGCATTCAACAAAGGTCTAATATCCAGAATCTACTAATATAAGGAGCTTGAACAAATTTTACAAGCAAAAAACAACCCCATCAAAACTGGGCAAAGGACATGAACAGACACTTTCAAGAGAAGCCATACGTGCAGCCAACAAGCATATGAAACAATGCTCCACATCACTAATCGTTAGAGAAATGCAAATCAAAAGTACCATGAGATACCACCTCACACCAGTCAGAATGGCTATTAATAAAAAGTCAAAAAATAAAGATGCTGGTGAGGTTGTGGAGAAAAGAGAATGCTATGTACTGCTGATGGGAGTGTAAATTATTTTAGTCATTGTGGCAAGCAGTTTGGTGATTTCTCAAAGAACTTAAAATAGAACTACCATTCAACCCAGAAATCCCATTATTGGGTATATACCCAAAGGAATATAAGTTGTTCTGCAATAAAGACACATGCACACATATGTTCTTTGCAGCACTCTTCACAATAACAAAGACATGGAATCAACCTAAATGGCCATCAATTGTAGACTGATTAAAGAAAATGTGATACATATACACCATGGAATACTACACAGCCATAAAAAGAACAAGATCATGTCCATTACAGCAACATGGATGGAGCTGGAGGTCATTATCCTAAGCAAATTAACACTGGAATAGCAAACCAAATACCACATATTCTCACTTATAAATGAGAGTTAAACATTGAGTGTACATGGACACAAAGAGGGAAACAACAAACCCTAGGGTGTACTTGAGGTAGTGGGTGGGAGGAGAGTGAGCATCAAAAAACTACCTATTGGGCACTATGCTTTTCACCTGGGTGACCAAACCCCATGATATGCAATTTACCTATATAACAAACCTTCACATTTACTCCTGAACCTAAAAGTTAAAAAAAAAGAAGTCTCATCTTCCTTTGACATAGTTAACAAGGAGACCACTTAAGATATGATCACTCATTCTGCTTGTACCCTCATCACACACTCCTTCTATATGATTACTCTGAGATCTATGGTACAAGTCATTGGCAGAGAATGCAAGTACTGTGGACTTTGTGACTCCTTGGTAACCACCTATTGGGTAGAGAGCATCCTAGGATTTTCCATGGGTCTTGTTCCTTGCCTCCTGGGTGACATAATTTCTTTGTGGATGTGTAACTCACTGGCCTACCTCATCAATACCTGGACAGGGTTTCTATCAGGAATGAAATGAAGAGTTATTCTCAAGCTGTCACAGGATTTTTTTGCTAGTATGTTGACCTACCTCTTTGTACTTGTCTCCAGTCTTATGGCTTTCAGCCCCTGTGGTGTTGCTGGTGAATGCCCTCCTTACTCTCCAAGATATTCTTCTTCGATAGATTATTGGTGCATGCTACACAAAAAGGGAAATATGAACCGAGGAAATAGCTTGTTTTTCTGGAAGATCCCTTTTGGGAAGACTTATTCTTGCCTGACAATGTTAATTTGAAGATGTAAGGCAGGAACACCGACTTTTCTGTAGTCCCAGATGCACAGAATTAAGAGAGAGAGTGTGGATTTATTTATATTGTGGCACAATTTTTAAATAATCATTTAATTTTGGGAAAAAATTTTAAAAATCCTTAATTTATTTAAACAAAAAGAAAATGCACATGCAGTTATTTCCCTTTGTTATTTGGGAGTATAGCGGAGGTAAGGAATTTGTAGGGAGGGAAGAGGTAATCAAAGAGTAAGAGATTACATAACAATGTCATAATAAAAAATAGTATGTAGCGTACCCAATTTAGTTAAAATGCATTAAGATATGTATTAAAAGATGGCCACAAAATTTTTGTTAATGATAGATTCCTCAGAAGTTTGTATTTCATGTGATTTTTTTCACTTATGTCGTTATACTTTTGTATATTGCTGATTTTTTAAATTATAAAGATGTATTATTTAATTAGAAATAGAAGTTTCACTGTAATAAATAAAAATGAAACAAAATGCATTCATCAACTCAAAGGAATTTATTTTAAAAATCTGACATCCAGTGAGAAGGTGAAGACTTAGGGTTGCTGAACGTAGAGAACACCTGACGTAAATAGTGGGAGGAGGGCCAGGAACTCTTCCTGAGCCACAGAGAAGACACACCTAGAACTGACTTAGAATCAGTGAAAAAAAAAAATTTTCAGCCATTCATCTTGGGACTGGGATCAAGACAAATGCTGTGAGCAGGGAAATAATTCTCTAAGTCCTAAAGTAGATGTAAGCCATTGCTTGGTTTATCTTCAACAGAAAGTAACAACAAAACCCAAACTGTATAATAGAGTCCCAATTCTAGAGCTGAAGACTTAGGAAATATTTTAAATAGCAAAATGTTTCAATGTACTTCTCTAGTTTTTAGATAAAAAGTCATTCAAAAGGAGAAATCAGAAAGTGAAGTATTTTGTCCCCATTCAAGGGGGAAAAAGTTTAAACTAGTTATCATTTGGATAGAGGATGAAATAACTGATTTCAGACTCTGTTTTTCCAATAGGACCAGCACCACCAGTAAGAAAGACATGATCACTTCCCCAGAGATTGTGCCAAAGAAAAGTTGTACTCTTATATTCTGTAAGAATTGTTGCATTGAGATGATTTTCAAAGAAATTCCCAAGAAAGAAAAATCACAACATTCTGTTCTCAAGGTGATAAAGACTTGCTTCCCAGCCTGAACACTGGCTTTGGAATCAGGTACTTGGAAAGCAGTTTTATCTAAAACCTATTTCGCTTATCAAGTTAGGGTATGCAAGCTTTTTATTCTTTCTTACTCTTAGTTTTTTCATCTATAAAATGGGAGTGCTGATAATAACACAGTGCAGAAAAGAATATGTACCTGACTTACTTTATGTGTATGTAGCATAATTCAAATGTAAGCGTAATCATGAAAATATTGATTAGAATGGGCAAAGTGCACAAATGTCACAACCAAAGTAACTTAAATAAATGTATTTTTTTCACTCAAAAGCCATGATTATAAGCTACTTGAGATCACTGGGGAGACATATTAAAATAAATAGCAACTGAGAAGATTTTAAATGTGGAGTCTTAAATCATGAAACACAGAGGAATGTCAGAAATAAGCTAGTTCAATGTGTTTATTTTACTAACACAACTAAGGCTGTGAAGGTAGTAAAGATAGTTGATCAAGGTTGAATGGCTTCTTGGTGATCATTTTGGGACTAAAATTCTCTTGACTCTCCACCTAGTGTTTTCCTCCTCACAAGTGAGAAAAAATTCACTGTAATAGAGACCCCCAACCCAACTGCAAGATGCAGCTTATAAAGTCTTTCTTGACTACTCCTCACTACCTCCCTATCCATAGAAGTGACCTCCACTAGTCTGATAGTTCTTTGGGGGCAGAAACCATGGTGTATCCATCTCTCTGGCTGAATACAGAGAGAGAGATGGTGTTTTCATCTCTCTCTCTCTCTTTCTCCTTTTCTCCCTTCCTTCCTTCTTTTATTTCTTTTTCACTCTCAGACTTCCACTGGTGCTCAGGATTCATGGAGCAGCATCAGGGGAGTAAGGAAAAGTCTGGAGCTCTCTGATCATTTCAGAGCCCTCTCCTGGGGCTCATGGGTTAGGGCAAACCACAAGCCCATGGCTCCTACACAGAAATGTGGAGCAGCCCTTTTATTGATATGGAGAAGGTAACTATGATTTCTATTTCACTTCCTTGTAAGTCTTGGAAATGCAGGCCCAGATCTAGGCCAGGCAGGAAACCACTCTGTTTGGTAGAGTGAATGGCAACCTGGGCCTTGTCTCTAAACTCCTTCTGCTTATGTAGGATGTGCCTGAATGTTCTGACAAAGTCAGGAGCTGCCTGGGCTGTGGCTGGGCTTTCAAAAACCTTCCAAAATCAGGCCTGAAAACCCTCAGGAATGTGAGATACATCATGAGCCATCATGTGGAGCTGGAAGAGAGGTGCATGTGGCAGCGCAGGTGGAATATCCATCCTTATGTTCCCAGTGTTTTGCTGTAGCTGGCACATAGCTGGAGTTCAGCAAATGCCTTTTGGGTGAATGGCTGAATGATGGATATTTGGATGGATGAGACGAGTGGATGGATAAAGCTCTGCACTGCAAAGAGATTCTGTAAAGCTTTGTCTCACTTCAGGCCTGGTATGGTTATCCTTATTTGCAAAAATCCAAACTAGGACTTTATTTAGCCTTTGAGCATGTAGAATTTCCATTCTAGTAACAAAGTATTTTCAACTGAAATAAAATTAGATAATAGGAGTATACTAAAGACCCTTTTCTAAATGTGGCCTACTTGACTATTTCCATTGCCGAAGCAACTGCTGTCTAAACAGTCTTGACTGAACTGAGGAACCCAGAAGTCTTAGTAGGCAAAATTAGTGCCTACTCTAGTTTTCTGCCTATTCATTTAGGAATATTTCTGTTACTTACAGAAAATATAAATATCTGTTCAATTCTGTCCTCATATAGTAACACACTTACATTCATTAATTTAAAAAATGTTTAGCTAAGCCCAGAAGATTCATTTGACTATTACTAAGCAATAGAGGAAGATGGTGCCTGACGGCACACAAAGCTGACCCAAGCTGGCCCTGTGTCACAGAGGAGTTAGAAGACAACTCATATAGCAGTTAAGAAAGGACAAGAAAGCTCTTTTGATATCTCCTTATTTGGAATCCCAAAGCATATGACTCTAACACTGCTCTCTACTAAGGGACAAATGTAAGTTCCTAAGGTTCTAATATCTAGCCGAAATTGTAAATGAAATGTTGACTTCTTCTCAACCTCCAAGCCCAGTGTTACTTCCTGGAAGTAAGAACACAATGTAGTAAAGAAGATTTCCCCAACAGAGATGAATCAGGTTTGCTTCAGCCTATTAGAATAAGGAACTGTCTAACATTTGGGGCATCCAACAAAGGGGGGCTGCATTAGTCAGACTTTTCTAGGATATGCTGTGATAGCAAGTACCCGAAAATCCTGTCAGCCCTACAATAGGTTTTCTCTAGTCCAAGTTACTGGCCATGTGAGAGTTAGCTGTATCTTTATTCTAGGAGCAAGGGTAAAGGGGCAGCCCCTATCTGCAACATGCATGTCTAATAGCAGTGGAACAGAAAGATGAGAGGATGAAAACACGGCTCTGTAAGCATTTTCTCTGTAGTGGTCCATGTCTCTTCCTTTCATATATCTTTGGCCAATGCAGGACCAAATGCAGGGCCAGGTTAAGCCAGGCCTTATGGGTTGACTTGTATCCCTCAAAAAACATATATCAAAGTCCTAATGCCCAGCACTTCAGAATATGACCTTATTTAAAAGTAGGGCCATTGCAAATATAATTAATTAAGATAAGGTCATAGTGGAATAGGGTGGGCCCTTAATCCAATATGTCTGATTTCTTATAATAAAGAAGAGACACAGACACAGAGGGAAGGCCATATAAAGTCAGAGACAGAGATTAGAGTCATGTTTCCACAAGCCAAGGAACACGTGGGCCTACCAGAAACTGGGAGAGGCAAGGGAGGACCCTCTCCTAGAGGCTTCAAATGGACCATGGCTCTGTTAACACCTTGATTTCAGACTTCTAGTCTCTAAAACTGTGACTGTGAGAGAATACATTTCTGTTGTTTTAAGTCACCCAGTTTGTGGTTCTTTATTATGGCAACCCTAGGAAACAAATATACCAGGCATCATAAGGGGACAGGGTGGGCCAGGAAAGGGCAAAGGGAGGGACCCAGTAAGAAGGGCCAGCAAATATTTAGATATAAATGCAACCTACGATGGGAGTCCAGTGCAGTCTTTAGCAGAGACCACCCATGACCACCCATGGTTGTCTGCCAAGACAGGGATCCTGCATTAGACAGAAACGGTGGTTCTTAACCATTGCTGGGCATGAGAATCTCCTGGGAAGCTTTGAAAATGCCCATATTTCAGATTCACCTTAAAAAATCTCCTACCTTCTGAGGTACTTGTTCATAGATTTGGAGCAGATTCTGGGAAGGTACATTTTGAAAATAAGCTCCCCAGGTTCCAAGAATCTGATGCATATCTCTGATTAAAAGCCACAGAGTAGAAGGCCAGTGTCTCCTCCAAAGTTCCTCACAATGCCAGGCTTCTAATTGTGGCTCTGGCTCAGGGTCAAGTGACTTCTTGGTGAGCTTGTTCTTTTGGTTTGCATTAAATGCATTGAAGATCTCATTGAAACTGCAAAGGCATAGATTTCTTTTTCAAATATTTAAAGTCCCAAGCTCTAGTCAGGGTTTCTAGAATCACAGAACATTTGCTTTGATCCCAGAAGCTGGAAGGTGAGTGAAAGGACAGTTCCACAAATTTTTTTTGACTCTTCCAGGTAAAGCATGAAGGAAGGATGATCTATACAGCTCTTGTTTTGCTATAGGAAAACTACTTTTGGTGATAATTGTTGCTCTCAAAATATGTTTGTTATAGATCGCATGTTTATCCCCACAAAGTTTGTATGTTGAAACTCTAAATTTCAGTGGGAAGGTATTAGGAGGTGGGCCCTTGGGAGAGGTAGGTTTAGATGAGGTCATGAAGTTGGAGCCCCCTTAATGGGATTTAGTGACTTTATTTGGACACAGATAACTTCCTTTTTTAAGGGGGGAATTTGCATATGAAGGGGAGTCACTAGAAGCAGCCTAATGCCACTGAAGATATAATTCAGAACTATGATTTGAATAAACACTTGGAAATAACCTGCCAAGTTAGCCTCTCTCCTGTGAAGTGAACGAAAACAAGTCCTTTCCCAGCAAGCAAATCCTACATCACTTGCCTTAAACAGATTCTCTCCACTCCCACACCTTGAGAAAGAGCTTTCACTACCTTTCTGGGCTAGGCTGTGCATCTGGGATTATCAGCCAGATCTGGTGTCATAATCATTGAGGCCACCGTCAGAACATTCAGCCAATTGGCACTGAAAGACAGCAGTCCGATTTCCCAACCTCATCCACTGTTCTGTAATTCCTCACTTCTAATTCCTTGACTATCTCCTGGAACTTTTCACTGTGTTCCACTTACTACATTCTCCCTTTCTCTCCTTTGCCCTGGGAGTCACAGCGGGCAACTTACCAACTCTCCATAAAGCCAGAAGAGGAATGTTAGCATTCAGTTCATGTTGCACTACTCTCTAAATCTTTCATCTTTCACTCTCTGATAAAAGATCTTCCTTTGAGGCTTTTGCCCTATTTAGTCTTGTTAACCTTTCTCAACCCAGTCATGTATTATTAACCATTCAGTCATTTCCTTTCACTCTCTTAAGACTGGCATTAGGCTCTTAGTAATCCTCTCCTCTTTCACTCTTGCTGATACCTGGGGAGATCCCAACATTTGGAATCTTCATCTGTCCAACAACCTAGCTTCACAGTTCCTCGTCTCAACTTCTGCTGTCCGTCAATTGATAACTGTCACCCCAATCATACAAATATTAAAAGAGAGGCAAGAAAGTAGCATCTAAAAGAAATATGGATAAAACTTACATTTTTTAATGAAAAAAATTAAGCAATAGAAGCAACTTGTCTCTTTCTTTGGAGGGGAGGGAATGGGTGCAGATAAAGACAGACTTATGAGTTTAGAAGGTGGAAAATAAAGAAGTATTGACAAATAATTTTTAACTTCTTTGCAAAATAAAAGACAAGATCATCTTCTGAGAGTGGGAGAAAAAATAGGTGGATTGAAGGTTTGTGGGGAGTAGCAATGGTTGAAAATACTGTAGTCGAAGAGCATGAGCGAACAAATTATCAGAGAACTATCGTACAACTGCCAGCAGGTGGGGGCCTGTTTTGATGGGGTGGTACCAATCTGCTCTATTAAGTGACTTCCTCTAGCAGGTGTAAAGAAAATAAATACTTGGCTTCATGGAGGTCAGGTTTTTGTTGGAGAGTTATGAAGTGGTTTCTTCCTTTCTTTTTTAAAAATTATGTATCCCCCATGACTAGCACGTGGTAGATAGGTAACAAATATAATCATCCTTGGTATCATGCAGGATTAGTGACAAGACCCCCCATAGGTACCAAAATTCATGGATGCTCAAGACCCTTATATGAAATGGTGTAGTATTGGCATATCATTTACACACATCCTTCCATATACTTCAAATCATCTCTAGATTACTTATGATACCTAATGTAATGTAAATGCTATGTAAATAGTTGATATACTTTAAATCTCTAGATTACTTATAATACCTAGTATAATGTAAATGCTATGTAAATAGTTGTTAATACTGTATTGTTTAGAGAATAATGACAAGAAAAAGTCTTTACATGTCCAGTACAGATGGAAGTGTTCACTTTTCTTTGAATAATTTTGGTCAGTGATTGAACCCAAAGATACAGAACCCACAGGTATGGGGTGCTGATGGTATTTGAACATTTTTTCCACTGTACAAGACAGTCTCTTTGAAACAGTGTTATTGCATGAAGGACCATGATATCTAAGCTGGCAAAGGAGGAAAATAAAGGAAGATTATTGATATATTGGAAAAAATATATGATTCAATATAGAGGACCCTGTGAGGTTGAAAAGGAAGAAAGAGAGAGAGCCAGAGACAGACAGTCAGAGATGGACAGAGACTTAAAGAAATTGTCTCACATAATTGTGAGTCCAAAATCTGCAGGACAGGCTTACAGGCTGGAAATTCAGGTAAGAGTTGATGTTGCAGTCTTGAGTTAAAAGACTGGAAACTGAGGCAGAATTTCTATGTTATGATCTGGAGGCTTAATTCCTTCTTCTTTGGGGGACCTCAGTCTTTGCTGTTAAAGCCTTCAACTGATTGGATGAAGCCCACCCACATTATGGTGGGTAATCTACTCAAAGTCTACTGATTTAAATTTTAATCCCATCTGAAAAATACTTTCACAGCAATATCTAGGCTGGTGTTTGACCAAACAACTGGGCACCAAAACTTAGTCAAGTTGACGTATAAAGTTAGTTATCACAGGTAGCAATGAAAGGAGACAAGATTGTAGTTAGAAAGTTGATGATTAAACTGGTGAATCTGGAGGCAGAGCAGTACAACAGAGTCCATGGAATGATAAATGTGGATAACTAGGGTGGCAAGAAGATCACTGGTGATGTGAAGATCGAGCATAATGAGTCCAGCATAATGACTGGATTCACCCACTTGGACGATGAAATCTAGGATGCTGTCAGGTGAGACAGAGAGAAAAAATGTAAGCCATGAGATAGAATTTTACTGAATGATCAGTAGTGATCAGACGGAAGAAAGATAACCAAGAAAGTGAGAGAGGGTAATGTAGTCAAATGGCATGAACCCAGTGGAGAGGTCTCCAACCCTCTGCTCTACCATTGGGTGACCTTAAAGAAATCACTTAATCTCTGTGTGTCCGTGCTTCTTCAAATTCCAACTCTAGTTTAATATTCAAAAGTTGTTGTGGGAGTCAACTATAGTGGTCAATGGTAAAGTAGTTTGGAAAAGGCAGCCAGACCAGTCAGAGAGAAGTTAGGGTTTCTTGATATTTATAGTTAGTAAGCACTGGAGTGTGTCTCCAAACAAATTTAAGGAATTTCTGGTTGTGATTTAAAGGAGATGTGGTAGCCAACCTCCACCAGGACCCCCAAATGATCCTCATTCTCCTGGTACTCCCACCCTTGCATAGGGCCTTCCTGCATTTAACAGGGCTGACTTGTGTAACAAATAGAATGTAACAGAAGTGATGGTGTGTGACTTCCAAGACCAGGTCATAAAAAGCATTGTGGTTTCCTCCTTGCTCTTGGATCACTTACTTTGGTGGCCACCAGTCACCATGACATGAGGACACTCAAGCAGTTCTATGGAGAGACCTAGGCACAAAGAACTGAGGCTTCCTGATAACAGCCATGTAAGTGAACCATTTTGGAAGCAAATCCTCTAGTCCTGGTTAACTTTTCAGATGACTGCAGGCCCATTCAGTATCTTTACTGCAAGATGAGAAACCTTGAGCCAGGAACACTCCCATAAGCTATTCCCGAATTCTTGACCAACAGAAATTGTGAGTGAAAAATGATTATTGTTTTAACCTACTAAGCTTTGAGGTAATTTGTTATGTGACAATAAATAAATTATGTAAGAGATATTTGTTTCCAATGAAACTTAAACCTCTTTATTCATGCTTCCTACCTGTGTATAGACATGAAAGTAGATATTTTAAATGTATACTGACAGAAGTCTGGAGGCATCTTTTTGTTGTGAGGCATTGGGTGAATATCTTTTACGCCTTAGACTTTGGCTTACTCAGATGTAAAATGAAGGGTTGCCCTGATTCTCTGAAGGTCCTCTCTAGCTGCAAACTCTGTGGGCAACCTCTTGAATGAGATAGTTGCTCACGAAACACACACAATTTCACTATGATGCTAAATTAAAGTTCAACAGACCAATTTCATTGACTGAATTTTCATAAAACTATTTTTTTCAGAGAGAAGGCAGACTACAGCAAGTCAAAAAAGAACTGGAGAGAATATAGGGAATTCACTAATTCTAAATTTAATCTTCATAAAGAAGTGTCTCATGACATACCTCAAAATTGTGTTGCATTTGGTTCTGCCATAGCGATATACTTGATAATATTTTTATGTTTCTGTTCCTTCTAGACTTGTTTCACTTTATAAATAATATTACATTTTACTAAATTAAATTTTTAGAGTTACTTCTATAACTATATCTCTCCAATAACTAAATGATTTGAAAATTGGGAAGAGTATATAACAGAATAGGTTATCTAGTATTTTAGATACTTATAATATTCACACAGTGAATTTCAGCTATGATTAAATCCATCAAGTTCCCCCATTCGCTCATTTTAAAAAGGAGATTCAGCCATATTAAGTCAATTAAATTGCTTTTATGTTTATTTTATCCTCTGACCTAGATTCCTGTACTCTCCCATTGGCTTTAACTTTTTGTGGGACACTCTTGTACTGGAACTGATTTTTAGAGTATCTTTAGTGTGGCTAGTTGGTATTCCCAAGAAAGTAACAGACTCACAGTATTCCGTTTTACATTTTCCTAGTTATGGCGAGATTGTTCTTTTCCCAATCCCTCTTTATTTTTCCTCTTGACATAAAACATTTACACACATCACTTATCTCCTCTACACAATTTATTACAAACTAAGGGGAAATGGGGCCTCTGTCTCATTTATTTTTAGGATTGTGTAAGCATTTGCTCTTGTTAAATATTGCTATTAACTGACTATATTGGACACTTCTTAAACACCTTCAGGCCTTTAGCTACCTGCTCTGCCTCAGCTGCTATTTCTGCCTACCAGTCCCACTCAGAACCCACATTTCTCACTGTCTGAGGCCAACCAGTTGCTTGCCTGTGAATGCTGGCCCCTCTGACTTGGCAGCTGCTGTATGACCAGGCTAACCATGTCTGGTCTCTGTCATCACTTGTAACTTTAATGAAATGTCACACTACAGACATGGACAAGGAAGCCAGATTTTACAACCAGAAAGTCAAGTGTGGGGGTACAGGTGGGGTATGTGTGTGGTGGGGGTTATCTATCTAAAGGATGAAATTTGGCCAATTGAAAACAGGTATTGTCAGGGAATCCACTGATAAATTTCTTCTCCTTTCTCCCTTTCATAGATTGGGCAAGGCACAACTTCTGGTGCTGCCCTGCATGGCTGTGCAGATGTCCCTGAAAGGTCACCTGCTCTGTGTCTTCTAGGGTCCCTGTGAGAGAGTAGACGGAGAAGTCATGCATCACCTTGCACTGTCCCCTTTCCTTCCCTGACTGGCTTCTCTTTATGCTTTCTCCAGCCTGGGATTTTATCTCTCACATAAAGACAAACCTTTATCTTAATCCTCACCTCAGCCTTTGTTTTCCAGAAAATGTGAACTAAAACACTGACCAGTTTTAAAAAATGGTAACATATTTATACTCTTTTTCTATCTTTCTGCTCAAAATTTACATGGTACTTTGGGAATCTGCCTGCCTATGTGACTCTATAGGCAACTTTTAACAATGCTTTCAAACATGCATACATAGGAGATATAATTTCTCTTCTATAATTAAGGATAAGTGAGCTACACTGACCTGCTTGCTGGTTCTTGCACATTCCAGGCACATTCCTGCCTTTGTATTTTCTATGCCTTCTGCTTACACTATTCTCCACCCAGACATCTGCATTCCTGCACCTCCCTCAGGTCTGTGCTGTCAGTCTTTCCCTGATCATTCTATTTAAAGTCATAGCCCCCTCCCTTCTTCTATCAATTACCTATCTCATCTCCTGCTTTATTTTTTATAGCTTTATTGCGCTCTAACACATATTATACTTATTTATTTTGTTTATCTGTCTCTCCCAACTAGAATATAGGCAGCACAATGAGGGCAGTAATTTTCTGTATATTTTCTTCACTGCTGTAATGAAGTTCCCTCCAGTGTCTACAATAGTGCCACACATGCTCAATAAGTATTTTTGGAATGAATGAATGGATCAATCAATCAATCAATAATACGTATTAGAAAGCAACTTTCTTTTTTTATTTTATTATTATTATGTTTTGAGATGGAGTCTCACTCTGTCACCAGGCTGGAGTGCAGTGGTGCAATCTCAGCTCACTGCAACCTCCGCCTCCCCGGTTCAAGCAATTCTCCTGCCTCAGCCTCCCGACTAGCTGGGACTACAGCTGCGCGCCACCAGGCCTGGCTAATTTTGTTTTTATTTTTAGTAGAGACAGGGTTTCACCATGTTGGCCAGGATGGTCTCAATCTGTTGACCTCATGATCCGCCCGCCTCAGCCTCCCAAAGTGCTGGGATTACAGGCATGAGCCACCATGCCCGGCCTAGAGAGCAACTTTCTGATGTGTCAGTATTGACTCATTTAGTTCAATTTTGAAGAAAGGTAGAATAATATGTGTCATTAGAAGACCTAAATTGGGTTTGCATGGTGAATGGGTGCATAAATACAGTGAAAATGATAAAGTTCCTAGGGGGAAACCAGATCTTTATCATCAAATAGGCACCGAGAATCTACTATGTACTTACCCCAACCAAGATACAAGAGATACAAGCAAATATAAAGATATGATAGTCCTTGTCACAAGACTTATCATTTTGCTTAAGAAAATTGGCATTATATGAATTAATTAGAGAAATTTGAAGTTCTCAATCCTCTGTGATTTGACTATAACTGCATTAGCGGTTCAGGGGCAAGAAAGGAAGCAGATGTTAGACCCCTTGCTCTAGCTCTCCCACTCCTGCAACTTTTGACAATTGACTCAACCTCTTCCTAGTCCCAGTCCCCACCTATGAAGTTGGGATAATCTCCTAGGGATTTCAGAAAGAATTAAATGATACAATGCAAGTAAATTGCCTAGAACCCTGGAATTGCTCAATAATTATTAATGGTTATAATATTTTATTATAATTTTAAGAAGCTACGTATTTCATAGAGAAGGTGAGGCTTGAAGAATTAATAGAATTGGGGGCAAGAGGAGAGAGTAGACATAGGTTAAATGAGGGAAAAACAAGTCTAGAAACACAAAGAAATGGAGACACATGGTCTACTGAAGGAAGTGTGCCCAGAGGTGATGGGATGGGAAAGAAAGCAAGGAGGGAGAGATATGTGGCCAAAGGTAAGGGGGAACTTGGGCTTTACATACAGCTTTGATCACTGGGTTTTGAAGATCTTGGGAATGGAGGGAAGAAGACAGAGAGAAGATAGGTAGAATAAAGAGAAGGAAGAAGAAAAGACAGGAAAAAAAGTTGAGAAGCAAAAGGAAAGCCCAGCCATTGGCCATATATAGCCTTCTCATGTATAATATTCTCTTAGAATTTATTTAAAGCATTAAGATGAGAGGACAGTTCAGAGCACTGGATTAATTCCCTTTTCTCTCTCTCTCTCTCTTTCTCTTGCCTTTTTATTAAGAAAATAAAAGAGACTTTGAAATATTAAGAGATAGTGGGATTAGAACCTTCTCCTGCCAGCCCCAGTCTTTCCTCCCCTATTAATTTCCACTTGATTAGAATTCTTTTTGAAGTATTTAAATATGGACAATGGGAAATAGAAGGGTGAGTTATTGAATATCAGTTAGACAGTATTAGTATAATCATGGCTCCCATTATTTTATATAGACCCTTCATCTATATGTATAGTTTCCATTAGGAATAAAGTAGACACCTCCTCTCCCCTACCTCAAGTAATTATGATTTTTAAAAACCATAATGAAACTCTTAAAAGTTAATAGCCGATTTGTAAATCCTCAGCTTAAAATTTTAATTTAAAAAATAAGTTTTAAAACTCTAGAAAATTGAGAGGTTTTTTTTCCTTACTTGCCTTTAAAAAAAAAAAAAGACATGAGAGACTTTTCTTACACTAAACTCTTGAATTGGTGAGGGCTTTTAGCACGTACACACTTTTGAAAGGAGCCATGGCTTTTTTGATGGATGCTGTGGAACTCTGAGAAACCCTCTTCACGTAGGGGCTGTGTGGAGAGGGAATGTTATTGGTATTCAAAAGTTCTTCAAGAACACACAGCAAATGTCTCCATGGGAAAAGCAGCTGCTTATTCTCCCTTGAATAACCTAGGTCTCATGACTGTCTAGTCCTGACATTGTCCTTCATGCTGAAGGCTTCATCTAAAGACCTTTGAGGAACAAAATAGGGGGTCTCAGAGCCATTTGATGCATAGAGTTGGGGCTTGCTGAGATGATCACTGTGAAATTCCTGGGGTTTTCTAGCTCTAAGGACTATGGATCTTTAAAATAAATTCTTTGATAAATAGCAATTTGTAAATCTTTTTTGAAAACCTAGAAATGTCATAGAATTTAGAAATCCTGTCTTTTCACGTTAGCATTCACTACTTTAGGCCACAAATGTTTAATTGACTTACAAGCAATATCTTTTTTTTTTTTTACGAATACTTTCATACAAGCACAAATTGTGCTAATAACTTCTGTTAGACGTATATATTTCCTCGGCACATACAAAAACTAACTCCCACCACCAACATGGGAAAGGACATAGACACAGGACTTATGTTGAAAGATTTCAGGTTCCTCAGGAATGAGGAATGTGAGAAACAGTGAGAAAGTCCAAGCCAAGAGGTGCAATGGGGAACCAGGGCATAAAAATAGAGATACAGAATGAGAAATTCAGCCCAAACTAATTAGGAAAATACCGGTCTGAATCGGTGAAAAGTTTCACTCACATTCATCCCTTAGCCTTTTAGAGGAGTAAATTCTAAGTCCCTCTTGGATCTCCCACCTTATAAATATTGCTGCACCATAGAATTAGTCCCATAACTACACAGTTAACATGAATGGAAAGCTCCAATGCCACAATGAAAGGTACTTGCAGCTCACATAAGTGGCCAGAATAAGTGCCTCATTCCTGTGCCCCAGTCTGCAGCTTCTGGTTCATATTTGTGCCTCAGCAAAAAGATTTTACTGAAACATTTTGTGCATCTTTGGGTCACTGTTAAATTACTAAACTCCTGAATATTAAGCCTGTGCCTGCAAATGTCACAGGTGTGATCCACAAATTATGGTTGAGAAGTCCATTTAGTTGTGTTGAGGTATTTAAGATTGGACCCTCTGATGCCTGACAAAGCATCCTGTGGAGTGGTGCTTCTGAGCCTGCTGTGATGAATGGATGTACATCACCATTCCTTGAAGGCCAGGGCAGCGTTCAGCATCCCTCACATCCCCTGGGACATCAATCCAAGACATACTCTTTGCACTGAAATAGAAGAGCCAAAAATTTTTGAACATATTTTGTGTATTTGATGTCCATGCTTTCAGAACAACAACAGAATAGTGAAACATTGTTAAACAATAGGCAATAATACTACAGAATGCTTTAAATTGGAATCACCTGAACATTTTAGCCTTGCACTCACCTTGTGTTGGGATCGCAGTTGGTTGAATCTATGCTAAGCTCATTGTACAAAGTGAGCAAAACGACCCTTCTGGACCCTCCCTCGACACACTGAAGCAGTAGTCTGTGAAGGTGCCAGGCAGGGCCAACTTCATAGTGTGTGACCCATGCTGTAGTAGTGGGCTCCTGGCCTTACCTAAAGTCGTGCAGACAGCCCTAGAGGGAGTACTAGAGGTACTCCCTTCTCTCTGGAAGCCCGTGGTCAAGTACAGATCTCTTAATCCTTCAAGACCCAGCTAAATCTCACCTTGTCCTCAATGATGGCCCTGACTGCCAAAACCCTCATCATTTCGTTGGTACTGTGGAAGCCATCAGCACCTGGCACCTGTACCACATAGCCCTGTTGTACTCTTTTGTTTTATTAATCCATTATTGCTAATTTTGGCCCAAACTTATGCTCTTAGAGTTCAGCAACTAGTTCTTGTACATCTGCTGTATCTGAGCTGATATTCTTCTTAGTGTGATTCACTCATAGAAATGGCTTCAAACAATGGGTAAAAGAAGCACATGGCTGATGCTGCACTCTCACCCCAAAGCCCAGCCTCCAAAACATTCCACTGTACCTAATCCTCTGGCTCCACCTGTACCCAGTGGGAAATGTAGGCTTCTAGTCACACTGAGAAATTCAAGCTAATAAAATTTCTCCTACATCCCTGCTCCTGCAGTTTTCAGGTTGCTTTAAGATAACGTGTCTTTGGACAGAATTCATATATTTTGTCTCTTAAATAGTGCTTGTACACAATTTGCACAAAGTGGCTTGCATTTCTGTATTTGGCTAAACCTGGGAAATTCCCTCTCATCAAATTCGAGCAGAGAGAGAGAGAGATTCCAAAGACAACAGACAACAGGCAGGAAAATGAAAAGAAAAAAGAAAATACCATTTTAAAATCACTATGGGTTTTTTGCTTTTGCAAAAGATTTTTAAAGCCAAAGAATAAGGTAGGGTGGAAAATTATATGAAGCAACCATGCAACCAGAGAAAGGGAGGAGACAAAATACAACGATTGTTCCATCTCTGGTTTTCTCAATACAAAACAGGAGGGAAAAAATGAATGAGAAAGGAAGAATTATTCTCAAAATCTCTCATGGTATAAAATCAGTTGGTGAGGAGTGTTACTAGCTTGGAGCTAGGGGGAAAAATCATTTCTGAAGTGCATGTTTAGAGGGTGTTTTTTTAATGCAATAAAAATGTAAAACAATTTGAGGGTGGGGTAGGGGGAGGCCTTTCTGCAACAGCAGCTGCTCTGTCTTTAGGCTCTGGGCAAAGATGCCTCATCCCATCCTTTCAGCAATCCATTATCAGGCCTCTCTCCTTCGCATTATTCTCCAGCAACCTTATCAGGCACAAGCATCGCCTCAGATGCTGCGACTGGAGTCTTGTAATTGTCCCTGGTTAGAGCTCAATAGCACCTTGAACCATCAGAGCAATCTCAGCTTTTAAGAAAAGGTCTCCACAAGGAGAAGCGGGTAAGAGAATTTGCCTGTGGCTATGTGAGTTCTTTAATAGCGAACTCTCCTCTGCCAGCCCTAGCTGCAGAGCCTATGGAGAGATGAGAAGTCTCTTTATTTATCACCAGGCTCTTCTGAGTGCCTGTTAGGCAGTGATCATATTATTTATTACCAGGTATGTGGTGCTGTTGGGGGTGGGGTGGAAAATGATTTTCTTAATGGGTCTTCTACAGATTTAGGGACTTGGGAGATCAAGGTGGGGAAGGGGAGGAAGAAAATCTGAAGACATGGAATATTGGAAGGGGTTTGCTGGTGCTGCTTAAAGGTAATACAGAACAGCCTCACAGAAAAATATAATTTATAAACACACATTATACATGATTAATTATGTTAATTCAGGATTAAAGGAGAGGAGGGGTGTGTTTTTCCAGTGTGTATTTATCTGCAATCAGGTCACCTAGTGCTTGCAATAAGTTTGGAGAAGTCATTTAACTTTAGCAGCTCCATGCTATTTCCCACCCTCATCCCTTAACCCCACAAAAACAGAACTTTTCCTGCTAAAGAACTAGCAGGGATAGATTCAGAGCCAGAGAACTAAATTTTCAAAAGTCAAGAAGACCCATATCTAGAGATGTGATCAGGAAGTATCAGGCCCTCCGAAAGTTTCACTTTGTAGACCATGAGTGCTTAATTTAAATAAATCACCCATTTATGTTCCTTCCTGATACATAAATTCTACCAAGAGACTGACTATGCAATACAGACTTTGGAGTCAGAGAGAAGGATTTTTGTCAGAATTCCTCCACCATTCAAAATAGATATTCTAAATCAGGAGGAACCTCAGCAAGAATGGGAAAATTCATCAGGTTCAATGGGAGCCCAGGTGAGTGGCCCCTAGAGCAGAGACTTCTCTGGCCAAACCAAGAGATGGGCAGGCAGGTGGTGAGTTCCAGATGGAGCTTCTGGGGCAAGTGTCTGCTTCTGCTTGTTCCAAACTTATTGCTAGGTCCTCCAGGCAGTCTGGAATGCCCACCAGTTGAGAGGACAACTGAATCAGGAAACTCGTCACTAAAAATCATGTTATTCATTGATGATAAGGACTAAATGCAACAGATCTCCTAAAATGAAAGAGACTCTTCCTCCCTCCATCCAACCTCCCACCTGAAATAAGCGGTTCAGCTGGAAGATATGTGTATTAATCAGGATTAGGTTCAGTTGCAAAGTACAGGTACCCAACTACGGTCACTTCAATAAAACGAACTTATTCCCTTATGTGAATTCTGGTGGTTGGCATGTAGGGCTGTTGTTGCTGATGCTCTACAATCCTTAGAGCATGGTTTCTAACCTCAGGGTTGCCTCATGGTTATGAAATAGTTAGTGTAGCTCTGGCAATCATATCAAAATTCCAGAAAAGAAGCAGGAAGAAAGAAGAAGGAAGAGGAGGAAAAGAGAAAGGAGAGTCCATGGCCATGCTACCCTGAACACACCCGATCTTTTCTGATCTCAGGAGCTAAGCGGGGTTGGGTCTGGTTAGTACTTGGTTGGGAGAAAGGAGAAGAGGGAAGGAGAAAGATAAGGGGTAAAGAGGAACTTGTAAAAGGGCACATGTGCAGGGAGTCATCTCTCCCTTTAAGGCACATTCCTAGAAGCACACTACTCAACAACTTCCAGTGTTCAGGAAATCCTTCTCCCATCATCTTCAGCTTGTACCTGATTTATCAGAACATCACACAGCCACTCCTATCCATTAAGAAAACTTGGCAATGTGTGTTGTGTTGTTTTAAATGTCAGCAATACCATCAGCCCCAACAAAATCAGGGTTCGTTATTAAGGAAAGGGAGAGTGAATATTAGGTAACAACTAGCCATTGGCCCTAAGAGAGAGATCCAGGCCTTGAGGAACATGCCCACGACATGAGTACTGGAAAGTAAAGGCTCCTGCTAGACTAGGGGGATGCATCTTCTCCAGGAGACTCAACATCTTCAGCTACCCCAGGCCTGAGGTCCCTGGAGGAAGGTTGCCCCAGGGGCAGGACCAGAGCTTCATGACAAAAACAAAAACCTCAGACCCCAATGAGTCCTTGTTGGCACTAACTCTGGCCCACTGGGGTGTCTATCTTGCCCTCTTTGGGGCCAGTGTCTGTAGCAAGTCTAACTTAGCTAAACTTGTCCAGACTCACTCTACCCTGTTATTCTGGCACTGACCACCCAGCCACTGTAGAACCTGCCCCTGCTATTCCAGCCAAGGATTATGCTATGTGATTATTTATCCAGAAATACATGATGTTTGAAAGCCCACCCTTGGCCAAATTATCCTCATAGCTCTTTTTCAACTACTTCCACTTAAGTCTCAGGCTTATCTTTGCTCTGTATCCGTCAAGTTCCAAGCAGTTTCCCTATTTTTCAGCCTTGCAGGACTTGCTGTTTACACTCTAGTCTGAAACTCAGGTTTGAGGACTATATCTCTAACCTTATTTTCTGTGTCTAAACCATCGCCTTGTATCTCAGGGCCCTAATCTTGTTCCATGATGCCTGCCTTTGTTTGAGCTTCCTTCCCAGTGTCTACCCCGTGCACCAATCCAGTTATACCTGATCCCTACAGTCATGTCTTCTTAGAATCAGAATGTGAACATTCATATCCATTCTTACTGCTGTTCTCCAGACTGAATACATCACCCTCTCAATGTCCCCACTTGGAACTCCCTAATGTCCATCCTAGCCTGGGTGGCCCCTGCTGCCTGCCTTTAACTGCCCTTAATGCCATACTCTAGCCAGATGCTTTTATATTACTTGCTGAGGGACCCTTTCCTGCCTGTTGTCCCCATGTGACATGTCTAAGAGGTCTCTAGGACCCTGCCCCTTCCAGCCCCTGCCTGGTGACTCATTTCTGATGGCAAATCAGGTTTTGATGGTTGTTCAGTAAGACAGGACAGTAGCTGCTGACTGGGTCATTCTTGGCTGCATCCACTTATAGCAAGATGTGCATATCCTGGTACTACCAAGTGCCTATAAAGTCCTATTGATTAAGGACCCTTGCCTCTGAATCCTAATGTATAGATGGTCTTACAGTTGACAAATCATTCACGCTGATATTGCATTGTAACTATCCCAATTTCCCTGTAAAATGGTGGAGCTGAAATCCTTGCCTTCATATTTAGAGGAGGAAATAGATTCAAGGACAGAGACTTCCCAGTGTTTAGGGATTATCATAATAATGTGAGAATAATAACATAATATCACAAGCACTGGTCTTAGAGAAGGCAAGGCAAGTTTTCCATTAGGCCAATATTGATGCCAACAATTTCTTTGTATATTATAATTTTAAAAGTTCTTTCCCAGGTATTGTTTTTATAATAGCCCTTGTGCAGAAAGTGAGGCAGTTTTTAAATTATTACTAACTTACAGATGAGTTACCTGAACTTCTAAAGGAGTTAACAGATCTCCCTAAAGTGATCAAGCTATTAAGTGGCATGGCCAGGACTAAAGTGTAGGCTTTGGCCTCCAAGTCCTTGGTTTCTTCCACCCTCCTAAGAGAGTGGGCCTTTGGAAGCTTTGGCAATGGGGTAATGGTACTTTGTCTTGGTTCCTGAGATGAGTAAGTGGATGTTTTCAGGTCACTGCCAAAGGCTGACCACAGATCCTCCAGCATTCAGTTTTCTGAACTATTCTTATCAGAAAAAGGGCTGTTGGCTTTGTCCTCCTAGGAAGGAGGTCTATTCTGGTCTGATGGGCACATTGTTCGATACCTACTTAAAAAAAAATACTAGATGAGAGCCACTTAAAGGATTCAAACACTGATAAATAGGCAGATATAAATGTGTATGTGAAAAATGCCCAGAGGAGCAGCATTGTGTGTAATAATATAACTTTACATTTCCTTCAATAATAACAGAAGTGGAGCTGGGCACAGTGACTCATACCTTTTATCCCAGCACTTTGGGAGGCTAAAGCGAGAGGATCACTTGAGGCCAGTTCAAGACCAGCCTGGTCAACATAGTGAGACCCCATCTCTACAAAAAATAAAAGTAACCAGGGGTGGTGCTATGTGCCTGTAGTCTCAGCTACTCAGGAGGCTGAGGTGGGAGGATTACCTGAGCCCAGGAGTTGGAGGCTCCAATGAGCAGTGATCACACCATTGCATTCCAGCCTGGGCAATAGCCAACCAGATGCCATCTATAAAAATAATAACAATAATAGAAGTTATTTTCCCCTAAGTCCGTCATCCTTATAATGAAAAAAACAGTCCCCACCACAAGTGAGATTTTGTTTGATTACACCTGATTTAAGCTTTCTATAAGAAGTTCATACTTTAGACAAGTCTTTGGACCATAGATATCCAGATTGTGCCTTTATGTCTTGTTTTATTGTTCACTAAATTTCCTGAGGAGGTTAAGAGTCTCTCTTTCGGATGACAGAGTAGATAACAGAATAGAAGATTAACTTGTCTAACAAAAATCTGGAAAATTCCATGAAAGTATGAAATAACATTGTTATTTTCATGTAAAATTAGTCATTAGGCACTTAAATATAATATCTTGTACGTGTGCAGTACTTTGAAAGAGTTCTTTCCATCCATTAGTTCACTCAATCCTCAGCACAATCCTAAAACACAGGTCAGTCTCATTAGCTCCATCCTCCTCATAGAGGAGGGAACTGAGCCTCTAGGGGGCTTCTGAGTTATGCATCTAAAGTTGAGAATCAGAAGTTAACAACCAAACTATTGGGGAGGTAGGGAAGGAGTACGCTCAGCCACCCTCACACCCTCTCCTTAACCCTGATCCTGCCTCCTCTGGGCTTCAGTGAAATTTAGGGACTATGTGAATCTGCTATTGTGTTGCTATAAAGAAATACCTGAGGCTGGGTAATTTATAAAGAAAAGAGGTTTATTTTGGCTCGTGATTCTGCAGGCTATACAGGAATCTTGGTGCTGCCATCTGATTCTGGTGAAGGCCCTAGGGAACTTACAATTATGGCAGAAGGTGACAGGACCCAGTGTATTACATGGTAATGGCAGGCACAAAAGGGGAAGGGAAAGTACCATGCTTTTTAAATAACCAGATCTCGTGTAAACTAACTGAGCAAAAGCTCCCTCATCGCCTTGAGGGTGGCACAAAGCCATTCACGAGGGATCCGCTCCCATGATCCAAATACCTCCTGCCAGGCCCTGTCTCCAATATTGGGGGTTTCATTTTAACATGAGATTTGGAAAGGACAAAACATCCAAACCATATCAGGGACACACAAAAAACAAAAAACCTCACGTAGCTAAGGCTTCAAAGCATAGCCTTAACTTTGTAAGCTCATTTTAGTTAACAGATCACGAGGTGTGCAGATTCCAAAGGCAAAGATGACAGTCCTGCGTCCATCAAAGCCTGAAATTTTCAGGTTTCCCTGGTTACTTCTAAGATCTATCTAATGTGACCCAGTGCTGTCTTTCTACACTGAAGGCACCCAATAAGGATTCAGCAATGTAGACCGCACAATTATTCCTGCCCCTCTGACTCAGTAGTGTAATCCAATTCATAGTTGAAGATGCAGAAAACCAGCAATTGGGAAGACCTCTACCACCTCCCTCAATTGGCTTTCTGATGAATGTGACCCCCAAACAACTCAAGAGTTGTGACACGAAGGTAGACACGCATGAACAAAAAGAGAGCTCCTTGTATCCTGATATGCCACTTCTTTGACAAATGTTCAATGGGTTCAAATGTTCAAACAGGCAAGGCTTCAAACAATGGGCTGAGAAGAGAGCCCCATGATCCCAGTGAACAAGAAGAGTCTCTGCAGTTGCCTCCCAATAATGAGATCCCTCAGAATGCATGCTCTTGGAGGTTAAGAGGGTGGAAATCCTGAGAGCAGGCTGGTTTCATTTATAGCATTAGCTGAGTCTGGGACCCAGTTTTAGCTATAGGAAAAGTATTGCAACCTCAGAGCAGTCCCAAGATGTGATATCCCACAGCATATTCAAGAAGCCTGAAACAGAATGGTGATTCTGTCCTGTTTAAGTTCATGCTGGCATGGTTTAGTCAGAGAACATGGGGTCATGGGTGTATCCAAAACAACACAGTGCCTATAACAGCTTTTTTCTACCATGCTATAAAAATATCCTCTGCCTGCCCTCTCTTCTTTTGTGATAGCTTGGCTCCTTCCCATTGATGACCAGTGTGGATTATGTGCTTGGTTTTAATTTCACCCCAGACACAGTCTCTCAGATTGCCATTGCCTCCATTACCACAGCTAGGGCCAGATAATCTTAGCCCAGCCCAGTATGGGCCTCCAGGGCTCCAGTCCCCAACCTCAAGGACTTAGGTGAGAGTTTAAGCAGAGTAGAGTGTCAAAATAGGCAGCCAAAATCAGAATATAAAGTTAAGAAAAGTCAAACTGTGGGCTAGGTCCAGTGGCTCATGCCTGTAATCCCAGCACTTTGGGAGGCCAAGGCTGGCAGATCACTTTAGGTCAGAAGTTCAAGACCAGCCTGGCCAACAGGAGGAAACCTCGTCTGTACTTAAAAAAAAAAAAAATTAGCAGGGTGTCATGGCACATGCCTATAATCTCAGCTACTCAGGAGGCTGAGGCAGGAGAATCGCTTGAACCTGGGAGGCAGAAGTTGCAGTGAGCCAAGATCACGCCACTGCACTCCAGCCTGGGTGACAGAGTGAGACTCCACCTCAACAAAAAAAAAAAAAAAAAAAAGAAAGAAAGAAAAAAAAAAAGAAAAGTCAAATTGTGAAATGAAGAAAATCTCAAAACAAAGGCAGATCAGGTAAACTAGAAATTAGAAATTAAAGTTTGGAGTGCCAGAATGGCTGCAGGTGAGCAGTAAATGTCCTACTGTCAGGTGAGTGGAGAAAGGCTGATGGTTCAGTGGCAAGGGAGTCACTGGTGGCCTATTGAAGGCTGGCTGGAAGCAGTTGCTGACTATCAAGACTGTCTGCTCTTCTCTGCCTGGTTCCTACTTTTCATGGCCCTGGGACATGCCACGATGGCACCTGTAGTCCCTGTCTGGTCTCTGGCACCTGAGCCCCTAGTGTCTTGCAGCCTTTAACTTGCCCTTGGTGCTATTCTTCCCTTCTTTCACTTTTGTACCCCTTTTCCTTGGACCCAGGGCCACTACATACTCATGAGATGCCCAACTGGGGGCAGAGAACTGGTTGGTGAAGACCACTGCATGCCTCCTGACTCCTCAACTCCAGAATCAACCCTGTTTTGACAAGGTGGATTTTGACCTGCCCCATCTTGATTTAGCCCCTCCCTGGCTTGGAGCTGCACACTTTCCATCCCTCTGGACTCCTGTAGGTTCACATGCTAACCCACATCTCTGAAAAGTCAAACAGAGATTTGAGCATAATGCCGTTCTTGGGAGCCCTATACCCCAAGTCCCACACCATAGTCCACAATAATTTTGTATTTCTGAACACTTGAGGGCAGTCACAGAGCTCAGGTAAAATAAGCAATTTTCACAAATAACATTGACACATATTTGAAAGAGACAGAACTAATATTTATTGGGCTTCTGGCAAGTTCCAGGATGTGTGCTAGACATGCTAGTTACAGTTTATCCTTTAATTCTGATAACCACCCCTTTGACTTTGAAGAGTGCTCTTTCCATTTAACATGAGGGGAATGAGGCTCAGAGTGGTAAAATAATTTGCACAATGTCACAAAATTAGAAATTATCATGGCCAGAATTCAAACTAAGTTCTGCCTGACTTAAAAACCTACACCCATTCCATGATTCTCTGTATTCTGTGATGACTATCATTCCAGGTTGACACAATGCCAATGCCACCTACTCATGTTTGCCCGCCTGCCTGCTTGTCTCTAGCATTAAACTGTAAACCACTAGAGGGCAGGGGTCTGTCTCATTTGCCCCCAGGCAATTCATATCTAGGATGCAGATGAATGTGTGGCACCCAGTGGAGCTCAGTGAATATTGATTGAAAATATACTAATGCATAACCATTCACTGGAGTCCACATCTGTGTCCAAGGGATGATGCACCTTATCCTTACACTCCAGGAAACCCAAAATCAGATCAAGGGCAGGTCCAAAAGAAGCTTAACAATTGCAATTTAATCCTGAAGATCTGTGAAAACTGCTGTAGAAAATTTCTTTGGAAAGAATTGACACTTTTGAACAAATGACTTGCTTTTAAAAGATGACCCTTGTATGTTGATGGTGGTTACCTAAATACTTCTTTCCTTTAGTTAAATTTGTGAAAGATAAAAATCTCACTAATGTTCTAATGCTGCTTTTCTGATTTTCCAGATTAAAACAGAATAAACATGGCAACATTTGTTTTAAGAAGTCCTGCTTACTCCGAGCACAGGAATATAGATATTTTGAATCTTCCTTTTCAAAGAAGAACAATTTCTATGTCTTACTCTAGAACATGAGATTTTGCTTTCATCTTGGCTTTTTGAATAAGGAATCTTCTCATATTAATGTCACCCTCTACTGAAAGTTTTGGACATAATTGTTTCTGTTTCTTAAAGACAAGATGCTTGGCATTGAGAAAAATGTAACTACTAACATTCACGCCCAGGGTCAAATCTCTGTTTTTCTCAATCTGTCTTCACCATGCTTACAATAGGGCTGTGCTCATGGTGTGCATTTCCTAACTGTAGTTAGCTGATTAATTCAGGCAATTCCGTACTCTCAGGAGCACAGAATTTGTGTGGTCTACAAAGCCTAAAATATTTACTATTGGGCTTTTGGGCACCTGACCTGTAAATTTGTATATCATAGTCTCTGAGCTCCGTGCAAAGCCAGTACCCATTGTCCAGCAACATAGAATTCATGTGGATGGAGGCAGATCTGGTTTTTCTTCCATTCTAACCCCAATGTCTAGAACAGCACCTGATATACAATAGAATTATCTTGAATATTTGTAAGTCAGGTTTATAAGCATGAGAAATTGGGTTTATAGGCATAGAATAATTTTTCTTAAAGAAATTATTTCTGTCTTTTCTGTTTTCAGTCCCTGAGCCATTGTTTCTGCCATCATCAGTTATTTATCTAACCAAAATCATTCTAGAGACCACAGTGTCAGCAAGCAATTGTCTAAGAGCCACGTCCGGCCCATCACCTGCTTTGTATGGCCTGCAAGCTAAGAAGGAACTTACGTTTTTAAGTGTTTGTTGGGGATTGGGGGTGGGGGCGGGAATCTAAATTCGAATCGTTCGCAACATGAAAATTACATGTTCTTACATGTTCACTCATTTAAGTATTGTCTATGGGTGTTTTTGCACTACAATGGTGCAGCTGAGTACCTGGGACAGACACTGTGTGGTCTACAAAGCCTAAAACATTTACTATTGGGCTTTTTACAAAAAATAAAGGTTTATGGATCCGTGTTCTAGATCAACGGTTTCGTGGGGAACTTGTTAGAATGAAAATTGTCTTTCCCCACCTATTGAATAAGAAACTGTGAGGTTGGGGCCCAGCAATTTGAGTTCTTACAAGCTTCTGGGTGATTCTGGTGCACGCTAGAGTTTGGGGACCACTGGCCTAGAATACTTTAGGAACCACTTTCTGAGTTAAAGGCAGAAGCTGATCTTTGTTGATCATTTTTTAAGCACCTATTATGTGCCTAGTCCTATATTCAGAGGCTGTGATTTGGTTCAGCTACCAAGAGACCAGAGAAAGACCAAGCCAGGGAAATCCCTCTCAGGTGGCTGTTGCCTCCTTTGCACAGTAGCCGCCTGTCACAAAAGCAGCAGCATAAAGCGATCCCGTGAGCGATAAGCAAGCATCCCAGGGGCGGTTTCAGGCAAAATGAGTTCGTAAATATTTGATTTTTTTCCCAGTCACTGACCGCCTTTCTATTTGGTTTAGGGCTGAAGTAAGACAGCTTGTAAGTAACTGGAGAGGGTGTTTACCCAGTGAATTAGTTCGGCTTTCATTGTGCAGAGGATTAGCGCCAAGCAGTGGATGAGGCTCCGTTTCAGGTTAGAGGGGCTCGCTGTTCGCTAGCTCCAGGCCAGGACTAATTGTAATAGGACTGTGGCCATTAAAGGGCTTAACTACCAGTGCCCCCTTCCAGGACTGGATTAGCTGTTCGCCTGCAGCTCTCGGCCGATAACCATTCCCAGGTCTGTGTGCTCTCTGCCGGGATGTGAGCCGGAAAATGCCGCCTACTCAGAGCTGAGAACTGCCTGGCACGCAGGGCTAGAGGGTCCCGGCGTGAGGCACCTGGGACGGGCAATGTGGCTCCTGCCTGGCGCCAGGAAAGCCCAGGTTCCCAGAGTACCGCAGGACTGAATGAGCTGGGGTGGCAGGGGCACGGGGTTGGCTCTCCCTTTGGGACTTTTGGGCGATGTGGACGAATTAATTTGGGTGTTCACGTGCACTACCCCAGCGCTACTCCTGCGTTGCAGACTTTCTTTCAGAGCCAGAGGTGGAGTCTGCACAGTCGTCGGAAAAACAATATTTTTCCTTCATGGAATGGCTAAGTAAGTTACCTCACTTCCCCAAATCTCAGTTCTTCATCCATGAAATCAAAATAAAGTAGTGTCTAGTCGAAGGGCTGTGTGGTTTAAAGCCTGGGAAGTGCTAGTTCATTTAAGGGCTCAATGTGCAAAGACCTCTAATGCTGATGAGCACAGTGCGTGGAAGAGAAACCGGCTTTCTCCTAAGCTTGTAAGGAGGAAGGTGCCTTAAAGATTTTCTAGTCAATTGCTTCCTAAAACTTCCAACATAAGGACCACTTTTACTGTTAGTAACATTTGTGCCATTCATTGAAGGAGCAGATAAAAATATATATGGATTTGAAGACCCCTCACAATCACTGTATGGGCCCCCCAGGCTCCAAAGCTCATAGGTTTACAAGGGTTCATGTGTCCAACTTTCCACCTAAAGTCTTGGCAGAGAGGTTAGCTGCTGTTTGCAGACCTCCAAAGATGGGGTGCCTCTGCCTTCCCATATGGCCCAATCCATTTAAGGATTGTTCTAATGAGAGAGAATTCTTTTGTTAAAGAAAAGTACATATATGATAGTCATCAAAATAGTAATTATTTCTGGTTGAAGGAATTATGAGTGACTTTCCGTATTTTCCATATTCCTACAAAATTATGCTGTTAGACTATGAGAAAAACATCTATGCACATAATTAAAACTTTTGTAAAATATTAAACTGAAAACTGTGTCTCTGTAACTTCTACGCATTTGTTTCTAGTTTTAGCCCTGAGTCTAGACAGACAAGTCTAATATTTCCCATGACAACCCTTCAAGTATGTGAAGTCAGCAGCTAGGTAGGAGCATCACAGAGAAGGTTGGTGAAAAAAATTGAATCAGAAAGGACTGCATTTGTCATGTGCACATTGCTGCTTCATTTTTCAATGGGGATATCTAGACTGCTTGCAAGGACAGTTTAATAAGTCACAGCCAAATTTATCCATACCGCTTGGCCATCATCATTCCCAAATATATTGGTTGAGTTTAAGAAAAAATAAGTTTCAGTAATTATTTAGAAACATACCAAGAATCGTTTTAGTTGCCAAATTAATTTTTTGATTTTAAAATGTTTGAACATCATTTGGATGTAGAAGGAATTTTACAATGTTGCAGAACAGAACCATGGTGAGATGTTTAATTTGTGGTTTTAAAGAAGACTTTTCAGACTACATTTGGCACTGGGTTGGTCACAAAGTAGGGGCCCTCTCTGGTTTTTCGCTGAGAGATTAACTCTTTATCATAGAGCTTTCTAGGATGCACCTGTTTGGATCTGGTAAATGGGTCCAGGAACTAAGAGTAATTCAACTCAAATCATTAAACGTTAATTGAGTGCCTACTACATGGCACCCACTCTGCCCAGAGGTGATAAGGCAAGGAATTTTCAGAAGTCATAGTGAGAAAGAGAAAGCTCATCATGGGAGATATGGAGCAATTATAAACCAATAATCTCTACAACTTCACCAATCGGCTCACTTCTCACCATTGGGCTTTGTGGAAGATTAGGTTGACTGAGTTCAATGCAACTAAAAAGGGCAAAGCAGCTATTGGTGTATTTGGAAAGATGCCAAGCTCTGGGATTTGTTTTAATCCTGTGAATATTGTTAAACAAACAAACGAATAAACAAATAACAATAGAAACTGAAAGAATGAAATGTTCTCAGGCTAATATTTCAAAAACCAAACTATAAAAATCAGGCTGTGATATGGTAATCTAAACTGGAATAGGAGTTCATGTTAAACTTTGAATATAAACATATTTGGATCACTTCAACAAATACTTGTTAAATAAATTCCATATACAAAGAATGGTGCTAGATTCCATGAGGTACCAAAGAAGAGTAAGAGGTGGTCTTGATACATAAGGAACTCACAATTTAGGTAGGAGGGGGCACATAAATAATTTTAATAAAAAGTAGTCTATGATAAGTACTGAACTACAAGCAATGTGCTATAGAAGTTTGAAGGAAAAGATAAGGGAATCTGAAAGGGTTTATTAGAGGTGAAATGATTTGAACTGGGCTTTAAATACTTGTTAATACAAACTTATAAACAAACTAATATGCTTACACTTCACAGTCTTTGTGTCTTAATTTTCCCTTTTCTGAGAGCTATACACAGAATAAAATAACTAGATTAAAAATGTATGACATTTTATCAAAAGCTAATTCAATTAGGTTAGGTTATGGTAGGCAGAGTAAGTCAGAGGTTTAACAAGAGAAATGGAAATTCTGCCAAACCATTTGAATACCTGAGAGGTGTGTGAACACTCTACTATGACTCACCAAGGGCACCCTTATTGGTCCCCAGAGCAATCTCAGAAGGCCTGGGAACTTGACATCAGTAACATATTCTAATCTGAAAAATGCAGGAACTCTAGATGATCTCAAATGCATCTCCAGAGCAGGGCACCCACCTTATAATTTTACAGCCCACTTGAGGTTATTGGGAGGTAGTGCACTGACAGTGTTCTTGACTATGATTTAAATATAGTTCTCTCACTTACCAATTGTGAGAAGTTGGACATGTCACTTAGCCTGTTTCTTCTTTAAAATGTTTATCTTGCAAGCTCTCTGTTATAAGGATTAAGGGAGAAGATGTTTATATAAAGCACCCAGCACTAGTTGTATGTACTACACTCAACACATTGTAGCTTGGACTATTTAATATTGTATCTTGTCAACATTCATTCAATCACTGATACTTATTGAGTCCCTCCAAAGTGCAAAGTCCTTTACTAGGTAAGAAACCAACATACTGAAAACTACCACGTTCAATCTCTCTCCACCCACCCATTTGGACCCCTCTTCAGCTGGGTGAAAGGTCATAAAACTTAGATTAGTTAGAGATCTACGGATGCTACATTTTCATTACATATCCAAGCAGTAGTTGGTTTAAATTTTGATCATGTTTTAAATAGGATTGTGTGAGAATTAAATAAGGTAACATATGTAAAAGCCTTAGCATTGTGACTGAAAAAAGTAAGTACCAAATAAATGTCAACTATTATCATCATAGGTATACAAGGTCACATTTATTGTTTATATACATATGTGTGTGTTTCCTTGAACAGCCCATTTTTTTCTGGTTTATTTTGCTTTTATTAAAAAGTGGAAACATGCACACTGATGTTTATAGTAGCTTTATTTATAATTGCCAAATGTTTAGAAATTCCACAGAATATTGAACATGAACATGAATTAGGCATAGATAAAGAAAAAAATGGAAATAAAAGGTGGATCTGAGGAATTATCCAGAATTCAGTACTAACAGATAAAAAGAACTAAAAAAGAAAGATATCAGGATATTTGTAGGATGGGTGCAATAAGCAGATTCTAAGAATGGTATCACAATGAAAATAGAAAAAGACAATATTTTCAAATAATGGGAAGATAAAGGCAGAAAATTTCCCAGAATTTATAAAAGACATAAATCCCCAAATTGAAGAAACATTATGATTCCCAATCAGGATAAATACAAAACTTTCTACCTGAATATATGGTAGTGAAATTGTGGAACACCATATACAAAGATAAAACTTTAAAAGCAACCAAAAAGAAAAGACAAAATATCCAAAGATGTATAACTATCAGACCATCACAAACATTCCACAACAATGAGAGCTTGAAGACAGAAAAATAATAATTTCAAAGTAATAATATTATAACCAGATAAATTATTACTCAATAGAGAAAATTGAAGAAAAATTTTAGAAAAACAAAGATGAAGAGAATCTATTACTCCCAGACTCCCTCTGAAAGAATTAATAAAGGATATATTTCAGAAAGAAGAAACTGAAACCCAGAATAAATGTGTGCAATGAAACAAGCAGTGGTGTTTGGAGAAAATGGTAAATATCTGGGCAAATCTAAGCAAACATTGACTAAGTAAAACAATAATAATTATACAGACTAGCAGGGATTTTACCAAAAAAAAAAAAAAAAAAAAAAAAAAAAGAGAGATGGGACTAAAATGCTTCACCGTAATAATTAAGGTGGGGAAAATTGAAATTAGTGCATTATTTAAACCAGATTTGTACTGCTTAAAACTAGAGGTATTGCTTAGTTTTTGTCTGTGTTAATTCACATACACATTACAAGTATGGGGATAGAAGGCAAAACTTTCAAAACAGTAGAAAAAAAGAATTTAAATAGCTCAATATAGGAAAGTAGAAAAAAGAAACAGGATATCAAGTAAATATGAAGGACAAAATAGGTTGTAAAAAATTCAGGTATTTCAAGTAATAACAATACACTTATACAAATCAGATACACCAGTTAAAAATGATAGTCTCAGATTGGATAATATTTTTTTAAGTCCACACATTTACAGTTTCAAAAGACACCCTAAAAGATACTGATAGAAATGTTGACACTATCAGGATGGAAATAGATATTTCAAGTCAAATGCTAGCCACATGAAAGCTAATATAATTTTATTAAATGTAAGCAAAGTAGACTTTAAGGCAAAAAGAGAAAAATAAAGATCAATAGACCATAATAAAAGGAACAATTCACTGGGAAGATAAAACAATCCTACACCTTCAACAAATTTGGCCCTAAAGGTATAAAGCAAATTAACAGAATTAAAAGGAGAGATTAAAAATTGCTACCTTTATACCTCTCTCAGTAATTAACAGATCAACTAGACCAAAAAAGTAGTAAAAGATGTTGAGAATTTAATAATCCAAGTAAAAGCTTGATTTAATTGATAGAGTTTTATATCCAACAATTCAAAAATATATAATCCTTTCATGTACACATGGAACAGTCATGAAAATTGACTATACAAATGCTGCAAAGTTAATCTCAATATATTTCAAATACTGTAATTGATATTATATTAAAAAATGTTCTGACCAAAATGTAATAAAAATAAGAGATCAATATGGAAAATATAATCAAACCTGAAATATTTTGAAATTTATATAAGAAACTTAAAAATAATTAATAGAAAAATGAATAAATTTTAATAATTTTTGAAATGTTATAACTAATCATTATAATAATGAAAATTTAAAACTAAAATAATGTATCTTGAATCTTATGGAATGCAGCTAAAGCAATTCTTAGAGGAAGATTTATAGCCTTAAAATGAACATTTTTAAATAAAATAGGTAAAATTAGTTAAGAATTTGGTAAACTGAGGCATTACACTGACTCAAAAACTACTAAATTTGACCCACAAGTAAAAGAGAAAAAGAAAATAGAAAGCAGCAATATAAGGTTACAAGCTAAAAAGCAGATGAAGAAGTAGTAATAAATTAGCAAAGCCAAAAATTTTGAATTAGAAGTTAGCCATAATTGGAGGAAACAGAGAAGAAACCCCATTTATCCCACAGAGACACAGAAAACTCAAGAATGGAAAGAACAAGTATTTCTGGAAATGAGGCTGAAAGTGAGGTTAGAACAGAATTGCTTGGAAATGTGATTAAGAAGCAGTTTGATATTGAGAGGAGTTTTCACTATTGGAAAGGTAGACAAAATTGGATTAGCTGGTTTTGAACAATTTCTTTTATTGAGAAATGCTAGAATACTTATCTCTTTTTCTATCTTTCTATCATCTATTCATCTGTCACCTGTCTAATCAGTATGAAGTCATCATATAATTATGAAGGCAGTAAAACAGTGAATATTTGTGGAGCAAATATCCCAAAATGAAGGGAAGTCCAAGGAGGTACTGGACTTCTGGCACTGCTTTTTCTCTTGTGACATCTGCCAACTTGAAAATGGTAGCTGAAAAGTTGAAAACATAAGTAGAGATAAGTAGCTGAGAAGCTGAGCAGAGTTTTTAACAGTTTCATGGGGTCACAGGAGACAAAAGTTATAGTTCACCAAAGATGAGAGATTGTAGTAATCACTCTAGATTTTCTGTTGGAACCCAAAGGGTTACTTCTTAGGAGTAAGAATGAAACAAAAATATATGTGCCTTTATAGGAATTGAACAGAAAGGAAAAATGCCACAAATTTTTGAAAAAAATTTTTAAATAACCTATAAATGATTTACCCTCTCAAACTATAAATCAAATATGAGGTTAGGTTAAAAATATTTTTAGACATTCAAGGTCTCAAAATATGCACCTACCTGCCCTTTTTCTCAGAAAATTAATGGAAGATGTACTCCACCAAAATGAGGAACACAAGATTAGGAAACAGAAGATTCATACAGGATTGAGAGAGAATAGAATCCACTGGGTAATGGTAAAGAGAGCTCCTGAAAGGACAATTGAGCAGTAAGGACAATCTGTCCAGATTGGAAGAGGTCGGAAGTCTCTAGGGAATGTTTACTAAAGAATGTGAAATTAGTATCTTATATGTCTGAATGTATCAAGAGTAGATTTAGACAACTGGTTAAGAGTAGAGATTAGTGATAAGTACATAGACAACTAAGCAAATAAAAAACCAAAACAACCATAAAATTCAGATAAAAAGGTTTTGCAGGAAAACTTTTATCTTGGTTTACTACAAAATAAAATACTTGTTTCTTCTATCAAGATAATTTATGTAATTGTAACAAGGCAAACACTGAATAATGATTTAACTAAATTTTCTTTTTTTGAGATGGAGTCTTGCTCTGTCACCCAGGCTAGAGTGCAGTGCCATGATCTCGGCTCACTGCAAACTCTGTCTCCCGGGTTCAAGCAATTCTCCTGCATCAGCCTCCCAAGTAGCTGAGATTACGGGTGCCCACCACCACGCCCAGCTAATTTGTGTATTTTTAGTAGAGATATGGTTTCACCATGTTGGCCAGGCTGGTCTCAAACTCCTGACCTCATGGATCTGCCCGCCTCAGCCTCCCAGAGTGCTGGGATTACAGGGGTGAGCCACCACACCCGGCATTATTTAACCAAAGTAAAATTGAGCTGTATATGGAGGTTTGGTTGTGGAGGGCAGGAAAGTGTGTGTATAAAAAAACCAACAACTCAATTTTCACAGAAGAAAATCATAGGTACTGTCTAAAATTGAAAAAATCAAAAGTAGAAATATAACCTTCAGAGAAATGAAGACTGAAAGCAAAATAAACAACTAAAATACCTGATGGGATAAAAACAAAGAAAAAAGAATTAAAAGAAAGGAACAGTATCCAAGAAATATGCAATTATGTAAAACAGTCATATCTAAGAATCATTGGTATTCCTGAGGGAGAAGAGAAAGCAAAAACTTTGGAAAGCTGATTTGAGGGAATAATTGAAGAAAACTTTCCTGCTCTTGCTAGAGTTTTAGATATCCAAATCCAAGAAGCTCAAAGAACTCATGGGAGATTCATTACAAAAAGGACATCACCAAGGCATATAGTCATTAGGCTTTCTAAAGTCAATGTGAAGGAAAGAATTCTAAGAGCAGTGAGACAAAAGCAACAAGTAACTTATAAAGGAAAGTCTATGAGACTATCAGCAGACTTCCCTTCCCAGCAGAAACCTTATAAGACAGAAGGGATTGGGATCCTATCTTTAGCCTCCTTGAACAGAATAACTGTCAGCCAAGAATTTTGTATCCAGCAAAACTAAGTTTCATAAATGAAGGAGAAATAATATATTTTTTAGACAAGCAAATGCTGAGGGAATTTGTCACTACCAGATCAATTCTGCCACAAATGCTACAGGGAGTTCTAAACCTTAAAGTAAAGGCTCAGTATACATCAGAATGGAACCTCTTGAAAGCATAAAACTCATAGGGTTTACAAAACAATAACAAAATGATGAAATCAAAGTATCTAGGTAGTAATTAACATGATGATTGAAACAATATATCACGTCTCAATATTAATGTTGAATGTAAATGATCTAAATCTTCCACTTAAAAGATACAAATAGGAAGAATGGATTTAAAAAATCACAAACCAAATATATGCTGTCTTCAAGAGCTTCACCTAACACATAAGGATTCTTATAATCTCAAGGTAAAGGGATGGAAAAAGATATTCCACACAAACAGAAACCAAAAGCATGCAGGTGTAGGTATTCTTATATCAGAGAAAACAGATTTTAAAGCAGCAACACTAAAAATAAAAGACAAATAAGGTCATTAAAAATGATAAAAAATCAATCCAACAAGAAGATATTACAATCCTAAACATATATGGAGCTAACTCTGGAGTCCCAGATTCATAAAAACAAGTATTACTATACCTAAGGAAAGAGACAGACAGCAACACAGTTATACTGAGGAACTTCAACACTACACTGACAGCACTAGACGGATCATCAAGGCAGAAAGTCAACAAAGAAACAACAAGCTTAAACTACACTCTAGAACAAATGTACCTAATAGATATTTACAAAACATTCTACTCAAGAACTATAGAATTTACATTCTTCTCATCAGCACATGGAACATTCTCCAAGATACAATATATGATAGGCCACAAAACAAGCCTCAATAAATTTTTAAAAATCAAGTATCTTCTCAGAAAACAACTCCAAAAGAAATCCTCAAAACTATATAAATACATGGAAATTAACCAATCTGCTCCTGAATGACTTGGTAGTTAACAATGAAATCAAGATGGAAATTTTAAAATTATTTAAAATAAATGATAATGATGCAAGTTATCAAAACCTCTGGGATACAACAAAAGCAGTGCTAAGAGGAAAGTTTATAGCACTAAATGCCTGCATCAAAAAGGTTGAAAAATCACAAATTGACATCTTAATGTCACACCTCAAGAAACTATAGAAACAATAACAAGCCAAACCCAAAGCTAGCAGAAGAAAAGAAATAACAAAGATTAAAGCAGAACTAAATGAAATTGGAACAAAAAAGACCAACGAAACAAAAAGTTGGGTGTTTTAAAAGATGAAATTGATAGACCATTAGCTAGATTAACAAAGAAAAGATTCAAATAAGCTCAATTAGAAATGAAAATGGAGACATTACAACTGACATCACAGAAATACAAAAGATCATTCGACACTACAATGAACACTTCTATGCATACAGACTAGAAAATCTAGAAGAAGCAAATAAATTCTTGGAAACCTACAACCCTGCTAGATTGAATCAGAAAGAAATAGAAATCCTGAACAGACCAATAACAAGCAATGAGATCGAACAAATATAAAAAGTTGCCAACAAAAAAAAAGCCCTGTGGCAGATGTATTCACTGCCGAATTCTACCATTCAAAGAGGAATTGGGGCCAGGCACAGTGCCACATGCCTGTAATCCCAGCACTTTGGGAGGCCGAGGTGGGCAGATCACCTGAGGTCAGGAGTTCGAGACAAACCTGCCCAACATGGTGAAACCCTGTCTCTACTAAAAATACAAAAATTAGCCAGGTGTAGTGGCAGTTGCCTGTAATCCCAACTACTTGAAGGGCTGAGGCAGGAGAATCACTTGAACCTGGGAGGCAGAGGTTGCAGTGAGCCAAGCTTGCACCCTTGCATTCCAGCCTGAGCAACAAGAGCAAAACTCCCTCTAAAAAAAAAAAAAAGAAGAAGAAGAAGAATTGGTACCAATCCTACTGAAACTATTGCAAAAGACTGAATAAGAAGGAATACTCGTTAACTAATTCTATGAAGCCAGTGTCACCCTAATACCAAAACCAGGAAAGGACATAACAAAAAAAGAAAACTACAGACTAATATCCCTGATAAACATAGATACAAAGGTCTTCAACAAAATACTAGCACAGCAAATTCAGCAGCACATCAAAAAGACAATATGCCATGATCAAGTGGGTCTCATCCCAGAGATGCAGGGATGGTTTAACATATACTAGTCAATAAATGTGATACATCACATAAACAGAATTAAAAACAAAAACCATATGATCTTCTTAATGGATGCAGAAAAAGCAGTCAATAAATCCACAATCTCTTTATAATAAAAACCCACAACAAACTAGGCATAGTATCGGGCGAAATTCACCCCCGATATTTCACGTAGGTTCTTTTCTATTTTCCCTAAGTGTTGGCCAGTCTGAGAAATAAAGGGACAGAGTACAAAAGAGAGAAATTTTAAAGCTGGTTGTCCAGGGGAGACATCACATGTCGGCAGGTTCTGTGATGCCCCCTGAGCTGTAAAACCAGCAAGCTTTTATTAGCGATTTTCAAAAGGGGAGGGAGTGTACGAATAGGGCATGGGTCACAGAGATCCCATGCTTCACAAGGTAATAAGATATCACAAGGTAAATGGAGGCAGGGTGAGATCACAGGACCACAGGACTGGGGCAAAATTAAAATTGCTAATGAAGTTTTGGGCATGCATTGTCATTGATAACATCTTATCAGGAGACAGGGTTTGAGAGCAGACAACTGGTCTGACCAAAATTCATTAGGTGGGAATTTCCTCATCCTAATAAGCCTGGGAGCACTCTGGGAGACTGGGGCTTATTTCATCCCTACAGCTGCGATCCTAAAAGATGGCCACCCCTGAAGTGGCCATTTCAGAGGCCTACCCTCAGGGATGCATTCTCTTCCTCAGGGATGTTCCTTGCTGAGAAAAAGAATTCAGCAATATTTCTCCCATTTGCTTTTGAAAGAAGAGAAATATGGCTCTGTTCTACCCGGCTCACTGGTGGTCAGAGTTTAAGGTTATCTCTCTTGTTCCCTGAACATTGTTGTTATCCTGTTCTTTTTTTCAAGGTGCCCAGATTTCATATTGTTCAAACACACATGCTCTGCAAACAATTTGTGCAGTTAACGCATCATCACAGGGTCCTGAGGCGACATACATCCTCCTCATCTTACGAAGATGACGGGATAAGAAATTAAAGGAAAGGCAGGCATAGGAAATCACAAGGGTATTGATTGGGGAAGTGATGTGTCCATGAAATCTTCACAATTTATGTTCAGAGATTGCAGTGAAGACAGGCGTAAGAATTTATAAAAGTATTAATTTGGGGAACTAATAAATGTCCATGAAATCTTCACAATTTATGTTCTTCTGCCATGGCTTCAGCTGGTCCCTCCTTTCGGGGTCCCTGACTTCCCACAACATCATAGAAAGAACATACTTCAAAATAATGAAAATCATATATGACAAATCTAAAACCAACAACAGACTGGATGGAAAAAAGTTGAAAGCATTCCCCATGAGACCTGGAACAATGCAAGGATGCACACTTTCACCACTTCTATTCAACAGATTACTTGAGGTCCTAGCCAGAGCAATCAAGTAAGAGAAAGAAATAAAGGGCATCCATATTGGAAAAGAGAAAGTCAAACTATTGTTGTTTGCCAATGATATGACTGCATACCTGGGAAAACCTAAAGAGTCCTCCAAAAGATTCCTAAATTTGATAAATAAATTTAGTAAAGTCTCAGTTATAAAATCAATGTACACAAATCCATAGCACTGCTATCCACCAACAATGCCCAAGATGAAAATCAAATCAAGAACTCAACCCCTTTTACAATAGCTGCAACAACAACAACAACAAAAATACCTAGGAATATACTTAACCAAAATGCTGAAAGATCTCTACAAGGAGAACTACAAAACACTGCTGAAAGAAATCATAAATGTCACAAATGGAAATATATCCCATGTTCATAGAATGGAAGAATCAATATCTTAAAAATGGCTATACTGCCCAAAGCAATCTGCAGATTCAATGCAATTCCAATCAAAATGCCAACATCATTTTTCACAGAATTAGAAAAAAAATTGAAATTCTTATGGAACCAAAAAAGATCCCAAAAAGCTAAAGTAATCCTAGGCAAAAAGAACAAAGCTGGATGCATCACATTTTTCAATTTCAAATTATATTACAAGGATATAGGAACCAAAACAGCATAGCAATAGTATAAAAATAGATACATAGACCAATGGAACAGAATAGAGAACCCAGAAATAAAGTCAAATACTTCCAATGAACTGATCTTTGACAAAGCATACAAAAGCCTAAATTGGCAAAAGGACACCATATTCAGCAAATGGTGCTGAAATAATTGGCAAGCCACATGTGGAAGAATAAAATTGGTTCTCTATCTTTCACCATATACAAAAATCAACTCAAGATGGGTTAAAGACTTAAATATAAGACCTGAAACCGTAAAAATTCTAGAAGAAAACCTAGGAAAAACTCTTCTGGACATTGGCCTAGACAAGTAATTTATGACTAAGATCTCAAAAGCAAATGCAACAAAAATAAAAAATAAATAAATGGGACCTAATTAAATTCACAAGCTTCTGTACAAAAAAAAAAAATCAGATCATCAGAGTAAACAGACAACCCACAGGATGGGGTAAAATATTCTTGAACTATGCATCTGAGAAAGGACTAATATCCAGAATCCACAAGGAGCTCAAACAAATCATCAAGAAAAAACTCTGCATAATCCCGTCGAAAAGCGAGCAAATGACATGAACAGACATTTCTCAAAAGAACATATGCAAATGGCCAAAAACCATATAAGAATGCTCAATTGACATCACTAATAATCAGGGAAATGCAAATTAAAACCACAATGAGATACCACCTTACCCCAGACAAATGGCCAGTATTAAAATGTCAAAAAACACTAGATGTTGGTATGATGTGGTGAAAAAGGAATGCTTACACACTGCTGGTGGGAATGTAAATTGTTAACAACCTCTATGGAAAACAGTATGGAGATTTCTCAAAGAACTAAAAGTAGACCTACCATTTGATCCAGCAATCCCACTACTGGGTGTCTATCCAAAGGAAAGTAAGTCATTATATTAAAATAAAAAACACTGTGGGCATGTTTATCCCAGTACAATTCACAATTGCAAAGATACAGAACCAACCTAAGTGCCCATCAAGTGGATAAAGGAAATGTGGTATGTATACATCATGGAATACTACTCTACCATAAAAAAGAATGAAATAAGTTCTTTTGCAGCAACTTGGATGGAGGTGGAAGCCGTTATTCTACATGAAAAAACTAAAAATTGGAAAACCAAATACTGTATGTTCTCACTTATAAGTGGGAGCTAAGCTGTGGGTATGAAATGGCATACAGAGTGATATAATGGACTTTTGAAAAGTGTCCAACAAGAGTGTGAAGAAAGGGTGAGGGATTAAAAAGCTACATATTGGGTACAATGCACACTACTCAGGTGACAGGTGCTCTACAATCTCAGACTTTACCACTACACAATTCATCCATGTAACCAAAAACCACTTGTACCCTCAACACTATTGAAATAAATAAATAATATATATGATAATCAGACAAGAAAGAAGCAAAAGAGAGAGAACCAGAAAGAAAGAAATAATTCATTACACACAGAAGAAAAGATTGCGTATGTAGAAAATCCAAGAGCATCTACAAATATTAGAACCAGTAAAGTGGTCAGCAAGGTTGATGATTTCAAGAACAGTAACATTGTTACACAATGTCTATTTATACCAGCATCAAAAACTACAGAGTACCCAGGGATAGATCTAATCAATGTGCACAAGACCATGGAAAAGGCTGCACATCTTTAATGAAGCAAGTGAAAGAAAACCCTAGTTAATCAAAGCCTTTACCATGTACATGGATGGGAAGATTTAATATTGTAAAGATGGTACTCCCAAATGAGTGTATAATCAAGATCTAAATAGAGTTCTTCATAAGCTTATTCTTAAATACATATTTTTACTTAACAAACAACATACAAACATATGTATATATTACACTATAGGTAGTACTTATACTACACTATATGTAGTACTTACTATGTGTTCTAAGCACTTTACAAATATTAGCTCATTTAAACCTTAAAACAGCCCTATGAAGTAAGCACTATTATTATCCTCATTTTACTGATGAGATAAAGGAAGCTCAGAGAGGTTAAGTAATTTGTCCAAGGTCATGTAGCTAGTAAGCAATGAAGTTGGGATTCAGACATAGACAGTCTGGCTTCAGAGTTCATGCTCTTAACTAGTGCATCATATGGAGCCCATAATAAAATGTTTTCATACATGGAAATTTGGTATATGGCAAAGGTGGCAGAACAAATCAGCAGGAACAGAATGGACTACCAAATAAATAGGGCTAAGAAAACTGACCGTTTGAAAAGATAAAATTAGATCTGCATCTCACACCACAAACAGATTTTAGATGGATTAAAGACATAAGCATAAAAAAAATTTTAAACTTTCAGAAGAAATATGGAACAATGTCTTCATGACATTAGGAAAAGATATCTTAAATAGGACACAAAAAGCACAAACCATAAAAATGTTGATAAACTTGAACATGTTAAAGCAAAAAAAAAAAAAAAAAACCCCTGTGTGTGATAAAATAAACTAAAAACACTTTATAAAACAAGCCACTGGCTAGGAGAAAACATCTGCCATTGATATAAAAATAAGTGATTAGCTTCCGGAGTATGAAAAGATTTATTATAAATTAACACAGAGAAGAAAAACAACCCCACAGAAAAAGTAAGCAAGTAGGATAAATAGGTAATTGAAAGAAGGAGAGAAACAGCACAGCAGATTAAAGGGTCTTGAGGGATTGTAATTTTAAGTAGGGTAGTCAGGTTCAGCCTCACTGAGAGGGTGACATCTGAGCAAACATGTAAGGAGAGGAGAAAGTAAACCATGAAGATACACAGGAGCCAGGTGCCCAGGGCAAAGTTCTGAGGCAGGAATGTGCTGGAGCATTGGCAGAACAGTAGGAAGTCTGGTGTGGCCTGAGTATAAAGGCATATATATGTATATTTTATATATACATAAATTACATAAGATACATATATACAATTAAAGACATTATATATATATATATATACAATTAAACCTGTGATATATGTTTAAATTTATATACTTAAATCACATGACCATACCATGCTCTACATGTCTTTTTCATTTCTCTCTTAACAATAAAACTTAAATATTGTTTGTTAGCACATACAGGTCTGCCACAGTCTTTTTTATGGCTGCATAGCATTCCTTTGTAAAGACTTACTATACTTGATTTGCCAGTCATGTGGTAAAAGACATTTAAGCTGTTTCCTTTCTGTTGTTTCTTTGGGGGAGAGGGACGTTTGGGTTTTTTGCTTTGTTTTGTGTTTTGCTTTTACTGACAATGCAGAAGTAAACATTCTTGTGAATACATATTTACACAATTTGCAAGTACATCTGAAAGTTAAATTCTTAGACATGGAATTGCTGGGTTAAATTGTCAAATTTCCCTCCAAAGAGCTTGCATTGATTTGCAATCTCACTACTAGCTGTGAAAATATTTATTTTCCAACTATAATATTTAAAAATATATTTTAAATTTTTGATTTGATAGACAAAACATGGTATCTTGTCATTTCAATGCATATTTTCATAATTATAAGTAAGGCTGCACCAAGTGTCACAAATAAATTTCCTCCTGTTGTTTACTGTTACTTTTATGATTTAATATTTTATATTTAAAACTGTGATCCAAGTAATTCATTTTGATGTAATAAATGAGGTAGTGATCAAGGTTTATTTTGTTCCAAATGGCTAGCCAGTTGCCACAACATCATTTGCTGATTAATGTATCATTATTCCACTGAATGGCAATGCCACATTTCATAAATTAAAATCCCATATGAACTTGGACCTATTTCTGATCTCTCTTTTCCAATAATCTGTTTATTCTTGTGCCAGTACCAGATTGTTTTAATTACTGTAAGTTTATCATATGTTTATTATTTGGTATAGTGCCCCTTCATATTATTTTTTTACAGATTTGTTCTGGTTACCCTCAAATATTTATATTTTCATCTGAAATTTTGAATACTTTTATCTAAAAGAAAAATCATTTGCTTTTTATTGAATTTTTATTGAAATTATAGAATAATTCTGAAAGAATTAACATTGATATCCTATCTAGTCCTCCTAAGCAAGAATATAGTAGATCTTTCAGTCAACTCTCTTGCATCTCTCAACAAAGCTGAAAATTTTTCTTCGTAGAAAGATGAAACAATACTCAAAATTTTTCTTCAGTATTTTAAATTTCTTGGTGCTATTTAAATAACATATTTTCCGTCTGTGTTTAGAGCTTGCTTGTCCCCTGAAAAGCTATTTTTTCTGTTTAATATTGCAACCAGGCACTTAACTGAATTGTCTGTTTTCTATGAAGTATTTTTCAGTTGATTCTCCTGGGTTTTCCAGGTTAAAAGGCATATCACATGCTAAAAATAATTATTTTGTCTCCTCATTTTTAAATACTATAGCACTTACTCCTTCTCTTGCTAAATTGCATTTGCCTGAATTTCCAGAACAATGCTATATAGAAATGTTGATGGGGGCATTTCTACTCTAATGGAAATATGCTTCTAGTGAAATTAACTATAACACTCTATATAAAATGAACCATACTTCTGTATATATAAAATTACAATAAGAAAGTTTCTATTAATTTTGGTATAATAAGACATTTAAAATCAGGAATGTATGTTATGTTTTGTTAAAAAAATCCTTTGATCTTAAATTTTCTCCTTTTCTCCACTAATGTAGATAATTCTATTAAAATGTTTCATAGTAGCAAATTATTCTTGTATTGTGATATAGTCTATATTGTGCTATTGGATGGTATTTGTTAGTAGGCAAGTAATATTTTGTGATTTTTATAATGACATTCTGGTTAGACAGATATGTAATTTTCTATTTTTGTGCCATCTGGGTCAAGTTCTACTGTCAAAATTATGCTCATTTTTGCAGACAGAATTTAGAAGAGTTATTTCTCTCATTATGTTTTGGGACAGTGTGCATAGTATTAGAATTTTGTTTGTCTTGATTATTCTACTGCATTCACCTCTGAAACAATTTCAGTCATATATTTTCTTTGAGGTAGATTTTGGAAATTTCTATTTTTATAGAAAAATCATCATTTTGCATAGTGTCAAAGAAAGTATATGTTATATGTCCAGTTAATTCATTATTTGAGGATACTTCCCTGCCCTTGCTTCTGATTTTGTGCTGGCTCTTGTTTACTTGACTGTTACCTACCTTCATCTATTTCATAGCCCTTTTTAACAGACTGGCCTTTATATGTAATTTTAATTAGGGCAAAGGTTAAGCTGATATAAGGAAAAGACCCCAAAGTACAGTGGTGTAAACCAGGTAGAAGTTTTGTTCCTCTTCATACAACAGTCCAGCTAGTCCAGGTTAGTCACCCTGTTTCTCAAAGTCATCCAAGATCCCAGGTTTCTTCTCCAGAAACCTCATCCACTCCAAGGGTATTTTCTTCATCTGTATAGCCAAAGTGGGATCATCACCAGGTCTGCATTCCAGAATGGAAAAGAGAAAAGAAAGAAAACCCAAGGCCATACGTTTTCTTTAAAGTAAGTGACATAGAATGAGCACCCAGCATTTCTGTTCACACTCATTAGTGAGAGTTTAATCAAGTGGCCTGCAGAGCCACAGGAAATACTGGAAATTGTGATCTCTGCAAGACTGCCATATACCCTATTGCTATGAAAGAAAGGGAAATTAGATTTACGAGGGACTTACAGTTTGCAACATTGTAAGGATATGTACTGATTTTTATTATTTGTTTTGTTTTTTAATCGTATCAGTCTGCTTTATTTAATTTTTGTTCTTACTGTTATTCTTTTGCTAACTTTTGGAGTTGATTTCTGCATGTAGCATTAGGATTGCTTAAAATATGCTCCTTCTGGGATTATGATAGAACCGCTTCTCTCCATAACTCAATATGGAAATAAGATTTGCCTTGCGCAATGAGATATGAGTAGAAGTGATGTGTCTCACCCTTTGATGGAGAAGGGGTAAGCGCCAGTGCACACTTTTCCATGTCCTTATTCCTCTCCTCTGGTGATCATGCAAGCCTCCATTGACCTGAATGACTATGAATGAATAGAATGAAGAAAAACTTTTGTTATCTTCAGTCCTTCAGATGTTTTGCCATTATTTATTATAGCAAAATAACTTATGTCCTGATGGCTATAAATGCTATATACATTTATTTTCATTTTGTTCTTATCAATAAATGTTAGTGTTAAAGACACTACTGTATAGTGAATTGTTGCAAATATTCTTGAAAAAATGTATATTCTCTGCTTTTTAGTATAGAGTTGAGTTTGTTAGCTATATATTTATGTTATTTAGACAATAATTTTATTAACTTTTTAATTTATTTAATTTTTATTTGCTTTTGTATGTTTTAACCTTTTTATTTTAAATAATTTTAAATACATGAAACTTGAAAAAATAACACAAGGAGCTCTTATATACCCTTCAACCAGATTTCCTAATTGACAACATTTCTAAACCCTAGAGAATAAGTTTTAAACATAAAGAAGAAATACTTCTTAATTTTTAGGGTATATTTTCTGAAATCTTTCTCAGAAAGCCACAATATAACCATCAAAATCAAGAAATTAATATTAATCCAGTATTATCTAATCCACAGATCCCATTCACATTTGCTAATATTGTAATGTTGTGATGTTGTTTATGGGTCTAGAATCCAATCCAGGATACCTGGTGCAACTAGTTGTCATGTCTCTTTTGTCTGGAATATTTGCTTACACTTTTCTTGACTGAATGAAGTTGATGTTTTTTAAAAGCACAGACAAGTTCCTTGGAGTTTTCCTGATATTACTTCATGATATAAGCATTTTTGTCAGAAACACCACAGAAGGGTGGACAGAAGATGATGCTGTATTCTCCCATTCCCAGTGATAATGAGGCAAATTTTTTCTTTGTCAATTAAATGTAATTCAGTCTATTTCAGGTAATTAATCAAATGATTCTAGATTTAAGCTCAGTCAATTGGGAAATTCTTCTGCCTCTTTCTTTTCCATCTCTTTTCCTCAGAAATGGGTCCTGTGGCTATGTGACAAAGGAGAGGGTAGAAAATAGTTCATCTTACTCTTCTGCCATCCTTTCATCCTCAGTGTACCATGTTGCCAGAGTATTCCTGGCTAGTGTTCCTGTGGTCTTTTCTCCTGGCGTAGTAAACACCTATGTTGCTCATTTGTGATTTAGCCATTGCATCAGCTCTTTCCTAAATATCTTGTTCCCAAGGCCCATTTTAATTCCAAATATATCTTATGTTTAAATACTTCAGTCATTTGGCTCTTCTAATGTATTAGTCAGGACAGGTTAAGCATACACAATAACAAACATCCCCCAAAATCCCAGTGGCTTAAAAAAACAAAGGGTTTTGCTCACTTACATGTCATTGTAGATTGGCAGGAACTCAGGCTTATGAAGCAGCCACATTGTAAATATTGCTATTCACTATGCCAGATGGAAAAGCAGATATAGCAAAGAACACACTGATTCTTAATGCTTCTGTTCATATCTCACTCAGCAAGGCAAACTGCAGGGCCACAGCTAATTTCAAGTGGGTAAAGAAATACAAACCACTGATATTCCCAGAGGGAACATCCCTAGTGACTTTCACACACAGATTTCTCTAAGATAGATCCTGTGTTCATAGCCTGAGTTAATGTAAAAACCCGGTCTCATATTTGTTTCCATTCTGAAGTTTCTTTATCCCTTCACTATTTGCCTCCAGGTTCTAAAGAGGATAAACATACTTCCACAATTCTGTTCTATTCCAACCCCTACCGAAACCCAAATCACTCGATTGTACACATATCCACTTTCTAGACCTCATTCTTTTCTCAGGTAAGACCCTTGGTTTATAACTAAATCTGAGTGGTGTTCACATAGTAAGCAGAGAAGCTCTTTAAAGCTCTTTTAAATACTTTAAATAGTTATTTAGGGTCTTCCAGGTTTTACTGATCCTTAGACAAGTTTGAAGCATGGCCTAGGCAATAATCTTGCTCTTGCTGTGATGGTTTTAGAAAACTTGAATTTACTTCAAACTAAAAAGATAACTAAATTAAAATTCTGAATTCAGAATTCTTGAAAATAACTTTATGGGGGGATGTGAATGGGGTGGTAAATTGTATCCCAAGTGTGAGGTCTTGTCTGAAGGAGACCGTGTATGGGACCAGTTCATCAAGAAATGATTTGTCATATATGTGGCTGCCTCTGAGATGGATTTGCCAGTTCAGAACATTACAAAGAGATGTTTCAGTTAGATAAAGTCAGTCCCAGATTCAAAATCTATTTTCATCCTGGTCTTATTTTCCATTCACATTTAACTTTGTTACATGTAGGCTCTTATGTTGCAAATACTCAGTAAACTTAAATATGATGTCTGTAATCCCATTTCGTCTTCTGCACAAAACCCCTAATTCAAATGCCAGCTTCCCCTTCAAATCTAGGATAAGTCCACTGCATAGGTTCTGTGTAGTAACTTTATAAAGAGATGAAAATCAGGCCAATGAGGCTGTCTACACATCTCTTAACTTGAGGTCAGTTCAGGAGCATCAGTTAATCCTCACCTTGGGTGAACAGTATTTCAGCAACCATTTATTAGTTCCTGCATTTTCTAGAATTTCATATGATGTAATCATTGAGTAGCTACTCTCTGATTTTGTCTGGCTTCAAAAAATCTAAATGAAAGCATATACCCATTCAAATACTTGTATGTAAATTTTGTTGGTTGTTTGCAATAGCTAGAGTGGAAACAACCCAAATGTCCACGGATAATTGAATGGATAAACAAACTGTGGTATATACATACAATGGAATACTACTCAGCAGTAAAAATGAATGAACTATGGAAACACCTAAAATATGGAAGTCTTAAAATAATTATGCCAAGTGAAAGAAGTCAAGCCAAAAAATAGCACACACTGTAAGAGTCTATTTATATAAAACTATAGAAAATGTAAACAATAGTTATAGAAAGTAGATAAATAGTTATCTGGGGATAGGGAGTGAGGAGGAGAAATGGGAAAAAGTGATTACAAAAGGATATGAGTGATCTTTTTGGCAATGTGTATGATCACTCTCTTGATTGTGGCGATAGTTTAATGGGTATATAAGTATGTTAAAACCTACTAAATGGTGCATTTAAAATATGTGTCTTATTACAATTAAATAAATAAATATGTTAAATCTGTTAAAAAACTGATTAGAGAGCCATTACTCAATAAAAAATGATGAAGGGAGAGAGCTACTAAAATATTTCAAAATTATATTCAGAAATTATAAATTACATAATACACACATACAGAAAGCTTATTCATGACTGCCAGACACTAGGTTGAGGAGGGGGATTAATTACCAAAGGCAAGAGGGAAGTTTGAGATGATGAAAATGTTCTGCATTATGATTATGGCAATGGTTACATGACTACATATTTGTCAAAATTCACTGAAATGTACATTTGGAATAGGTGAATTACTTAGTATGTAAATTATACTCTACGAAAAAGACTAATTAAAAAGAAATTAAGTCCTCACATATAAATAATTACCCTGAATTTAAATGGATTAAACCTCCCATTTAAAAGATATAGACCAGCTGAGTGGATTAAAAAACACAATCCAACTGTATGTCACCTACAGACCCAACTGTATGCTGCCTGCAAGAAACTCATCTCACTTGCAAAGAAAACATATAGATTGAAAGTAAAGGGATGGAAAAAAGATACTCCATGCAAATGAAAACTAAAAGCAAGTGTAAGTAGCTGTACTTACACCAGAGAAAACAGACTTTAAATCAAAAACAGTAAAAAGAGACAAAGAAGTCATTATATAATGATAAAGAGATCAATTCAGCAAGAGGATATAACAATTCTAAACATAAATGCACCCAACACCAAAGCTCCAGATATGCAAAACAATTATTTAAGCTAAAGGGAGAGAATGATTCCTATACAATAATAGTTGAGGACGTCAGCAACCCATTCTTAGCAATAAACAGATCATCTAGATGGAAAATTAATGAAGAAACATTGGATTTAAACTGACTTTAGACCAAAAGCCCCTAAGAGGCATTTAGAGAACATTTCATCCAACAGCTCCTGAATACACATTCTTCTCATTAGCACACAGATCATTCTCTGGCATATACTGTATGTTATGGCACAAAACATGTCTCAAAAAATTTCAAAAAATCAAAATCATTTCAAGTGTCTTCTTAGACCACAAGAGAAAAAAACTAGAACTCAGTATTCCCACAAGGGAGTAGAACTAGAGAAACTTTGAAAATTGTACAAATACATGGAAATTAAACATCATGCTCCTGAATGACCACTGGGCAAACGTAAAAATTAAAGGAGAAATTTAAAAGTTTCTTGAAACAAACGAAAATCAAAAGGCAACATACCAAAATTTATGGGATACAGCAAAAGCAGTGCTAAGAGGGAAATTTATAGAAATAAGTGCCTACATCACAAAACAGAAAGATTTAAAATAAACAGTCTAACAATGCACCCCAAGAAATAAAGCAAGAATAAGCCAAACCCCAAATTAGTTAAAAAATAAAATAAAAGAAAGAATAAAAATGAAATAGGACTACATGAAATTGAGACTTAAAAATGCAAAGAATCAATGAAATGAAAAGCAGGTTTTTTTAAAAGGTAAACAAAATTGACAAACTACTACCTAGACTAACCAAGAAAAAAAAAAGAGAGAAGAGCAAAATAAACAAAATTAGAAATTAAAATGGAGACATTACAACTGGTACCGCAAAAATGCAAAAGATCATCAGATGCTATTTTAAGCAACTACACACTAGCAAACTGGAAAACCTAGAGAAAATGGATAAATTCCTGGACACATAAAACCTACCAAGATTGAATCAGGAAGAAATAGAAAACCTGAACTGACCAATAATGAATAATGAGATTGACTCAATAAGTCTCCCAAGAAAGAAAAACTCAGAACTGGATGGATTCACTGTGGAATTCTACCAAACTTTCCAAGAAGAACTTACACCAACTTTCCTCAAACTATTCCAAAAATCAAAGAAGAAGGAATTTTCCCTAACCCATTATATGAGGCCAGCATTATTCTGATACCAAAAGCTGACAAAGATGCACCATAAAAATAAAACTGTGGGCTGATATTCCTCATGTATATAGATACAAAATACTGGCAAACTGAATCCACAGCCTATTAAAGAAAATAATACAACACAATCAAGTGGGATTTATGCCATGGATACAAGGATGGTTCAGCATATGCAAATCAATGGGATACATTACATCAACAGAATGAAGGACAAAAACCATATGATTATCTCAATATTCACAGAAAAAGCATTCGATAAAATTCAACACTGCTTCATGATAAAAACTCTCAACAAACTAGGTATAGAAGGAATATGCTCCAAAATAATAAAGGCCATATATGACAAAGCCACCACTGACATCATACTGAATGAGGAAAAACTGAAAGCCTTTCCTCTAAGAACTGGAAGAAGAGAAGGATGTCCACTTTCACCACTCCTATTCAGCATTGCACTGGATGTCTTAACCAGAGCAATCAGGCAACACAAAGAAATAAAAGACATCCGCATTGGCAAAAAAGGAAATTAAATTGTTCCTATTTGCAATTTCTATCAAAATACCAACCAACATCATTTTTTACAGAAATTTGTTAAATACTAAATTTTGTATGGAACCCCAAAAGAGCCTGAATAGCCAAAGCAATCATATGCAAAAAGAACAAAGCTGGAGGCATCACACTACCTGACTTCAAAATATTTTACAAGACTATAATAATCAAAATGACATAGTATTGGTATAAAAACAGCCACATAGACCACTGGAACTGAATAGAGAACCTGGAAATAAATCCACATATTTTCAGCCAACTAATTTTCAACAAAGGCATCAATAACATACATTGGGGAAAATACACCCTCTTTAATAAATGGTGCTGAGAAAATTGGATACCCATGTGCAGAAGAATGAAACTGAACTGCTGTCTCCCACCAGCTACAAAAATAAACTCAAGATACATTACAGGCTTAAATGTAAGACCTGAAACTATAAAACTACTTAGAAGAAGATATAGAGGAAACTCTTCTGGACATTGGTTTAGGCAAAGATTTTATTGCTAAGACCTCAAAAGCACAAGCAACAAAAACAAAAATAGGAAAATGGGACTATATTAAACAAAAAAGCTTCTGCTCAGCAAAGGAAACAGTCACCAGAGTGAGAGATGACCTGCTGAATGGGAGAAAATATTTGCAAACTATTTATCCAACAAAGGACTAGTATCCAGAATGTACAAGGAATTCAACAGTAAAGAATTTTTTTAAAAAAAATCTCAGTTAAAAGTGGACAAAAGGCATGAATAGACATTTCTCAAAAGAAGACTACAAATGCCCAACAGGTATATGAAAAAATGCTCAACATCACTAATCATCAGGGAAATGCAAATCAAAACCAAATGAGATATCATCTTACTCTAGTGTGAGAATGGCTATTACTTAAAAGATAAAAAGTAACAAAGATGTGAAGAAAAGGGGAATCTTATACACTGTTGGTGAGAATGTAAATTTGTACAGTCACTATGGAAAACAGTATAGGGATTTCTCAAAAATCTAAAAATAGACATGCCACATAATCTGGCAATCTCACTAGTGGGAATTTATCCAAAGGAAAAGAAATCAGTACATCAAAGGGATACCTGTACTCCCATGTTTACTGCAGCACTTCTCACAATAGCCAATGTATGGAATCAACCTAAGTATGCATCAATGGATGAATGGATAAGAAAATCTGGTATATATCTACACAATGGGATACTATTTGGCCATAAAAAGAATAAAATTATGTCATTTGCAGCAACATGGATGGAACAGGAGGTCATTATGTTAATTGAAATAAGCCAGGTCCAGAAAGATGAATCTCACATGTTTCTAAGTCATATGTGGCAGCTAAAAAATTTGATCTTGTGAAGGTAGAGGGTAGAATGATAGCTATTAGAGGATAGAAACAGTGTGGAGGTGGATGGGTGGATGAAGAGAGGTTGGTTAATGGGCACAAACATACAGTTAGGTAGAAACAAATAGCAGAGTAGGGTGACTATAGTTAAAAACAATGTATTATATATTTCAAAATATATGGTGCTTCTAGTGTGAAGAGAGAATTTGAAATGTTCCCAATACATAGAAATGGTAAATGCTCAAGGTAATGGGTGCCACAAATACCCTGACTTGATCATTACACATTCTATGTATATGACAAGATAACACATACCCCATAAATATATACAGATAATATGTACCAATTCTTAAAGATTTTTAAAAAGAAATCAAATCACTCAAAAATAGTGCTAGGTACTAATGTAGGTGCTGATATAGTGATAAACAGAGCAGTAAACATACTTTAAAGAGTATAAATTCAGTGGAGGAGACATGATAAACATGTAAGCAAATAAAGATCTGGTCATTTCAACAGGAGCTAGACTAAAACTGGCTTGTGTGTGTGTGTTTGTGTATGTCTGTGTGTATGTAGAGGGTCTACTTTGGCCTCAGAGTTCAGAAAAGGCTTTTCTGAAGAAGATATATTGAAGTTGACACCTGAGTGACATGAAGAGACACCATGTTAAAGATATGGGACAGAGCCTTCTGGACAGAGGAAGCTGCTAGTACAAAAGAACAGAGAGAAGGTCACTGGGGTAAGGGCAAGTGAGTGAGGGGGAGAGGTTGGCAGCATGCTGATCATGCAGAGCTTCAGTGTCCATGAATGCAAAGATGGTGTATTAGTCCATTTTCACACTGCTATAAATAAATACCCGAGACTGGGTAATTTATAAAGGAAGGAGGTTTAATTAACTCACAGTTTCACATGGCTGGGAAGCCTCAGGAAACTTACAATCATGGCGGAAGATGAAGGGGAAGCAAGGATCTTCTTCACACAGTAGCAAGAGACAGAAAAGAAAGCCAAGGGGGAAGAGCCCCTTATAAAACCATCAGATCTCAGGAGAACTCATTCATTATCATGAGAACAGCATGGGGGAAACTGCCCCGATGATCCAGTCACCTCCCACCAGGTCCTTCCCTTGACAAGTGGGGATTACTATTCGAGATGAGATTTGGGTGGGAACACAGAGTCAAACCATATCAGATGGCCTGATGGCACTAGTCTAGATGGCCCAACGGTCCTTTTTTCTTCCAGGATTCTATGGCATTAATTTTGTCATTACTGTGAAATATTTGAGATTAAGTGGACATGCTTTTGTATTTTTCTTTTTTTTTAAATTTTAAGTTCAGGGGTACAAGTGCAAATTTATTACATAGGTAAATTTGTGTCATGGGGGTTGGTTGTAAAGATTATTTCATCATCCAGGTATTAAGCCTAGTGCCTATTAGTTATTTTTCATGATCCTCTCCCTCCTTCCACCCTCCACCCTCTGAAAGGCCCAGTGTGTGTTGTTTCCCTCTATGTGTTGATGTGTTCTCATCATTTAGCTCCCACTTATAAGTGATAACATGCAGTCTTTGGTTTTCTGTTCCTGTGTTAGTTTGCTAAGGATCATGGCCTCCAGCTCCATCCATGTCCCTGCAAAGAATATGATCTCATTTTTTTTATGGCTGCGTAGTATTCCATGGTGTATATGTACCACACTTTCTTTATCCAACCTATCTTGATGGGCATTTAGGTTGATTTCATGTCTTTGCGATTGTGAATAGTGCCACAATGAACATAAGCATGCATGTGTCTTTATGATAGAATGATTCATATTCCCTTGGGTATATATCCAGTAATGAGATTTCTGGGTTGAATGGTATTTCTGTCTTTAGGTCTTTGAGGAATCACCGCACCATCTTCCACAATGGTTGAACTAATTTACACTCCCATTAACAGTGTATAAAACATCCTTTTTCTCTACAACCTCACCACCATCTTTTATTTTTTGACTTTTTAATAATAGCCAGTCTGACCGGTGTTAGATGGTATCTCATTGTGGTTTTGATTTTCATTTCTCTAATGATCAGTGATGTTGAGCTTTTACAAAGCTGGAGACATCATGCTACCTGACTTCAAACTATACTGCAGGGCTATAGTAATCAAAACAGCATGGCACTGGTACAAAAACAGACACATAGACCAATGGAAAATAATAGAGAACCCAGAAATAATACTGCACACCTATAACTATCTAATCTTCAACAAACTTGACAAAAACAAACAATGGGGAAAGTATTTCCTATTCAATAAATGGTGCTGGGATCACTGGCTGGCTGTATGCAGAAGATTGAAACTAAACTTCTTCCTTACACCATATACAAAAGTTAATTCAAGATAGATTATAGACTTTAATGTAAAACCCCAAACTACAAAAACCCTGGAAGACAACCTAGGCAATACCATTCAGGACATAGGCACAGACACGGATTTCATGATCAAAACACCAAAAGCAATTGCAACAAAAGCAAAAATTGACAAATGGGATCAGATTAAACTAAAGAGCTTCTGCACAGCAAACCATCAACAGAGTAAACAGACAACCTACAGAATGGGAGAAAAATTTTGCCAACTATGCAGCTGACAAAGGTGTAACATACAGCATCTATAAGGAACTTGAACAAATTGACAAGAAGAAAAAAACAAAAAATCCCATAAAAGTGGGCAAAGGACATGAACAGACAGTTTTTAAAAGAAGATGTACATGCAGCCAACAATCATATGAAAAAGAGTTTTTATATTTTTCTGTGTCACAGATGAGTTCATATTGGATGCTTGGCTTAGTATTTGTTAGTTTATTTGCTCATATTCTCCTTGAAAACTGTTTCATGCTCTTTCTTAAATAAAACTCATTATTTCTCCCCAGTAGATTAAGATTTTTTTTGGCTTTAAAGATTTTCTATTCCTTGCACCACTGCTACTCTTGAATTTTGGAAGTTTTGCTTTTAACTCTCTGACAGACAGAATAATGTTTTGAAAGCTGAGACTTCTTGGGGACAATCTCTTTGGATAACCAGATCTCTAGAAAATATACCACCCATCTCATTGAAATTCACCAGATATATATTGGGTGCCCACTGTATGCCAGGCACTGTGATAAGCCTTGGTGGTATTATGTTGTTGGGCTATAAACACAGGCTCTGGAGTCAGACTATTGGGGTTCAGCTCTCAGCTCTACCTATAATAAACTGTAGAATTTTGTGCAAGTTTACTCACTCACTTTGTCCTATATTTCCTTTTCAGTAAAATGCGGATAATAATAAAACCTGTTTTATAGGTAGTAATGAGGACCAAAAGAGATGGAACAATGTCTGACACATTTTATGTACAAGTTTGTTAATGAAAAAAAAAGTTTCCTTGTGTTTTTCTGTGTTTTGCTAACATTTAGTACCAATTATTTTTTAATCTGTACCACAAACCCTGCCATTATTAGAAATACCTTACACAAATAGCCCTTATGTCTGCATTACATATATATTACATATATATATATATATATATATATATTTGCATAAGCACTCAAAAATTAGGCTATTGTTGTTAAGCATTTGAGACATTTGTGTTGAACTCAAGGATCCCAGATAATGGCAGCAGCCCTCCAAAAGGTGAGGGTCTGTCCATATGGATGTGCTCTGGGGCCCAGGGGCAGGGGGTGGGTGGGCTTTGCAGAATGTCAGCATGAGCTACAACTGCACAGAAACTGTTCTGCATGGGTGGGACATCTCTGAGCAGTATTGACCTGGACCCTTATTAGTTGCCCATCTTTTCATTTGACATTTGGTTAAAATCATGGCAAGAAAAAACTGGAGGTTAGGGTTTGTGTCAGTCCTTACTCCTCTATCATTACATTATACTAGCACCCTGGGACTAGGGCAATAGAAAGATAATTTTTACAAGACCAGTAAATAAGCTTCAAGCAGATAAAGAATTATTACTTAAGGGATGGTGTATCATTAATTATTCTCTGTCTCTACAGTGGATGGACATGAAAGTAAGTTTGGTGCTTCACAAGAGAAATAGAAGTTGGTTAATGAAAAAAACTTTCTGACAAGGGAGTTATTAAATGCCGTAATGTGTTATTAAGTCTGGTGGAAAACTATTTTACTAGAAACAATTTTTTTTTAAAGCATACTTACTTGCCTACCTGGGGCTGTTAAGTCAGTCCCGCTTGGTGGCAGTGGACAAAAAATGTTCCCAGCAACCCACGGATGCAGTGAAATGGACAGTGGCACTAAACAGGTGTTTCCTGAGCTCTCTGTGCCAGAAGTTCTGGATGCTGAGGATATAGAGCTGAACCAGCACAATCCCTGACATCAGTGAGCTCAAGGTGTGGGGCAAGTTTCCAGGGGATCTAGGGGCACAGGGAGTTTGAAGACCACAGGGAACCAGAGATGACTGGTCACATATTTCTCACATCAGACCTTGGATACCTGATACATGTGCTAAGGATGAGAGCATAAGCAAAAGTCTGCTCATTCAGCATGCCCAAATGGAGGAAGCAGACTTTCCTGGTTCATGGTGAATAGATGGCTATGAGGGCTTGGGTTGGTCAGTCCTGGTTTTTGGTCTGAGGAATTAAATCACAGCCATGGTCATGTCAAAGCGACTCTCATTCTTATTCCCATCTTTCACAGTTATGAGAGTCTAAGATTTAAGATCCCCCACTCCCACCCTCCCCTGTAAGAGTTTAATGAGCTTGGGAGAGGTGCATTAGAGAGAATTTGCTATGGATGATCTAATTGGCTCTGAGAATGAACAGCCCTGAAGACACCAGCCTCTCATCTTGTTGGGGCAATGTAAGTCATTGTTAGGGGCACAGGCTTGGGAAACAAGCAGAAAAAGGCTCTCATATTCTAAGTGAGTGACTGGGCCTAATTATTTAACTCCTCCAAGCACCAGCTTCTGAATCTGTAAAAAAAAGAAGATAGTAATGATGGCATTAATTACAGAACCTGGCAAATAACAAGAACTCATAAATTGCAATTATATTTATGTTATTATTGCTGTTATTCTGTTGCTTAACCAAGCAAGCCCATGCCATCCTTCCCTCTGATTTGGCTGTGGTGTCTGCTGATTCAGTCTTTGTATGGAAGGGGTGTGACAAGTTGCCCTTAATTTATTATGGGACACAGGATCCATTCTATCTATATCCTCTAAAAAACAGGAGTAGTGGCTCATGCCTGTAATCTCAGCATTTTCGGAGGCTTAGGTAGGTGGATCCGTTGAGCCCAGAAGTTTCAGACCTGGGCAACATAACGAAACCTCGTCTCTCCAAAAAAAAAAAAGAAAAGAAAAAAAAGAAAAGAAAAGAAAGAAAGAAAAAAAGAAAAGAAATATCAGCCAGGCATGGTGGCGCATGCCTTTAGTCCCAACTACTTGAGGGCCTGAGGTGGGAGGGTTGCTTGAGCCCAGGAAGTCGAGGCTGCAGTGAGCCATAACCACACCACTGCACTCCAGCCTATGCAACAAAGTGAGACCTTGTCTCAAAAAAAGCGAAAAAAAAAAAAAAAAAAGGTTTTGTGTGTGCAATCCTCAGCAGCTCCTGAGATATATGGCCTCCAGGAAAATGAACCCACAGAATGGAAAGTCTGGTGAGTGGAGGGAAGGAAAAAACAAGTGTAGAGCTCCAGGGATGCCAATATTTTGTCCACAATTTGATAATGAAAAATATGTTTCCTTGTGTTGTTGCTGTGTGTTTTGCTAATAACATTTAGTTACTAATTAGTTTTTTAAAGAATGTATACTACAAATCCCAAGAGCCCTTATGTCTGCATTAAAAAATTATATATGTAGACACACACCCTTTTACCATTTAGCAATTTCTTGCTAAGGATGGATCTAGAAAATGGCACAGTGGTTAAAATCCCAAATGTTATTTTCTGGACTCCCACAGCAGAGTTATTATCTTTTCTTGGTGCTCCATAAACATACAATGCCTACTTGCAACTTTTCCTTTGCCTAGACAGACAGACCAACAGACACTTCTCCAGGAATGGCCCATTTGATTCCAGCACTTCTTTAAAACCACTTTCAATTGCTGAAATGTTTTTCCACTTTCTCTCGTGGGATTTGACCAGTCTCCTCTACTACTTCTCCCTCCTGCTTGGCTTCCTCTCATCTTTCTTTCTGCCACACAACTGCAGCCAAACACAGGACTAGCCTTTCTGGTCATTACAAGTCCCTCCTGTCTCACACCAGTTCTTGTTCTCAGTACCCTGATAATTAGTGGTTTGGATAGAGCATGGAAAATCAGGAATATTTTATCTTGGGATGTGTGTATGTGTGTGTGTGTGTACGTGTGTGTGTGTGTGGTGTGTTTGTGTGTGTAGAGGGGTTGTAAAGAAGGCAGATGGGGGTGTGATAAATGGAACGCAGGGGCAACCTAGGAAGCAGCCTTAGTTTCATATGCTCAGACACAGATTGGGCAATGCAGGGTGTTTTGTTCTCTGTCCAGTTGCTTCTTCCAGTAACATGTGGAACAAATGTCTCTTTTGGACTATGATGAGGTAGCGTGGATAGGTCTGTAGCATCATTGCATTTGGACTCTCAACTGGTTTTATTTCCTATTGAACCTTTAATGGAAACACATACACAGCAAGTCAAGGCCTGTCCCTTTCCCTTTTTTCTTTTTTTTTATTTCTTCCAGGAGTGCTGATGATAAGGAAAGCGATGTCTAAATCTTCTTAATGGTGTTTATGCAAGCAGTTTTGCTTAGCTGCAAACTGCACAGCCCCCTCCCCTCCCATTGCCCTGCTAATATTGCTGCTTCATTCCTTTTCCTGTTGGCTATTACTATGGACTACAGCAAATCTAAAACTAAATAATCCCCTTAGTGTCAAGTTTTCAGGGCTGAGCAAATAAATCTAACGAAATGCATTATCTAGGCGGAGGAGGCTGTTGTAAGGGGGAAAAGATGAAAGCTATTTTATTTTAAGGCAGAGAATAAACCGTCGATCGTTTGGGGTGCTCCATTGTAATTTTAAGTATTGTTATTTTATTTTACTTAACTATTGATCATGCCCTTTTTTGATTGTAATTAAAAACCCTGCAAAGCTTCTAAAGGCCAGAATTAAAGGGGGTGGGGAGTGGGAGGGCAGAGAATGAGGATGTAATGAGGAAGCTATGCAAATTCCCTCTAGTTCAGATAGTTCTTATGTTCTACTGAGGCCAGGGGTGCTGGGGAATGAACAATGGCATCTTCTTTTTTTCTCTTTTGCACCCTCTCACACCTAGGATGGTGATAGGAGTAAAACGAAAGGCACTGTCAGAACAGAGAAATGGAGAGATTTATTTAGGAGAAGAAATCTCAGTCTCTGTATCATCTGCTGGGTGAAGCAACTTTCCATCTGAGAGAAAGGAGTGCCCACACCCTGTCTACCCACGTCCAGGCCAGCTTAAAAGTCTAACAGGACTTATGTGTAAGTACCTGGATGAACTGAGCTGAGCCCTTGCTCAGCTCAGGCAGGGTGCTCCTGGCTCCTTATTCTGTTGGCTCTTACTTGATTGGCTTTTTCTTAAATACCCTCAGAGAGGCCCAGTTTAGTGAAGATTGGTCTTTGAGCCTCATGACTCTATAACTAGTGAATTGTACCCAGGATGTGTGGAAATGGTCACCAAATGACCTGTGTCCATTTATTTGTTTATCCATTTCTCACTCACCCAATTATTAATTCATTGCTCAAAAACACCGAGCATTAACCTACTTCCAGATATTGCTCTGGGCACATGAGTTATATAGCAAAGAATAAAACGAAGTCCTGCCTTCATGGGGCTTATGCTCTAGAGAGCAGAGACAACAACCAAACAAACAAAATAGATAAATAGGAAGTTTGTCAAGTCTTATAAAGAAAAATTAAGCAGAGCAAGGGTTATAGGAAGAGACAGGGAAGTCAGGAAAGACCTCACTGTCTCATTTATTCATTCAACAACATTAATTGAGCACTTACTAGAGCAAAGCACTGTTCCAAGCTCTGGGGATACCATGGTAAACAAAACAGATAAATTTCATGCCCCTATTAAGTTTATATTCTACTGGGGGAAAATGCCAGTAAACAAGACAAGTAAAATATGTGCTAGAAAAATATTAAAGTCTGAAGAGAAAGGGAATGAAGCATGGGGAAAGTTGAAATTTTAGCCAGGTGACATGTAAGCTGAAGCAAGTGAGGAAATGAACTGCATGAACACTTGGGGAGTAGAATGTTCCAGACTGAGAAAACAGCCAGTACAAAGGCCCTGAGGTATAGCCCAAGCTTGGCATGTTGGAAGAACAGTGAAGAGGCCAGTGTGGCTGCAGCAGACTGAGTGAGGACAAGGAAGTGGCACTGATAAGATGCCAGGCAAAGACAGCTTCCCCAGCCTCCTGCTCCCAAGGCCCATGCACTTTCTTCTGTCCTTGTGGCCATCACTGTTTGTCCCTGACTGCTTATACATCTGTCTCTTACATCACAAAAAGAGATATCATTTTATCCTTTAAATCCTCAGCACTTGGCACATTTAGATGAAAAATGAAATGAATAATGACATACAGCCTTTTTGTCCTGCTTCAAATTTAAATCTGTTCTTTTTACAAGAAAAATTTCTCTCCGCAACCCACCTAAAAATCCCTCGATACAGTGGAGCTTCAATTGCAACCTCCCTCACTCTTCTTTGTAGAAAGGCCCTTCCTCAAGAAAGAAACTTGTGGCCAGGCATGGTGGCTAACACCTGTAATCCCAACACTTTGGGAGGCTGAGGTGGGTGGATCGCCTGAGGTTAGGAGTTTGAGACCAGCCTGGCCAACATGGTGAAATCCCATCTCTACTAAAAAATAGAAAAATTAGCTGGGCATGGTGGTGCACACCTGTAATCCCAGCTATTTGGGAGGCTGAGGCAGGAGAATTGCTTGAACCTGGGAGGTAGAGGTTGCAGTAGTGAGTCGAGATCATGCCATTGCATTCCAGTCTGGGTGACAGAGCGAGTCTCCAGGAAAGAAAGAAGGAAGGAAAGAGAAAGAAAGAAAGATAGAAAGGAAGGAAGGGAGGGGCGGAGGGAGGGAGAGAGAGAAAGAAAAAAGAAAGAAAGGAGAGGAGGAGAGGAAGAGAGAGGGAGGGAGGGAAGGAAGGAAGGAAGGAAAAAGAGAGAGGAAGGAAAGGAAGGAAGGAAAGAAGGAAGGAAGGAAGACAGGCAGGCAACTTGTTACACAATAAGTAAACTAAGTCTTATTGGCTTACTCCAGCGATGAGGAATATCACATAGGCAATTCAGAAATGGTATTTCATTAGGAAAATTGAGTGCACAATTTTTATTATGTTTGGGTTGGGCTTGGAAGTTCTTTGGGTGAGATGTCAGAAGAAAGTAAGTATTGGGTTAATTGTGTTTTAAGATGAGGATTGATGCAAGCAAAGTGATGTTCTGAGCAAAGAAGGAAGAGTTGTGTTGCAAGACATTCTGTAGGTGTAATTGCATAACTGATGGGACTGGTTGTTCTGGTTGCTGTATCTTTTACAGGATAAGTGACTCCCATTTAGGTTTTCCTCTCATCTTGTTTACTGTCCCTTTAGACAGGGCCACTGAGAGCCTTGTAGAGAAGTTTCAGAAGTTCTGTCCAAACTCTGGGTGCAGTGTTCTAAGATGAATACAACCTAGGTGGAAATTTAGAGATCTACATTTTTCATATTATAGCCATACCACTCCAAAGCTTCTGGGAGATTTAAGCAGATGACAATTTTCCATCAGAAGGCTTACATTTTGCAGATGCTGCCTCAGAGAAAAAAAGAAGAGGTATAAAGTAAGACTTCTTGGGTTACTTTTTATTATGAAATAATTTTAGACTTACAGAGAAGCTGCAAAAACAGTTCAGAGAGTTTATATGCTTCATCCAGCTTCCCCTAACAATTTATGTAACAATTATATATAACCATAACACAATTATTAAAACTAGGAAATTAACCTGGTACAACACTGTTAACTAAACTACAGGCCTTATTTGAAGGAAATTTCTCTTTAGGCAGATTTTAGCTTATCTTTAATCAGTGTTAAAATTTAGCAACACAGTAGGTTCTATGGCATCTATTGCTGCATAATAAATGTCCAGAAATGTAGTTGCTTAAAACAAATATTTTATTATTGCAGCCATGATTCTGCAGGTAAGAAATTTGGACAAGTTAAAATGGGAAATGCTCATCTCTGCTCCATGATTTCTGGAGTCTCAGCTAGGAGGACTCAAGGGGCCAGAGGTTGCAACTAGAGACTAGCCATAGAAGAATCTCCCTATTTCCACACCACCTTTCCACATGGCTAGCTTAAGCTTTCTCACATTATAGTAGCATTGGGGCAGTTGAGCATCTTTCATGGTGGCTCAGGGCTCCATGAGAAAGGAAGCCAAAACTGACAGTCCTTTTAAAAGTTGGGCCTGGGACTGGCAGTGCATCACTTTCACCCTGTTCTATGGGTTGAAGCAGACACAGGCAAGCCCAGATTTGAGGGGTGTGCACCAAAGGTCTCTTTCACTCTTTATTGGAGCAGTGTCACAGAACTTGCTGCCAATTTCATTTTGCTGTAGGTAAAAATTGTATCAGCTAATTTCGTGTCTTGGAGAGGGACACATTACATTAAAGCAGATTTCTTTTGTTCTGATAAGAGTCACTTAGGAAGCCTTCCTCTCTTACTTTGGTGGAAAATATAAGAAGACCTTTCTTCCTCCACATAGTTTGGCAAAATCTGTCCAGAGCTCTGAAGGAAGTCCAGGCAAATCCATATGAGGAACCCAAGGGATTTCTGGGAAGTAAGGTTCACAGTTAAGGTATACTGTGGGGATGGATGACAGTGATTCTGGCCAACGTCTATGGACAGAAAATAACACCAAAGTTCCTAGAGAGGAACTTAGTGTGAAGAAGGGGCATCTGGTCTAGTGATCCAGGTCACATATGAGCCTACAGGTTGAGGGGAAAGGGCTGCTGTGACAGCTGGGCTATGACCCAGCCATCCCAGCTAACAACTTTGCTCTAAAAGTGAAGCTTAGCCAAGTATATGTGACATGGAGAGCTCACCACCCTGGCCTGTCTGGTATCTGTACCTGTAAAAGCCTCAGGGTAGCAGAGGACAAGGATCCACCAGTGCGGCCCTTTTACCTGGTAATACAGTGTGGCAGAGATGAAGCAATAGGTGGACTACTGAATTCCTCTCTGTCTGGAAATTAGAAGTAAGACTTACTCTTCAGGGTTTTTGGATAATTCTGGGGAAGGGACAATGGTCTTAGGAAAGAGATACTGCACCTCCTGCTTATAAGAGCCCAACAATATGTACATAAATAACTGGAAAATCTGGAAGCATATGGTCTTTTTTCTATTCTTGAGAAAGTGGAGTAAAGCAGGTCAATCAATTATAACAAGGGTCAATAAACTTTTTCTTTTAAGGACTGGATAGTAAATATTTTGAGCTTGCTGGTCACATGGTTTCTATCACAACTACTCAACTGTGCTGCTCTGGTATGAAAGCAGCCAGAGAAAATATGCAAACAAGTGAGTGTTCAAAACATTTTATTTATAGACTCTGAAACATGAATTTCATAAAATTTTCATGTCACAAAATATTTTTCATTTGATTTTGTCCAAACAATTTAAACATCTAAAAACCACCCATAGCTCAAAAAACATACAAAAATAAGGAATTGACCAGCTTTGGCCTGTAGGTCATAGTTTGCCCAACCCCTGAGTTCCCCCTAGGAGGTCTCAAAGGGCAAGGGGCTGGAACTAGGGACTGGCCATGTAAGACTCTATTTTTGACCACATTTCCACGTGGCTAGCTTAAGCTTCTTAGCAGTGCAGTGGCATTGGGGGCAGTTGAGCTTCTTTCATGTTGGCTCAGGGCTCCAGGAGGAAGGAAGCAAAAACTGACAGTCCTTTTAAAAGTTGGGCCTAGGACTGAAAGTGCATCACTTCCACCCTGTTCTATGGGCTGAAGCAGACACAGGCAAGCCCAGATTCAAGAGGCCTGCACAAGGGTCTCCTCTTGATTGGAGCAGTGTCAAAGAACTTGCTGCGAATTTTATTTTAATTTAATAAGTTGTTAGACAATACATTCTTTTTAATTTTAATTTTAATTTTTACTTTATTTATTTATTTATTTGAGATGGGAGTCTTGCTCTTGTCACCTAGGCTGGAGTGCAATGGTGCAATCTCAGCTCACTGCAACCTCTGCCTCCAGGTTCAAGTGATTCTCCTGCCTCAGCCTCCCGAGTAGCTGGGATTAAAGGTGCCCACCATCACCTTTGGCTAATTGTTTTTGTATATTTTTAGTAGAGACAGGGTTTCACCATGGTGGCCAGGCTGGTTTCCAACTCCTGACCTCAGGTGATCTGCCCGCTTCAGCCTCCCAAAGTGTTGGGATTACAGGCGTGAGCCACTGCACCCAGCCAATAATATATTATTCTCTCATTCAAGAAATCTAAAGGTAGATAAGTCCTGAATTGGTTAATTCAGAAGCATAAGGATTCAGGCTCTAAGTCACTTAGTGCTGTCATCACTACTGGGGTCATGAGGTCAAGGGCCAAGAAGTTTGCAGTAGCTGCAAGCATCACTGCCTTACCAGAGGCTCTGAAACTTCAATGTGTATCAGAATAACCTAGAAGACTTGTTAAAACGCAGTAGTTGGTTCCACCTGCAGAGCTCATGACTGAGTAGGTCTGGTGGGGGGTGAGGGTTAACTGAGGATTTAGTTTTTTCCAGTTATCGCGGCTAAGATTTATCACAGGAAGAGGATGTAAAGCAAAAAAGGAAAAGGCACATGGAGCAAAGCCTAGAGAAAACCAGGCATAAGCTTCCAAGAGTTCTTTCCCAGTGGCGTCACACAGGATGCATTTAATTTCTCCAGCAATCAGCTGTGACAACACATGTAAAATGTTATCTACTAGGGAAGCTCATTAGAGACTCAGTGACCAAGATTTTCACTAGGGGCTAGTCACATAGGCATCCTCTGCCTAGCATATACCAAAATGTCAGACTCCCAGAAGGAAAGTAGGTGTTCAGCATAAATGGCATTGTTTGTACATTTTAGGCACAGTGGGTCGCTCTGATTAGAGGGTGAAATCTAGATACCAAACAGTGCTAACTTCTCAAGTAGGGCCTTCTAAGGAAATTAGTCTCAGGCCTGCTATGTTAACTTTTGAGAATTTGCATTTTTAGCAAGTACCCAAGTGGTTCTCAAAGTGGGGACCACGCTTTGAGAAGGATTGGTTTAACATAAACTGCCAAGCAGGAAGCAGGCAAGTGTGGGACAGGGGATTTTTCACTGTGGGCTTTCACTTTTTATAGGGGAGGGAAATCCTTCTTGAAATCCCCTAGTTTTCTCTTTATGTTTCTCTTTATGTTTCTTTGTCTAGAACACGTTCACATGCCCGCCTGAAAGCTGACGATTGGCTTAAACAATAACAATTCATCTCCTGAAGCTGGACTAATGCCAGTCCAACCAAAGTTAGGTTTATGTCACAGCATCCATAGATAGGGCTTCTATTTCCAGAGCTTGGCCAAGTAAGTCCTCTCTCTTCCACCGCACAACCTGTGAGGTAAACAAAAGCAGGGATCTTTCTGTTGAGAGCCCTTTCCAGTGTCAGTTGGTGATCTTTTGAGATGTGGCAAAAGCATTCTTCCCCTAATTCATTGCTCCATGGAGTCAGCCAACCTTGCTCTACTACTTAGGGTGGAAGGTGAGATCATATATGAACCGTATGAGCAATTTGATCAGCCTTTGCTTAATACTTTGTCTAATAGGATCTGATTTAATGATAGAGCTCTTTAGGCTTTATCATTCTCCAAAAAGCTTTCTGTGAACACATAGGTGCGTTTAAGTATTTGATCTCTCCAAATACTAAAACTGGGATGAGTCCAGTTCAAGAACCTTAGATTCCAAATTAAGAGAGTAATCAAAAATAATTAATCAAGAATTATCTCATCTTGTTATTTATCTTTCTTCAACAGGTTTCAAGTGCTTCACTAACATTTTTATTAATACTTTTCAAATCCTAACTCAGTTGAATTACAATGGGACAAGTATGACCAGATAATTTCCTCAAGGCCACAAAAGAAGCAAGAGTCATTAGGTTTTAGGATGTCTATCCAAGAAATATTCTATAGTGAATAAACTATGTATATCATTACTCAAAAAATTTGAAGATCATTTCCCTAGAAAATAGCCATTCCATAAAATAAGAATCAGTATAGACTGAACTTCCTAGAAACAGTATAAAATCCTAAAAAGGCTGATTCTACTAAATTATCCTGGCTGCCCTTCCAGTCTCATTCTGTTGGTCTTCTTGAACTTGAAGACAAACACTCTCCATTATTTCTAGTAAACTGGAGTTGGGAAGATAAATGTTTTTTAATGTAAAAGATTATTCCATAACTTTCCTCAAAGACAAAGAGACCTCAAAGATAAACCAGAAGAAAGATAATAACTACTCATATTTTGAAAAATTAGTTCCTGCTGTCCTTTATTATAATAAAACAGGCACAAATTAACCCCAACACTTCTGAAAAAGGGAAAGATTATATAGTCGCAGATTCAGATAAAGGTTTAGAAAACTGGGAAGATGCTTTGATTACTAAAAATGTATCTCTTTTTAAAAAAAGGATCTGATTAATTCCTTTAAAACTCTCTAGTTTAGAACAATATGCCACAATGACAAATTTAAGAGCTGTCAGCAAGAATAAGTTTACATCCTAAGTCTGCCTTTCTTCCACCTGAACTTCCAAATATACAACTGAAGGGTAGATTGGTGTTTGCTATTTGTTCTTGCAATGAAGTATTCTGCTAAGTCAAACCACAGGGAAGAAACATGGACTTCAGTTCCTAGGAGGGATTCTTTTAGTACACAGAAACTTTCCTCCAAAGATAGAAATTTGTATCTGCTGAGAAAAACCTACATCAATACCCCAGATTCCTAAAGCTATTATTTTTTTTTTCAGCAAAAGCTGAGATCTTTCTGATGTCATGTCAACACAAAGACTCAAATTTGAAATTAAAGTAAACTGGGAGCCTGAGTTCTGGCTGTGACCTAAACAGACTGACAAAGTTAGCATAGCATACTTACAGGTGCAGTCCCCAAGCTTATTCATTGCAGACATTACTAATCAAGCAAAGAACTCTTTCTGGCTGCCCATAGGACAACCTCACAACCTTTCCCAGCACAAGGCTCTAGACATACTCTCTCCAATTTGGTGGCCACAAGCCACATGTGGTTATTGAACACTTGAAATGTGGCTAATCTAAGTAGAGCTGTGAAATATACTGGGTTTTGAAGACTTCATTCAAAAACAAAGGAAGTAAAATATTTCATTAAAGTTTTAAAATTGTGATTATATGTTGAGATGATGGTAGTTTAGATATATTGAGTTAAATATAGTATACTTTAAAAATTAATTGTACTAGTTTCTTTCTACCTTTTTAAAAATGTAGCATACACAAAATTTAAAATTACATATGTGGCTCACTTTTATGTCTGGCATTTTTATCAGATGGCACTGCTCTATATAGCCACTGCCAGACAGAGTTGGCATACAGGATGAAACCTATTTGCCATGTCAGGTCTGAGCAGCAGTGCCATGTTTCCCCAGCTATGGAGCTAAATAGAGATTTTCCACCTTATTTTTTAAAGAACACTTTGTTAGAACAGTTGGTTGCAAAGCATTTTTAAAATGCAAAACTGAAAGATAGTATCTCTATAGCAAATAACTTTGTAAATGTGGGGAACAAATCATAGATTTGGAGGATGATGAAAAGGACTACAAAAATCATTTTGCAGAGACTTCGTAGTTCATTGATTAAGGAGTTAAGGCCCAGGTAATGAAGAAGCTTTCCTAAACTCACATAGAGCTCTTTGAATACGACCCCACTCCCACTATGCCCCACTGCTACCCCAGCAATGCATCATTGTTTTGACTCATTCGCATTCCTAAAGTTATTTATAGACCGTGACCAGGTGGTTTTGTAACATAATGCTCTTTTCTCAACTTAAGAGTCCGTAGTCCTTTCCACGGTCCTTATTTAATATCCTGTAGCTCTTTCATTCTCTGAGTCCTTCCTAGAGACCAGAGAGCAATATACGTTGTCTTTCCACCATCTCTTTACCCTCCTTCCTCCTCAGTAGTAGTGAGAGAATGAAGTTCACGTAAGTGTTTCTCTATAAGTCTCAGAGCATAAACCACTATTTCCAAAGGTTTATTTTCCAAATACGTTTTCCTGCAAGTTAACCGTTTAAAATGAAAGGGGAAATACACAACTCATTTCTTGACTTTCTTCTCTTCTATCAAGATGATTTCAACCCATGAAAATTAAAGACCAAAGACAGGGTTTTCACTGGTTCCCTTGGCAACAACTCCATCACAAACTTTCTTCTAATACAAACTTCTTCCTATTAAAGGGACTGTGTGTCATTTCTATATAAAAAAACTTTTTATAGTAACATTTTAAACAGGTTAGGACAGATTTGGGGACCGGTTTTTTTCTTTTCACTAGTTTCATACCATTCATTTCATCAGGACCTGGAGACCTGAGGATCTGTATTCCTCAGAGGAATAAAGACGTTTTTCTCACCTTGTTTCCCCTTGGACTAATTATCTAGGAGGGTCCCCTTCTGTGGCAAGGAAGGGAAGGCTCAATAGATTTGGCAGGAGACACTTGTGACACTATCAGATGGGGCTCAGAAAAGGAGTTAGGAGTAAGGGGCAAATTTTTTTTAAAGGAACAAAGCTTAGGTATTTTTTAAGATGCTGATTTAGTGGGTTATTGAAAATGCTGCCCACATAGCCTTTTAACCCTCAAAGATATCAGATAACTTTTTTCTTGCAGTGAGATGAAGTGGCTGTCATTATCTCCGAAGGTCTGTATCATATTGGAATCTGTCAGTGCAGGTCAGGGAGTCCGCGGTGCTCTGGGCCCAGCTCGGGGACTGAATTACATTTCCCCAGCACAATGGCCGCAGAATGGGTGGGTGCTTTGTCATTTAAACTGCATAAAGAGGCAGAAATTGATTTTTATTGTGGATCTTCATATCTAATAAAGCTCCAAGGGGCTCTTTTCTTCTCCGATTGAATAGCCATTGAATGCTTTCAATCTAGTTCTGTGTTTCATGCCTAAACTGAATAGCAGGAAGGCAGAAAATAGATGGGGGAAAAGAGGCCAAGTCACTTTCCAGATTGAAAAGGATATGGCAGAGAAATAAATAAAAAAAAATAAAATAAGACTATTTGGAAAAGCATTTAAGTGGAAAGGGGAACTTTCTTGATGTTCTGGGGGGGAAATTGCTTTTTGAGGTGTGTGTGCATGTGTGTGTGTGTGCGTGCACGCACACGTGCAAATCCACTTACAGGTATGTGTGGGCAATCAGAGTAGTTTATGTGCAAGTATAAAAATCTATTTATGGTCAACTGACCAGAGCTAAAGTACTAACCACAAACTTACCTCTGAAAGCCTACTCTGCCTGTCCTAGGGCACCCAGCCCAAAGAAACAGCCGGAAGAGGCTCCAAGTGCAGAGGCTCCAGAGTGCGTAGAGCAGGTGAAGGGGGGCAATTGCTATTGTCCCTTCCGTGGAGGCTCAGGAAGATTCTTGTCCAATGCATGAAGAAGTTAGGAAATCCCTCAATTTAATAATCTAGAAGATATTCAAAATTCTTGTAGACATCTCCACCTGCTAAATCTTGATTCCCTCCCTTAATGGGGCTTCCTAGGACACAGAGTTATTAAGAGTTCTTTGAATTTTCACCCTAGCCAATCTCCTAAAACCAGTCACATCCAATGAGTCACCAAATCCCTAGATTCTACCTCCTTGGTAGCCTTGGAACTGCTCCAACCCCACCTTGGTTTTGGCCATCACAGATACTCTCCTTTTCCCCTCATTCCATGGTAAGTAAGCTCTTAACTGCTGCCTTCCTTCTGCCTCACCTGACTCTGGTCCATCCTTCTTACAGCTATCAGAAAAAGACTTTCTAAAACTGAACCCCAGTCAGGTGCCTCCTGTAGTTGCTGACATTCCAAGAGGTTTAGGATTTATTTCCCTGGCATAATGTTTTCCTGTTTTGCCTATTTTCACATCATGACCCAACACACGCGCACACACACACACACCAACCACCTAATAATTGAAACAATATATTCATGTAATACTTCTTCTTCCTATGTAAATATTTTCTGATGTTTTCCATTCTATTCTATATTTTCCTTTAAAATGTTAGTCGTGACTGTCTCAATCAGGGTTTCTTAACACAGGGTCAATGGGCACTTAAACAAGGGCTGTGAATATATTTCAGAGGGTTCATAAATTTTAATGGGAAATTTTACATCTTCATTTTTACTAGCTGAAACTGAAATTTAGTGTTCCCTTCTATTATTAAGGTAGGGAACAAACTATAGTAGTATTAGCAGTACCTGTTACTTTATCACCAATAGAACTCACACATATATTTAGCTCATTGACGATATCTTGAAATATTGTTTATGCTCCTCATTTCTTTAAAAATATTTCCAGGGAATTTTTCTCTCCTCTCTTTACTTATGATGCTTCTCCTAGGCCTTACCCTTTCTCACCCTCAATATTCTGTATATTTATGGACTGTGACACACCTGTAAGTACACTCAAACCTGAACACAAACACATAATAAAGCTCATCCACATATGTAGTTGATGTAGTTGTGTGCACATTACCATATACACGCAATCATATTTTCAAACTCATATATATACTCTTCCACACACCTAATTACAATTGTACACACACATAAACATACCTATACCTGTGCATACGCACGATTTCCCAGTTTTGCTTCTGAGAAAGAATTGTCAACTCATTCTCCTCTCTCTGATATGGCCCAGAGATGTGGGGCCTTCCCAAAGTCATTTCTCCCTTAAGAACCTGCTGGGAGCCACAGCCTGGATGCACCAGCACCCCAGTGGTCATGAATAATGAATGATACAGACAGACATATGACAGGGTGAGAGGTAAGGAGTTTTTATTCCAACCAGCCATATCAGTTGAACCAGCCCTCATTTTTAATACATGGCTCTAATTTATTACAACTTTAATGTTGTAGACAATTTTGCAAGTAACCTTAAATTTGGGGGAACAAGAAAGGGTGAAAATACACACAAAACACTAACATTCATTAACTCTTTTGAAATATAGAGTATTCTGAGAGTCTAATGAAAGTTATCAACCATCTCATCAGCAAAAAAACACATCCTCTTAGTAACATGAAATTTTGTATAGAATTTCTAGGTGTTCTGGACTTCCTAAGCTATGCCTGAATTGTAGGAAATTATTCCCCAAAATTATATAAAGGAGATTTGTGGATTTAACATTTATGATTTGGACAAGTTAGCGTCCCCAAAGTTCCATGGCTTCTCGTGAAATTTGAGATACAGTTTCTGTAACAGTGAATCCTGTTCTGGATGAAGGTGGCAGCGGCCAGTCACCAAGCCCATGAGTGAGCCCAGCTGCTGCCCACAAATCACAGTCCACAGTCCGGCTCTACTCCAAGTCCAGGCCATGATAACCCTCAAGAAGTGATTTTTTTTTTCTAGTGAAAATGGTTCTGAAAAGAGAGCCAACTGCTAGAGCTGGTGATGGAAATGGAGAGATGGGATAAAGTGATGGCTCCTAACTGAAACTTGGCAGTTTGAGTCAAGAGAAGTATGTGTGCTCTTATGGTTGGTATTGCTAATTCCCAAAGAGCTCAGGTTCTCAGCCATGTACATGCCTAGACTTGTAGGAATTACAAAAACAGATGTTGACAGGGGCCAGACGAGTACCATAAATGAGTGAAGCATGGTAAGAGACATGCATACAGCCTTAGTGGTCTATTATTTCCTTGAGAGAAACATGGGAACAAGAAAGAGTTCATTTCTTCTTTCTATAAGGTGAACAACAGCACTAGGAGAGCATTCAGTGACATTGACACTCACCTCAGTGATGAGTGGTAAGCAGGGAGTGGCATGGCCAGACAGTGCAAAGTGTGTGCACACCACCTGATCCAACAAGAAGCTGCCTCTGCCCTTCTGCAGATTGCTGCCCAGTGGAAACGCAGCCCAGGGTTACCACAGCTCTCAAATTTTTCAGGAGCCATAAATCTGGGTTGTTATGTGAAGTGTATTCTTTTCCCCCCAACGTTGTCTGAGCTAACTCTGTGCTAACAAACAAAACATGTATGTGAGCTGGGTTCCGCTTGTGGATGGCTGTGAATAGCCGTTTCTCTGCACCCTCCCCACCTCCCACACCAGTCCTCAGTGAAGACAGAAGCTCCAGGGGCACTTCCAGAGAAGGAAGAGATGGGCACAACTAAATTTAAAGCAAAGTGGAAATGAAAGTGGAGAAGTTTACACAGAAAGCATGTTTGGAAAGTGATGAGTTCTCAAAGATGAGTGCTACCCAGGCACCCTCACAGGGATTCAGGGAAGCAAGGCTTCTTTGCCATCCAGTTGGCACTGCCTTGGCACAAATAGCACCCCAGCTTCTAGAAATAAGAAAAGAGGTAGCTACTTGAGGCATTTCCTGGAGCTGCAGACTGTTTGAGAATAGTCTAACCATGGCTGTCTCCTTCAGGGTTTCACAGATTCATCAAGCATGTGATGCTCTTTCTGGCTGAGTTCTATGTACGGAACTGATGCATGAGGGCAGCTTATCCTCCCTGCCTTGCCTCGGAAACACTTATCTGCATAGATAATGCTGCTCTCCCTTTAGATGGGAGGGAGGGCCTGGGTCAGCATACCTGTGTCTGAGTTCAACATACACTACACTCATCCCAGCAAACTCAGCATTACCCTCCGCCAACACTGTTTGGGGTCATCTTTCTGATTTGGATTAACCTGTTTATATAAAAATTGAAAATATTATCCTAATTGAGCCATTCTCTTCTGTTCTCTTTCCTTCTCTTCCTTGGGTTTTCTAGTAGTGGCTTTATCACCGGAACTCTTAATTTTTCTGAACTCTTTCTTCAAGGGTGCAGGGAATTGAAAACATACTTTGCTTCATCTGTGTATTTTTAAAACCATATATTGTAATGTAAGTAATAGACGTTAAAGATAATTGCAAACTATTCTTGATTTTACTAGTGTTTTATTAACAAATCTGCCTTAATCCAGGATTAAAATTGAGTGAGATTAGAGGATTTTTCCATTCGCAGCTTGGAGCAAGAGATTCTATGCAATAAATGTGCCTCTTTGCTTGACATAAAGCCGTCCTATTATATTCCTGGCAGCACCGAGTGAGACCGACTCCCATCTGCCCCGCAATGCACATGTACATTGATAGGCAAGGGGTGCCCAGCACAGTTAAAGGCCTAGGCCTCCCTGTTCCCCTCAAGGTGTCAGGATGAAGGCCTCATTCTCTTTGCTTCTGTGCTTTGAGTTGCCTTTCCATAACATAGGACCTTTCTTCTGAATCTAACATTTCATTTCAACATTATATCACAGGGCATGTTATTTCAGCAAAACAGGCAGTGACTGGAGTATAAAGCACTTCTGCCTGGTGCTGCTGGTTTGTTCCACTGATTAGAGCATCACTAACAAGGGGAAGGTCACAGGGCCTCCATTCTTACGGGGACCAGTCCACAGTTTCCTTCTGCTCCATGGTCTGTGGCTGTACCTGTAGTCCCAATCAGTTGCTGCTGTGAAAATTTCACCATCCAAAGGATGAAAGGGACTCAGGGGGCCTCTCTTGTGGGCAGTGGGCAGCAGCGTCATATCCATACACAAAGGATGTTATTTTATCAATTGAAAGTCATCATTAGAGGGAAAATGCTATGCCAATCAGAGGTGACTGAAGACAAAGCAGGGCTAGGTCACCCCACAACCCAGTGACTATGCACCTAGTCACTTTCCTGGCCCCAACCTCAATCTGAACTTTCCTGGGAAGATACATCCTTTTCTTATGTTCATTTCAAGCACACATACAACTTCCCTTGTCATTTTTGATTCTATGTTTCCTGTTGTCATGTCAGTAATTATTGGTGGATGAATGGTGTGTATGCATTACATGTGCATAGGTGTGTGCAATGTTTATGTCTGTGTGTACCTGAACTCATTCTTTCATCCCAAAACCTATTCATCCAGGCCTAAGTCTTATGTCCAGGAATAAGTATACCATCCAGTAGTTTACCTAAGTAGACACGCTGGCTGTCACTTTCTCTACTCCTTTCTGTCCTCAGTCTTCTGTATATAATTAATCTCAAAATGCCGTCAAATTTACCATCAAAATGTCTTTCCACTACCCCCTCCCTTCCATTCTCCCTCCCACTGTTCCAGTTCAGACCACAGCCATCTCTCTCCTAGATATCTCCAATGGCTTCCAGTTGGACACTCTACTTCTGAAATGCCTGCCTGCCACCTCTTACCCATTTTCACTATTGCAGCCTCATTGATCCACTGAACACAGACCTGACCTTTCTACTCCATTATTCAAAAGTCTTCCATGGCTTCCACTCCCCTGAGAAGAGATTGTAAGCTCCTCAGCATAAAACATAAGAACCATCAAGATCTGGCCTGGCCTCCACACTGGCCTCAGCTCCTGCCTCCCATTACCAAGCGTTCCACTCTCAGCCACATCATCTACTCGCCATTCATGGAACATACTGAGACCTCTCAAGCTTCCATATGCTTACATGTGTTAGGTCCCCACCTACAATGCCTTTTCCCATCTTGTCCACATAGACGCTTTCTCTAATCTCCTTGGAGACCTGTCTCCAAGTGCCGACTTTGCTTCCCACTCAGGAAAAGCCAGCCAGACATACCTCTGGGAGGCAGAGGCATTGGTCATAGCACTTGCCTGCCTGTCTTGCTTGCTCAACTGAAGGACCAGAACTCATTCAGCTTTGTATTTCCAAGGATCACCAGCACACAGGGAGGTCCCATTCATTGATGCTGCAATTAGGTGTTGAGTATCTACCATGTGCTAGCAGTAGTAAGTAAAAAGAAAGTTGGTTGCCATTACAGTACTAAATCATGAATAAATTCTTGCATCTGTGTGTTGTCTGTGTAGTGAGCAAGAGTTAAACTGTAAAGAAAAGAGAAGTAGCAATCAGCAGGAAGGAAAATAAAGTTTCCATTCCCCAACCCTCAGATTTTCTACTTGTAATTTAGTGGATGAAATATTTAATAAAGAAGATTTTTTTTCATTTTTAATGAGGTGACTCAGCATATAGATTAGTAATAATAATGATGATAATAACAACAACTAACATTTTTGGAGTGCTTGCTATGTTCTAGGCCCCATTATAAGAACTTTACATATGTCAGCCCATTTTTTTTCACACAACAATCTTAGAAAATAAGTATTATTATTTATTATTATTGCTATTATTATCCTCACTTTAGAAAAAAAGAAAGTGAGACATTTAAATGTTAAGCAACCTGATCACAGTCTTACAGTTAGTAAACATTGGAGCGGGCATGTGCCCAAGCAATGTGACTCCGCATTATGCTGTTTGCTTACTGCAGATGGGTGTCCCTTAACACATTATTGACAAGATGTGGACTATGATGGATCTAAGTCCATGTAACAAGGAGCTACCTGAATTTTAAAATAATATGGAAGAAAAGTGATAAGTATATATAAAAATCTAGGGATGGGGGGGAGGAGCCAAGACGGCCGAATAGGAACAGCTCCAGTCTACAGTTCCCAGCGTGAGCGACGCAGAAGACGGGTGATTTCTGCATTTCCATCTGAGGTACCGGGTTCATCTCACTAGGGAGTGCCAGACAGTGGGCGCAGGCCAGTGGGTGTGCGCACTGTGCGCAAGCCGAAGCAGGGCGAGGCATTGCCTCGCCTGGGAAGCACAAGGAGTCAGGGAGTTCCCTTTCCGAGTCAAAGAAAGGGGTGATGGACGCACCTGGAAAATCGGGTCACTCCCACCCGAATATTGCGCTTTTCAGACCGGCTTAAAAAACGGCGCACCACGAGACTATATCCCACACCTCGCTCGGAGGGTCCTACGCCCACGGAGTCTCGCTGATTGCTAGCACAGCAGTCTGAGATCAAACTGCAAGGCGGCAGCGAGGCTGGGGGAGGGGAGCCCGCCATTGCCCAGGCTTGCTTAGGTAAACAAAGCAGCCCGGAAGCTCGAACTGGGTGGAGCCCACCACAGCTCAAGGAGGCCTGCCTGCCTCTGTAGGCTCCACCTCTGGGGGCAGGGCACAGACAAACAAAAAGACAGCGGTAACCTCTGCAGACTTAAATGTCCCTGTCTGACAGCTTTGAAGAGAGCAGTGGTTCTCCCAGCACGCAGCTGGAGATCTGAGAATGGGCAGACTGCCTCCTCAAGTGGGTCCCTGACCCCTGACCCCCGAGCAGCCTAACTGGGAGGCACCCCCCAGCAGGGGCACACTGACACCTCACACGGCAGGGTATTCCAACAGACCTGCAGCTGAGGGTCCTGTCTGTTAGAAGGAAAACTAACAAACAGAAAGGACATCCACACCAAAAACCCATCTGTACATCACCATCATCAAAGATCAAAAGTAGATAAAACCACAAAGATGGGGAAAAAACAGAACAGAAAAACTGGAAACTCTAAAACGCAGAGCGCCTCTCCTCCTCCAAAGGAACGCAGTTCCTCACCAGCAACGGAACAAAGCTGGATGGAGAATGACTTTGATGAGCTGAGAGAAGAAGGTTTCAGATGATCAAATTACTCTGAGCTACGGGAGGACATTCAAACCAAAGGCAAAGAAGTTGAAAACTTTGAAAAAAATTTAGAAGAATGTATAACTAGAATAACCAATACAGAGAAGTGCTTAAAGGAGCTGATGGAGCTGAAAACCAAGGCTCGAGAACTACATGAAGAATGCAGAAGCCTCAGGAGCCGCTGCGATCAACTGGAAGAAAGGGTATCAGCAATGGAAGATGAAATGAATGAAATGAAGCGAGAAGGGAAGTTTAGAGAAAAACGAATAAAAAGAAATGAGCAAAGCCTCCAAGAAATATGGGACTATGTGAAAAGACCAAATCTACGTCTGATTGGTGTACCTGAAAGTGATGGGGAGAATGGAACCAAGTTGGAAAACACTCTGCAGGATATTATCCAGAGGAACTTCCCCAATCTAGCAAGGCAGGCCAACGTTCAGATTCAGGAAATACAGAGAACGCCACAAAGATACTCCTCGAGAAGAGCAACTCCAAGACACATAATTGTCAGATTCACCAAAGTTGAAATGAAGGAAAAAATGTGAAGGGCAGCCAGAGAGAAAGGTCGGGTTACCCTCAAAGGGAAGCCCATCAGACTAACAGCGGATCTCTCGGCAGAAACCCTACAAGCCAGAAGAGAGTGGGGGCCAATATTCAACATTCTTAAAGAAAAGAATTTTCAACCCAGAATTTCATATCCAGCCAAACTAAGCTTCATAAGTGAAGGAGAAATAAAATACTTTACAGACAAGTAAATGCTGAGAGATTTTGTCACCACCAGGCCTGCCCTAAAAGAGCTCCTGAAGGAAGCGCTAAACATGGAAAGGAACAACCAGTACCAGCCGCTGCAAAATCATGCCAAAATGTAAAGACCATCGAGACTAGGAAGAAACTGCATCAACTAACGAGCAAACTCACCAGCTAACATCATAATGCCAGGATCAAATTCACACATAACAATATTAACTTTAAATGTAAATGGACTAAATTCTCCAATTAAAAGACACAGACTGGCAAGTTGGATAAAGAGTCAAGACCCATCAGTGTGCTGTATTCAGGAAACCCATCTCATGTGCAGAGACACACATAGGCTCAAAATAAAAGGATGGAGGATGATCTACCAAGCAAATGGAAAACAAAAAAAGGCAGGGGTTGCAATCCTAGTCTCTGATAAAACAGTCTTTAAACCAACAAAGATCAAAACAGACAAAGAAGGCCATTACATAATGGTAAAGGGATCAATTCAACAAGAAGAGCTAACTATCCTAAATATCTATGCACCCAATACAGGAGCACCCAGATTCATAAAGCAAGTCCTGAGTGACCTACAAAGAGACTTAGACTCCCACACATTAATAATGGGAGACTTTAACACCCCACTGTCAACATTAGACAGATCAACGAGACAGAAAGTCAACAAGGATACCCAGGAATTGAACTCAGCTCTGCACCAAGCGGACCTAATAGACATCTACAGAACTCTCCACCCCAAATCAACAGAATGTACATTTTTTTCAGCACCACACCACACCTATTCCAAAATTGACCACATAGTTGGAAGTAAAGCTCTCCTCAGCAAATGTAAAAGAACAGAAATTATAACAAACTATCTCTCAGACCACAGTGCAATCAAACTAGAACTCAGGATTAAGAATCTCACTCAAAGCCGCTCAACTACATGGAAACTGAACAACCTGCTCCTGAATGACTACTGGGTACATAACGAAATGAAGGCAGAAATAAAGATGTTCTTTGAAACCAACGAGAACAAAGACACAACATACCAGAATCTCTGGGACGCATTCAAAGCAGTGTGTAGAGGGAAATTTGTAGCACTAAATGCCCACAAGAGAAAGCAGGAAAGATCCAAAATTGACACCCTAACATCACAATTAAAAGAACTAGAAAAGCAAGAGCAAACACATTCAAAAGCTAGCAGAAGGCAAGAAATAACTAAAATCAGAGCAGAACTGAAGGAAATAGAGACACAAAAAACCCTTCAAAAAATCAATGAATCCAGGAGCTGGTTTTTTGAAAGGATCAACAAAATTGATAGACCACTAGCAAGACTAATAAAGAAAAAAAGAGAGAAGAATCAAATAGACACAATAAAAAATGATAAAGGGGATATCACCACCGATCCCACAGACATACAAACTACCATCAGAGAATACTACAAACACCTCTACGCAAATAAACTAGAAAATCTAGAAGAAATGGATACATTCCTCGACACATACACTCTCCCAAGACTAAACCAGGAAGAAGTTGAATCTCTGAATAGACCAATAACAGGAGCTGAAATTGTGGCAATAATCAATAGTTTACCAACCAAAAAGAGTCCAGGACCAGATGGATTCACAGCCGAATTCTACCAGAGGTACAAGGAGGAACTGGTACCATTCCTTCTGAAACTATTCCAATCAATAGAAAAAGAGGGAATCCTCCCTAACTCATTTTATGAGGCCAGCATCATTCTGATACCAAAGCCGGGCAGAGACACAATCAAAAAAGAGAATTTTAGACCAATATCCTTGATGAACATTGATGCAAAAATCCTCAATAAAATACTGGCAAACCGAATCCAGCAGCACATCAAAAAGCTTATCCACCATGATCAAGTGGGCTTCATCCCTGGGATGCAAGGCTGGTTCAATATACGCAAATCAATAAATGTAATCCAGCATATAAACAGAGCCAAAGACAAAAACCACATGATTATCTCAATAGATGCAGAAAAAGCCTTTGACAAAATTCAACAACCCTTCATGCTAAAAACTCTCAATAAATTAGGTATTGATGGGACGTATTTCAAAATAATAAGAGCTATCTATGACAAACCCACAGCCAATATCATACTGAATGGGCAAAAACTGGAAGCATTCCCTTTGAAAACTGGCAGAAGACAGGGATGCCCTCTCTCACCACTCCTATTCAACATAGTGTTGGAAGTTCTGGCCAGCGCAATCAGGCAGGAGAAGGAAACAAAGGGTATTCAATTAGGAAAAGAGGAAGTCAAATTGTCCCTGTTTGCAGACGACATGATTGTTTATCTAGAAAACCCCATCGTCTCAGCCCAAAATCTCCTTAAGCTGATAAGCAACTTCAGCAAAGTCTCAGGATACAAAATCAATGTACAAAAATCACAAGCATTCTTATACACCAACAACAGACACACAGAGAGCCAAATCATGAGTGAACTCCCATTCACAATTGCTTCAAAGAGAATAAAATACCTAGGAATCCAACTTACAAGGGATGTGAAGGACCTCTTCAAGGAGAACTACAAACCACTGCTCAAGGAAATAAAAGAGGATACAAACAAATGGAAGAACATTCCATGCTCATGGGTAGGAAGAATCAATATCGTGAAAATGGCCATACTACCCAAGGTAATTTACAGATTCAATGCCATCCCCATCAAGCTACCAATGACTTTCTTCACAGAATTGGAAAAAACTACTTTAAAGTTCACATGGAACCAAAAAAGAGCCCGCATCACCAAGTCAATCCTAAGCCAAAAGAACAAAGCTGGAGGCATCACACTACCTGACTTCAAACTATACTACAAGGCTACAGTAACCAAAACAGCATGGTACTGGTACCAAAACAGAGATATAGATCAATGGAACAGAACAGAGCCCTCAGAAATAACGCCGCATACCTACAACTATCTGATATTTGACAAACCTGACAAAAACAAGCAATGGGGAAAGGATTCCCTATTTAATAAATGGTGCTGGGAAAACTGGCTAGCCATATGTAGAAAGCTGAAACTGGATCCCTTCCTTACACCTTATACAAAAATCAATTCAAGATGGATTAAAGATTTAAATGTTAGACCTAAAACCATAAAAACCCTAGAAGAAAACCTAGGCATTACCATTCAGGACATAGGCGTGGGCAAGGACTTCATGTCCAAAACACCAAAAGCAATGGCAACAAAAGCCAAAATTGACAAATGGGATCTAATTAAACTAAAGATCTTCTGCACAGCAAAAGAAACTACCATCAGAGTGAACAGGCAACCTACAACATGGGAGAAAATTTTCGCAACCTACTCATCTGACAAAGGGCTAATATCCAGAATCTACAATGAACTCAAACAAATTTACAAGAAGAAAACAAACAACCCCATCAAAAAGTGGGCGAAGGACATGAACAGACACTTCTCAAAAGAAGACATTTATGCAGCCAAAAAACACATGAAAAAATGCTCATCATCACTGGCCATCAGAGAAATGCAAATCAAAACCACTATGAGATATCATCTCACACCAGTTAGAATGGCAGTCATTAAAAAGTCAGGAAAGAACAGGTGCTGGAGAGGATGTGGAGAAATAGGAACAGTTTTACACTGTTGGTGGGACTGTAAATTAGTTCAACCATTGTGGAAGTCAGTGTGGCGATTCCTCAGGGATCTAGAACTAGAGATACCATTTGACCCAGCCATCCCATTACTGGGTATATACCCAAAGGACTATAAATCATGCTGCTATAAAGACACATGCACACGTATGTTTATTGCGGCATTATTCACAATAGCAAAGACTTGGAACCAACCCAAATGTCCAACAATGATAGACTGGATTAAGAAAATGTGGCACATATACACCATGGAATACTATGCAGCCATAAAAAATGATGAGTTCATGTCCTTTGTAGGGACATGGATGAAATTGGAAATCATCATTCTCAGTAAACTATCGCAAGAACAAAAAACCAGACACCGCATATTCTCACTCATAGGTGGGAACTGAACAGTGAGAACACATGGACACAGGAAGGGGAACATCATACTCTGGGGACTATTGTGGGGTTGGGGGAGGGGGGAGGGATAGCATTGGGAGATATACCTAATGCTAGATGATGAGTTAGTGGGTGCAGCGCACCAGCGTGGCACATGTATACATATGTAACTAACCTGCACATTGTACACATGTACCCTGAAACTTAAAGTATAATAAATAAATTTAAAAAAAAAAATCTAGGGATGGAAAACAAATCAGTGGTTGTTTGGGGGAGAGGGAAGGGATGATTACAAAGCGTCTCACAAAGGCATGTCAGCTCTGTAGGGTTGTAGGGTGGTGGAGGCATTTGTCAAAACTCACAGAACTGTACACGATACAGTATGAACTTTACTGTATGTTAATTTAAAAAACACTAAAGCAGAAAGTTAAGGGATCCCAGGGTGGAATGCAGACTGAGACAAATGAATCTAACTGTATTATCAATGTATGACATAACTTCACTGAAAAAGGGAGAGTAAAAAGGAGCTGACCTAAGTAGATTTGGAAAGTGGTGTGTGAGCTGTATACTAAGGCCAGAGACAAAGGAATTATGTGTAAACGCTACTATTCTAGTTGATAAATTTATTTCCCCATGGCATATAGATTAGCAATCCTAAAACTTAGTATATGCTGGATTGAACAAAATAAATGCATTGTAGATAATGGGAGCCAATTTTCTATCATAGAAAGGAATTAAGAATAAGCAAGGGTGGATGACTACAATAAATCCTGTGGACTAGAGTCAGAGTTGGACTCTGGACCATCTCTCCTGTGGGTTAGAATCAGAGATGTGAGTGTGAGTGTTTTAACAGTGAGAGAGGTGTAGATTTTTATATATACATGGGTTGTTTCCTAGCTCTGTTCACTGAGTAGAACCAGAAGCAGTGACACCCCACTAGCAAGAGGCACACCACTGCCCAGATTTTGATTTCTAAATATTATTATTCTTATTATTCTCTGTCCCCCTTTTTTTTTTTGGAGATATGGTCTCACTCTGTCACCTAAGCTGGAGTGCAGTGGCATGATCACAGCTCACTGCGGCCTTGTCCTCCTGGGCTCAAGCAATGATCCCACCTCAGCCTTCTCGGTAGCCAGGACTACAGGTGCCCACCTCCATGCCCAGCTAATTTTTTTTTTTTTTTTTAAGAAATGGGGTCTCCCTCTGTTGTCCAGGTTGATCACGAACTCTTGGGCTCTGGTAGTCCTCCTGCCTCGGCCTCTCAAAGTCCTGGGATTATGGGCATAAGCCACCACACCCAGCCTCTAAATACCATTCTTTAATGAAAAGAACCAGGGCTCTTTGGAGAAATGGCCGATTCTATGGCTGAGGGAGGGAAACTCCAAGATCAGCCTGGAGCATTTCATTGATTCAGAAACCAAGAAAGCAATCAAAGGAAGAAAAAAATCAAAGGATGGGGTGAAGTCAGAAGGACAAAGGAGCCAATGAAAAAGAGCTTCCAATGGCCAAAGACGGAACAATTTGGGTTAGAAAATTACTTACAATAGTATTGAATTATAACCCCCATAATAAAGTAAATATCCACGAGTCCATATTGATATAAACAAATGATCGAACAAATAAACGAGAGACTAAGGGATAAATTTTCCTTACAGAAGAATTCCAAGTAATACATGTAGAAAGTCCCCTCTCCAGGAGGTAGAATTTCCCTCTTGTAAAGCGTGAGGCTACAGTTAATGACCTGTGTCCAAATCATAGATTATGGAAATGGAAAAATAATAACTTTACATTGGAGAAATCTAGAAGACAACAAACACCACCTTAACCAAGTGATCAGCTTTAGCATGTCACATACCCCTGATATGATGCAATCAGAGGGGCACCTTATCTCTGTGATACACTTTTCCAAAAACTGCAACCCCAGTCTAATAATAAGAAAACATGGCTGGGCGCGGTGTCTCACGCCTGTAATCCCAGCGCTTTGGGAGGCCAAGGCGGGCGGATCACGAGGTCAGGAGATGGAGACCATTCTGGCCAACATGGTAAAACCCCGTCTCTACTAAAAATACAAAAAAAAAAAAAAAAAATAGCTGGGTGTGGTGGTGCGTGCCCATAATCCCAGCTACTCGGGAAGCTGAGGCAGGAGAATCGCTTGAACCCGGGAGGCGGAGCTTGCAGTGAGCCGAGATCATGCCACTGCACTCCGACCTGGGCGACAGAGCAAGACTCCGTCTCAAAAAAAAAAAAAAAAGAACATAAGATAGACCCCAATTGAAGGACATTCTGCAGAATATCTGACCAATATTCTTCAAAACTGTTAAGGTCATAGCAAACACCACAATACTGAGAAACTTGTCACAGATAAGAGAAAACTAAAGAGACACGCCAGCTAAATCCATGTGATATCCTGGATTGAATCTTGAAACAGACAAAAGGACATGAGTAGAAAAATTGGTGAAATCTGAATAAAGTCTTTAGTCAGTATATTGTACCAATGTTAATTTCTTAATTTTGACAGATTTACTGTGGTTATGTAAGATGTTCATTTTAAGGGAAGCTGGGTGAATGGTATATTGGGAACTCTGTACTATCTTTGCAACTCCTTATCAATCTAAAGTTATTCCAAAATCAGAAGTTAAAAAAAAAACTATCTCTAATTGTTATTGCTGCAGATATATACATATATTGTTTTTATTTTTTAAAGCATGTGAAAATATTACCTACTCAAAAAATAAAATTAAAAACTAAATAGGTACTGCATTCATGACAATATGCGTCTAAAACTGGCAGGGTTATAAATGTGCTGTCTTTCTCATGCTCCTTTATTTTAATGCATTGTTTTAAATTTCCATAATAATTCAAATTTAATCCAAGAAAATGTCAAATTGGGTTTTGGACAAATGTTAAGGAAGTTTATCTATTTCTCTTTTCTGGTCTTGAGGATTGAATGCCAATTTGGGCTAGATTCAGAAATAATAGAAATGAATCCTCTCTAATTGAAAATCATTTGCAATGCCTGAATTAGGCCCCTTCCCCTGGGCTTAACTATGCCTAAGTGCTTATACTTGGGCAGAGGAAAGAATAGAGACAGAAAACAAATGCCCCAGGTAAACTTGCCACACAAAAACTTTCAGAGAAGATGCCTGTTTCCATTGTGAAAGGTTGGTTGGAGAACTAATTTGGATATCTACTTCCTTCCAGATTTGTTTCATGCCCATTTCAGCTGAAATATACAAATCACTGATGGCAGATAGAGACATGAGTTGCTCTTCCTTAATAGGTAATTCTAGGTATACAATCAGGTGTTTTGTGGCTGTCACTTAAGCAGTTCCTGACAAACACCACTGCCGATGAAGCCTGACACAAATATATGAGGCACCTTCTGCCCATCTCTTGTGCCAAAGCATCAAGCAAAACACATGGTCTGCAACAGGGGAGCATTAAGCAAATTAGTGTTTAGGAGTTTTTGAAATAACATTTTGTTTACGAGGCGAGGAGTTTATTTTTCAGTTATGTTTATAGAGAAAAACTGCAGCAATCAAATGTGGGGGTGGCTCTCAGCCACCATAAACAGATTCCACAGGCCTCAGCTCAACCCTGCAGCCATGTCTTCTCCATTCTTGAATTAGGGAATGAGATCTTGAGTCTGAGTGCCATTCTTCCTTGCAAATTATTGGTTGAGCCATGGGCAGAAAACATGCATCTCTTAGGAAGAATCTGCCCAAGCCAGGCCTCACCTGTGTGGATGACCCAGTGAAGGCTAAGGAGAGCAGCTCTCAGGGACAGAGAGGTCCAAACCATGGGCACTGGTCTCTACTTGTCTCTGGTTTCCCAGGGAGGAGAAGAAGACACGAGGCTGATGGTAGCCTCCTGAGTGGTCTCCCTACTCATATCATCACCCTCTACAATTTCTTCTCGGAACAGCCAAAAGATCTTTATAAAAGTGTAAATTAAGTCATGCTGCTCCTTTGTTAAAAAAAAAACCACCAATTACATTCACAGTCCTTATCATAGCTGCCAAGGCTCCTGTGAGCTGGCTCCTCCCTACCCTCAGCAGCAGCCACCCTCCCCTCCCTCACTACACTTCAGCCTGCTGGCCTTCTAACATGTGAAGCCCATTCCCACCTCAGGACCTTTGCACATGCTGTTCCTTCTTCCCGAAATGTTCTTCTAGATATTTTTGTATCTCTTTTTTTTTCACTTTAATTGTTAGCTCAAATGCCATGTCTCAGAGAGGTCTTTCCTGAATACCTTATCTAAAAAAGTTTCCTCTACCCATTGCCTCCATCACTCTCTACTCTTCCTTTAATTTTCCACAGCAGTTAATTCAGCATAAAATTGTACTCTGTGTTTATTCCCAGGTTTGTTAACTACCTTCTCCACTAGTATGAAGACTTTTTACAGTATCCATATTGCCTAGAACAGTGCCATAGCCATCATCCAGGCTATTCACAAACACTCCAGCTCACATCTTTCCAGATACATTTGGTCATCTCATTTGCTTTAGTCAATGAGATGTAAGTAGCAGTAACACACATCATTTCTAAAGGAAACCCTTAAGAGACAGTGTGTGATTCATTATGTTCCCTTCCCCTGGCTGCATGTTCCCGTCCCTGCATCTCAGGGAAGCACATGTCAAGGTAGAAGTTGAACAAATGACCTCTGATACCTCGTATTGAAAATTTATCATAGAAAAATAAATTTTTGCTATTTTATACCCCTAAGCTCTGGAGAGGAGGTGTTGTTTGTTACTTTGGTATAATCTAACCTGCCCTAACGTAGTGACTAAGTGAATAAATGAATGAATGAACACATTAAATAGGCAGATGATCTCAGCACACCTCTCAGGCAAAAGCAACCAGAGGCCAACTGAGATTTGCCTACAGCTGATAACATAAGACCAGGGCCAAATCCAAAATGGAGGCTGTAAGGTAAAGTAAAGGTCTTACTGACTGTGTTAAAGGTCCAGCCTTGCTCTGAAGCCAGGGGTCATACAGCGGATGCTTCTTTTCAGTAAGTTATTTGCTTGGAAAAATATTATAGATCTCTCGAGAGCAAGAGAGCTGTGGTAGAGTGGGATCTTTCATGCAGGATCCTGGGTGGGGCAATGTGAGAAAGGAAGCCAGGAACCCTCTGGTACCTCTTATTAATTACCCTCCTTTTAATGAGTCTAAAAGCACAGTCTTGGGCATCTGCTAGGCTTGGGCTCACTCCTCTACTACTTCCTAGCTATGTGACCTTGGGCATTTTCTCAACCAATCTGAGCCTCAGTTTTCTTCTATAAAATGTGGACAATAATACCCTCCATCTCACAAGGCAGCGAGAATTAATTAACAAAGGGAATTTATGGCACTTAACTTGATGTCTGACACAAAGTATTTGCTCAATAAATGCTAACGAATATGAGTATTTTCCTAAACTCTAGTAATCTCTCAGATAGGATCTACAGGACAAGTCTCAGAAAGGAGAAGCCATTGTCTCAGAATATACCATAGTGAAACAAATGAAGGCATATTCTCCTAAAACAACCAAAATGGCTAAAATAATTTGAATTCAAGTGGAAACACAGAGGACACAGAGAGAAAGCCAAGCCATAGACACGCTATATGATTCGGCATGTCTTTAAGGAACATTCACATTGTTCATATTTGTTGCTTTTAGTGTTATCATATTTTTGCACAGACCTTTTAATCTCAGAAATTAAATGACTACTCTAGAAGGTTACAGGACTTCTTACCCTCCCTTCCCCTGGCTACATTTCCTTCTGAAACATTTAAAAAGTTTTCAGCCAAAAAAAATGCTGTAAAAGGCTAGGTTGAATTATATGATACATTGAAATTAAAATGAAATTTTAAATTATCATGCAGTTCAGGATGATGTAGAATGAGTGATAATAAAGGTTACAAGGATGATGGCTGATACTTTTTCATGGTTCGTATTTTTTTCCCTTTCTGTTGTTTATAAAAACCTTCTCAGAAGATTAAAAATAATATTTCTTTCCCTATTGATTTTTTCTTTTCCCATTTGGCCAATATTACTTTATTTTCCTGTGTTTCTAATGGAGCAGATATTAATATAGCTTTATTTATTTATTTTTATTCCATGGACATTGCCATTACTGACGATAGCCCAAGCCTGGGGACAGCAGCCAGACAGCTCCAGAGGTGACAGGGCATTCCTGCAGTCAATAGTGCAGAATTCTGTTTCCACCAGCCTCTTCCCATTGTCTGCATGGAGAAACCTTGAGAGAAGTCTATGCCACCAAAAATTCAAGGGGCTTCTAGGTCACTGCATTATCTTGTGAAGGCTGTTCCAGATCCAGTCTTATGAGGGCCCTGCTCATTTGGTGTCCTCTACTTGGAATTCCTCTCCCCTCTTCACTTCCGTTTCTTTAGGTCCCAGCTCAGATCCTGTCTTTTGAGATGAAGATTGCCATGATCCCTTTTTCATGTGGGACACAAACCTCCCAGCAAAATAGGTTGCTAATATATTCAACACACCTTTGGTAAGCCAGACCCTGGGCCACACGCTGGAGATTCAACAGTAAGACATAGCTCCTCCTTCTGAGAATATTGAGTCCAGTTGTGGAGACACACAACCATGGTGCTGCAGTGCATGCTCCCCTGTGGCAAAATAGAGGAGGAGTCCAATCTGCCAGGGTATCTATCCTAGGCAGGGGTCAGGGAAGCCTTCAAGGAGATCACATATGAGCTGAATCTCTAGATTTTTGCCTTCTAAGGAAACAAAGGAGTGAAAAGAGGAAGTTAGGAAACAGAGTTACAAGGACTTTCTCAAATTAGCACATCAAGCTGGCCATGCCAGGACTGAAACAGAGGTTCCCAGATATGCTTGCCCAGCCTCATCCCACTTAATCCCTAGCTTTCTTATATTGCAGACATTGCCTGTTAGTTAAAACATGCTTTGGGGTTTATTAGTTATGCTGTTTGATAATTTGCATATAATTTAATAGAATCTTCTGGAGTCGATGCCAAAGCTCAGAGGAACTCCCTAGTGGGGATTTCCAGCATATGGCAGAGAAAATTTGAGGGTATTTCTCACATTTCATGTGGCTGCCATCTACTTGCACACTTCCCTCAGCTCACCACCACTAGGGCACTGGCTCTCCAGATAGGCTAAGACATGAGAAGAATTCCACTACTCACCCCATAGTATCGGCTCTCTCCACAGGGATGGAGTTGGCCGGGAGCTGACTCTCCATCTCTAAGAGAGGACGCCTGCTTTTTTTCTTGCTTTCCTCTCCTACCACCCTTTTCTTATAGAACCTTCTGCCAAAATCTGGGGGCAAATTTTCTCCTCAAAGGGCCTCTCCGGCTGGGAGAGGTGACTCAATCCTGTAATCCCAGCACTTTGGGAGGCTGAGGCGAGTGGCTCATTTGAGGCCAGGAGTTCAAGACCAGCCTGACCAACATGGTGAAACCCCCGTCTTCTAAAATACAAAAATTAGCCAGGTGTGGTGGTGGGTGCCTGTAATCCCAGCTACTGGGGAGGCTGAGGCAGAAGGATTGCTTGAACCTAAGAGGTGGAGGTTGCAGTGAGCCAAGATTGCACTACTGCACTCCAGCCTGGGCAACAGAGTGAGACTCCATCTAAAAAAAAAAGAGGGGGGACCTCTCCACCAGCTCACCAAGACCTCATCAAAGATATCTGTATCAGTTCAGGAAATGTTGGCTCCTTTAGTAGTCCAAGGTAAAAGAATAATGGCTCACACATGTTAGAAGTTTCTTTCTTGGGCTGGTTGTAGTGGCTCATGCCTGTAATCCCAGCACTTTAGGGGGCTGAGATGGGAGGATTGCTTAAAGCCAGGAGTTCGAGACCAGCCGGGTCAACACAGCAAGACCCCATCTCAATTATAATTTTTTTAAAAAGAAGTTTCTTTCTTATTCAAGATAAATCCAAAATGGCTGTCTCTGATTGGCAAATGGCTTTTCTCTCAAAGCAATGATTTAAGGATCCAGGCTCCTTCTATCTTGGCCCTGCTATTCTCACATGTGGCTTTTGAAGTCACCACGTTTGCCTGCATTAGGTTAATAGAAGGAGAAAGAGCACTGAAAATCATGCACAGAAGGATAAAGTAGCCCAGCCTGGATATGGTACACATCACTCTCACTCTCATTATAATTCTAGAACTCAGTTACATGGCCATATTTGACTGTTTATATTCTAGTTGTGTGTCCGAGAAAATGAGAAAACAGTTATGTTGAACAACTAGCTTGTCTCAGCCAAAACATATAGCCTTAGAGTACAAGGGGAACTCAGTAAAAAATAGCTATTATTCTCTGAGTACAACTGTGGGCGTAGGGGCTGGCATGATCTATTTTCTCCCTAAAAAAAATGGGTTCATACAACAAATAAATCATGAAGTTGAGTATGTTTGATGCCAAAGTTACTAGGCTATGTCATGTCAATAAGACAATTTAGAAAAAAAAAAAATCCCTACTCTCAAGGAGTTGAGAAGCAATTAGATGCTCGCTGAATCAGAGTTTACTACTTATTTCTAAGTTGAAAAAAAATCATTTTCACTTTTTCACCAGTGTTAAGACTCTTGGCACAGTTTGGATATTAGTTCTTACCCAAACCCCCAGTAGTTGTTGTTGGTGCTTCTCACCAAATATTTCTGGCTCTCTCCACTTTCAGACACGTGATAGAAGTACACTTTCCTGACCCCTTTAGGTTAGTTGTGGCCTTGTGACTTCCTTGGGTAATAAAATGTAGATGGCAGTAACATGTCACACTTTTAGAAGGAAAATTAAATAACGTGGCACATTTGTCAGAACCTCTAGGTATGGTTTGGCTGTGTCCCTACCCAAATGTCATCTTGAATTCTAGTTCCCATAATCCCCACATGTTGTGGGAGGAACCCACTAGGAGGTAATTGAATCATGGGCACGGTTACGTCCATGCTGCTGTTCTCATGATAGTAAATGAGCTCTCAGGAGATTTGATGGTTTTATAAGGGGCTTTTCTCTCCTTTGCTCAGCAGTTCTCCTTCCTGCCATCTCAGCTCAGATCCTGTCTGAGCTGAGAAGAAAGATGTGTTTGCTTCCCCTTCTGCCACAATTGTAAATTTCCTGAGGCCTCCCTAGGCATGCAGAGCTGTGAGTCAATTAAACCTGTTTCCTTTATAAATTACCCAGTCTCAAGTATGTCTTTATTAGCAGCATGAGAATGGATTAATACCATAAATTGGTACTGGGAGTAGGGCGCTCTTGTAAAGATACCTCAAAATGTGGAGGCGACTTTGGAACTGGGTAACAGGCAAAGGTTGGAACAGTTTGAGGGCTAAGAAGAACACAGGAAAATGTGGGAAAGTTTGGAACTTCCTAGAGACTTGGAGGGCTCAGAAGACAGGAAGATGTGGGAAAGTTTGGAACTTTCTAGAGATTCGTTGAATGGCTTTGACCAAAATGCTGATAATGATATGGACAATGAAGTCCAGGCTGAGGTGGCCTCAGATATAGATGGGGAACTTGTTGGAAACTGGAGTAAAAGTCACTCTTGCTATGCAAGAGACTGGTGCATTTTGCCCCTGCCCTAGAGATCTGTGGAACTTTGAACTTGTGAGAGATGATTTAGGGTATCTGTCAGAAGAAATTTCTAGGTGTAAAGCATTCAAGAGGAAACAGAGCATAAAAGTTTGGAAAATTTTCAGCCTGACAACGTGATAGAAAAGAAAAACCCATATTCTGGGGAGAAATTCAAGCCTGCTGCAGAAATGTGCTTAAATAATAAGTGGCCAAATGTTAATCACCAACACAATGGGGAAAATGTCTCCAGGGCATGTCAGAGACTTTGAGGGCAGCCTCTCCTGTCACAGGCCTGGAGGCCTATGAGGGAAAAAATGCTTTCATGGACCAGGCTTAGTGTCCTCCTGCTCTGTGCAGCCTTGGGGCATGGTGCCCTGCATCAGCTCCAGCCATGGCTAAAAGGGGCCAAGGTACAGCTCAGGCCATTGCTTCAGAGGTTGCAAGCCCCAAGTCTTGGCAGGTTCCATCCACTGTTGGTCCTGTGGGTGTGCAGAAGACAAGAATTGAGGTTTGGGAACCTCTGCCTAGATTCCAGGGGATGTATGGAGATGCCTGGATGTCCAGGCAGAAGTTTGCTGCAGGAGTGGAGCCTTCATGGAGAACCTCTGCTAGGGCAGTGTGGAAGGGAAATGTGGGATTGGAGCCCTTACACAGAATCCCCACTGGGGCACTGCTGTGAGAAGAGGGAGCTGTGAGAAGAGGGCCACTGTCCTCAAGGCCCCAGAATAGTAGATCCACTGAAAGCTTGCATCATGCACCTAGAAAAACCATAGACACTCAACACCAGCCATGAAAGCAGCCAGAAGTGGGGCTGTACCCTGCAAAGCCACAGGGATGGAGCTGCCTAAGGCCCTGGGAACCCACCTCTTGCATCAGTGTGACCTCAGTGTGAGACTTTGAGTCAAAGAAGATCATTTTGGAACTTTAAGGGTTAATGACTGCCCTACTGGATTTTACACTTGCATGGGGCCTGTAGCCCCTTTGTTTTGGCCAATTTCTCCCATTTGGTATAGGTGTTTACCCAACACCTGTCCCTTCATTGTATCTTGGAAGTAATTAACTTGCTTTTGATTTTACAGGCTCATAGGTATAAGGGACTTTCCTTGTCTCAGATGAGACTGTGGATTTGGACTTTTGCGTTAATGCTGGAAAGATTTAAGACTCTAGGGGACTGTTTGGAAGGCATGATTGTGTTTTGAAATGTGAGGACATGAGGTCTGGGAGGGACTGGGACAGAAAATATGGTTTGGCTGTGTTCCCACCCAAATCTCATCTTAATTTGTAGTTCCCATAATCCTCACATGTTATGGGAGGGACCCAGTGGGAGGTAATTGAATCATGGGGGTGGTTACCCCCATGCTACTGTTCTCTTGAAGGTGAGTGAGTTCTCAAAAGATCTGATGGTTTTATAAGGGGCTTTTCCGTCTTTGGCTCAGCACTTCTCCCTCCTGCCATCCTGTTAAGAAGGACATGTTTGTGCCACCTTCCGCCATGATTGTAAGTTTCCTGAGGTCTCCCTAGCCATGTGGAACTGTGAGTCAGTTAAACCTCTTTACTTTATAAATTACCCAGTCTTGGGTATGTCTTTATTAGCAGCATGAGAATAGACTAATACACCTGTTTTCCTCTGTGACTACCAGCAACATTCAAGATGGTAGATACTCCATCAGCTTGCTTCCATGAGTAAGGAGGCACGGTGCAGAGTTCCCAGCCAACCTGTGATGGACCTGTAACATGAGCAGGCAAAAGACATTTATTATTAAGAACTACTAACCCTTTGCTGTTTGTGTTACTGCAGTATAACCTAGCTCATCCTAACACATTTCTCCCTGAATAATACAACACATAAAAATTTAACTGTATAATTAATTACTTAGTGGAAATAAAAGAAAACAGAGTCCTTTTTAAGGAAAGTGAATTATAGTCATGTTCCAGGTGATGACATTTCAGTCAACTGTATATATGAGGGATCTTAAAAATTCATGACAATGCATATTATGAAAAAACTATGCATGGACAATTTTCTGCAACCAAACAAACTTGTACTAATTTGTTATAACATGCCTAAATAGTATCTAGTTTGAGGAACTGAAAAAAATAAGACCTCAGTTTGAAAAGATCTTCTATCAGAGAAACATGAGTTCTGCTAAAATTGAAGCAAAAACAAACATCAAATTTATGATGAAACTTGGGTGGAAGAATGGTGAAATTATTATTCCTTTATGAAAAGTTTATGGGCAGTGTCCCAAAGAAATCAGCAGTTTACAAATGCATACCTCATTTTAGGAAGGGATGAGACAATGTTGAAGATGAAGCCTGCAGCAGCAGACCATCCACATGAATTTGTGAGGAAAAAATTCACCTTGTTTGTGCCCTAATTGCAGAAGACTGATGATTAATAGCACAACAATAGCAAATACAATAGACATCTCAGTCAGTTCAGCTTACACAATTCTGTCTAAAAAATTAAAGTTGAGCAAACTTTCCACTGGATGGGTGCCAAGACCATTGCACCCAGATTAGCTGCAGACAAGAGCAGAGCTTTCAATACAAATTTTAAACAAGTGAGATTGAGATCCTCAAGCATTTCTTGGAAGAATTGTAACAAGAGATGAAACATGGCTTTACCAGTACAATCCTGAAGACAGAGCACAATCAAAGCCATGGCTACCCAAAGGTAGAAGTGGTCCAGTCAAAGCAAAAGTAGATTAGTCAAGAGCAAACATCATGGCAGCTGTTTTGTGGGCTGCTCAAGACAGTTTGCTTTTTGACTTTCTGGAGGGCCAAGGAAAAATAACATCTACTTATGAGCGTGTTTTGAGAAAGTATCCAAAGCTTTAGCAGTAAACAATCAGGAGACCTTTACCAGAGAGTCCTTCTCTACCATAACAATGCTCCTGCTTATTCCTCTCACCAAACAAGGGCAATTTTGTGAGAATTTTGATGAGAAATCATTTGGCATCCATCTTACGCTCCTGTCTTGTCTCCTTCTGCCTTCTTTTAGTTTCCTAATTAAAAAAAAATTTAAGTAAAATATTTAAGGAGCATTCATTTTCTTTTTTCTTTTTTTTTTTTGGAGCATTCATTTTCTTCAGTTAAATTCCCAGTTCTTTAGGGATGAACTAAATGACTGATATCATTGATTACAAAAGTGTCTTAACTTGATGGAGCTTATATTGAGAATTGAAGTTTATATTTCTATTTTATCTTTTAATGCCATTTTTCAAAAAATGTTGAATTCCCCTCCAACAACAATGGTCCCATAAGATTATAATGGAGCTGAAAAATTCCAGCTGCCGAGGTCATAGCTATTGTGACATTGTAGTGCAACACATTACCTTTTCTATATTTAGATACACAAATACTTACCATTGTGTTACACTTGCCTACAGTATTCAATACAGTAACATGCTGTACAGGTTTGTAGCTAGCTATAGTATAGGCTATACTATATTGTATGGTGCGTAGTAGGGTGTACCATCCAGGTTTGTGTAAGCATACTCTGTGATGTTCCCACAATGATGAAATTGCCTAATGATGCATGTCTCATAACATCTCTGTTGTTAAACAATGCATAACTGTATCCATAGCCTTGTCATATAAGTACAAATGGAATTCAAATTTATTAAATTATTCCCTGGTGGGGTGGTGGTCTTGCCTTCTATTTTATAGCCATCAGAGAATTCCAAAGCTTGGGATAATTCAGGTGATGTTCTGGTCTGTGCTGTTAAAAAGGCCAAAGAAGAAATACGATCTTGGCCTCTCTAAGCACTGGACTGTATCAGACTGCAAAAACAGAAATGCTATAAGGCTCAAAGCAGTAAGGACTCAATTCATGATTAATTGTGTATAAGAGAGGAAAACAAGAAAATTCAGAGCAAGGCTGGTGGCCCTAATAGAGTCATGGTCCCAATAGATACGACCAAACGGGAATTGAAGAATATGGCAGAATCCCAGCAGGCAGCAGGAAGCAGGCAGAAGTCTGGTCTCTTCTGCTTTCTTTTTGAACCAGACTAAGCAGCAGAGTGAAAACTGAATGCAAGGCAGTTGAAGAAACCAAGATGAGCAGGCTAGACACTCCAGGTAAAAGCAGCGCTGTAAACAGATGAAGTGAGGCAGTTGACCCAAAATAAGTGAAAGGCCCTGAGGGATTCTGTTTAGAAAAACAGTTACACAACTTCATGTTCTGCCACATAGCAGAAGCAGCTCAACCAGAGACTTCTCCTCCTCAGACCAGAGGCAGGGAAGTTGAATCTTGAGTGCCAGTAATCAGTTCATGAGGAAATAATCATAGGTGGTGACTAGGTACTGCTAAAGTTGAAAGGAAAGGCCCTATTAACCACTTTTTATTTCAACAAATTTCTATCTCTTTTCAGAGGAGGGGAGCAGTATCACATAATTCTAGGTTTAAGAGTTTGCTCTCCCTGGGTTAGGATCCTTCTCTGTTGGTGAACTTGACCAAGGTTCCCAACCTCTCTGATCCTCAGTTTCCTTCTGTATCCCCTCATAGGATTAAATTGGATGAAAAGGAGTGTTCTTGCTGGCCAGAGGTGAGAATCACATACTTTTAGGTTGATGATGACATCCTGTCTATGAACCCTCCTATACAATCTATTTGCTTTTGGAGGATGTCTGCATTTGATTGGCAGAGAAAGAAAGAGAAAGAAGAAGTTTTTCAGTGAAGAGGTCCTAAGGGGAGAAGACCATAGGGAGTTTGGCCTGGATGTATAGGTTGAGATGTTTTCTGTTCTCTGCTGGTCCAGAGGGTGGTAAGAAAAGGGTACTGGAGGAACTGCATGTAGGAAATCTATTTAGGACAGAACAACCAATTTTCTGGGTGTGGGTGACCAAGTGAAGTCTAAAATAGAAGCAAGGGGACCATTCTCTTCCTGTAAATCCCCATGCCACTCTGCCACATTTGTATTCACGGGATGGTAAACTTCAGAACTTCAGACCACACAGACAACATATATAAATCACTAGGACTGTGACTGCTGTGGTAGTTGCTCAAAAATTATGTGTTCTATTTCATTAGATCTTCCTTCAAGAAGTATTCCTTTTGAAATCTGGGCTTGGTGTCTTACAAAGTTTCTGATTTCTTAAAAATCACCCGTATTTATCTAGAAAATCAAACATGAGTAGATCTTGGGAACATCCCTAACTATTTTCAATTGTCTCATTCTGTAGCAATTCTAACAGGAGAGAATTAGGACCACAGTGTGATGTTTTCCAAAACCAGTGTATGTCTAGGTGCTGGGCTGGCTGCTTAAGAACTATTTAGGAAATTTGTCAAACTTGAAGGTTGTAAAGCTCTACCTTGAAAAAATTCAGATTCAACAAATCTAGATTTCACAAGTCATTCTGGCCTGACAACCAGTGTCCCAAGCAATTTCCTTGTCTACCTATGATAATCAGTAGAATTACAGACATAGAAAAATGGGAAAAATATCCTAGGGACATAACTTGCAAATCCAATCCATTTCAACAAAATAAAGGGAAGAAATGAGAGTTCAAGTAAGTGAAAGGAAAGAAATTGCCTATATATGAACATCTTGTTGACTCTTGATCTTGTTTCTGTTCTTCCTGAGGCTTACTGAACTGAACAAAACTCAACAGTGTGTGTGATGGTGCCAATGTCAGCACTAGGGAATCACATAGGTAATATATTCTTCTGGCAAGAAATAAGACTGCTTATATAGGGATAACTCTCTGAAATTCAATGATGGCTTGAAGAAAAACTTGCACATCAAGTTTCTAGCTGTTTCATAATTAACCACCACATATTCTTTTTAAAAATATTTATTGAGTACCTATTATGTGCCAAGTACTGTTCTAAGCACAACAGCGAATAAGACAGAAAAAACTCCGAATTCACAGATCTTACATTTTAGTGGAGGGAGACACACAATAAGCAAATAAGTGAAATAAATAGTTTATTAGATAATGATGAATAATATGGAGGAAAATCAGGGAAGTAGAATGGGACATCTTACATTTTAGTGGAGGGAGACACACAATAAGCAAATAAGTGAAATAAATAGTTTATTAGATAGTGATGAGTAGTGTGGAGGAAAAGCAGGGAAGGAGAATGGGACATTCTGAGGAGGGTGTTGCAATTTTGAGCAAAGTAGTCAAGAATGGCCCACACTGAAAAGGTGATATTTGAGCACAGTAAAACACAAAAGAGGTCAGAGAGACCTCTGGTATCTGGCAGGGGGCTGGGAGAGGGGGCATATATGGCAGAAGCATTTCTGGAGTCTTTGAGGGACAGCAAAGAGACCAGTGTAGTTAAAGAGGACTTTATGAGCGGAGAATATGTGAGGAGAATAACAATAGAAGATGAAATCAGAGAGTTTATGGGAGTTAAATTATGCAAGGTCTTGTAGGATAGTGTGAACACTTTGGCTTTTACTCTGAGTAGGATGGGAAGCCCTTAGAGTGTCTCGTGCCCAGATGCAGCGTGATCCAAGTTAGGTATTCACATGCTCACCTTGGCAGCTCTCTGGGGAATGGACTACTCCGAAAAGGGAAAGAGAGGGAAGGAGGAGTAATTTTTTAAATGCTTTGGGAAGAGATTGCAATGATCCGGGTGAAAAGTAATGTTGGCTTTTACTGGGTAGTAGAAGTGGAAAAGGTGAAAAATAATCAGATTCTGGATATAATTAAAGGTAGAGTGAAAAGATGTGCCAAGGAAGTAACTAAAAGGAGTCAAAGATGATCACAAGATGTCTGGCCTAACCAATTAAAAGAATTGGTTACAAATAACTAAGATGGAAAATAATAGAAAGTCAAGTGTGAGGTTTGGAAATATCAGTGAGTCTCTCTATTATGATATAAGTTAATCAAGAGTTTATGCTATTGCCTGAAGGGAATAAGGAAAATAAACATGAGTCATATGTCTATGGTTATTTTAAGATTAGAAATACTCTATACATGCAGAAAAAATGTCTAGACAAGCAACTGTTAATAATGGTCCCTTGTTAAGAACAGAAATTGGAGAGTTCAAAAAATTTTATTTTTTACTTTTGTACTTCTTTAATGTTTTACTATGAAAACATGTTTAAATTTTTTAAATTATATGTCAACATCACTCGACAATAACCAATAAGGAACCATTGATACATACAACATGAATGACTCTCAAAAATAACATGTTAAGTGAAAGAAGTCAGGCACAAAAGAGTACACACTTTATTGTGATTCCATTTATAGTCATTTAAGGGCAGACAAAACTAATTTATAGTGATAGAACTCAGAATTATGGTTGATTGTGCAAAGGACAGGGTAAGAAATTGACTGGAAAGGTCAAGAGGGAATTTTAAACTACACTCACATTAATGTTTTAAAAATATTGCCTGGGAGTAATTGCATAAAGTACAAACATAGATGTTACTCTTTAGTCCACAAATCACTACATAATGTACATTACGGTTAGGAACCAATTAGATAACCTTTTTCAAAATCTGTCTGACTGATAACAAAGACAGCAAAACACACAGACAGTAAATCTAGTTTTATTGCCTTCTCGCTTCCCATTGATAACCGTATGTGACATTTTTAAAAAAATTTAATTTAATTTAATTTAATTTTATTATTATTACACTTTAAGTTTTAGGGTACATGTGCACAATGTGCAGATTAGTTACATATGTATACATGTGCCATGCTGTTGTGCTGCACCCATTAACTCGTCATTTAGCATTAGGTATATCTCCTAATGCTATCCTTCCCCCCTCACCCCACCACACAACAGTCCCCAGAGTGTGATGTTCCCCTTCCTGTGTCCATGTGTTCTCATTGTTCAGTTCCCACCTGTGAGTGAGAACATGTGGTGTTTGGTTTTTTGTCCTTGCGATAGTTTACTGAGAATGATGATTTCCAATTTCATCCATGTCCCTACAAAGGACATGAACTCATCCTTTTTTATGGCTGCATAGTATTCCATGGTGTATATGTGCCACATTTTCTTAATCCAGGTGACATTTTACAAAAATGGATAATTGAAGAGGAATTGGCCAAAAAAGACAAAAGTAAAAAACAGGAAATGGAAAGTAGTAACACTGGAGGTTAAATTTAAATCAAACATAAACAGAGTTATAGAAGACATAGCTAACTATAGGAATGCTGACACTGCTGGCATTCAAGAAACTCTAGATATGCTGCCAGAGGAACTTGATGGCAACTTAGGGATACAAATAGGTCTTGGTGATGAAAAGGATGAAGATGTCCCAGAAGAACATCCCAGCAAAATCTTCATGCTAAAGGAATTCTCAGGGATATTTTAAGACATTGAAAGCAAAAAAGATAAAATATTAGGAGCTGATCCAAACTTAGAAAGGAGTATGTCAATTTGTCAAGGCATCAAAAGGATTCTCACTTTCCATTTTAAGAAGTAAAGAACCATTCAAACTTCTCTTGATAGTTCTTTAGAAATAAATAAAACACTTTAACTCTAAATGTTTCTAATGTTTGACATTATAGTATAAATATTAGTTTTACTATTTTTATTTCTCTATACATTTACAAACAACAGTAAGAAAGATTTTAATGTTTCAGCAACAATTTTTAGAGGTCATGGAACAAACAAATGTTTTCCATTGATAATTAAAGCAACTGTGTAATTGAAGCATGTGCAGTCACTTTTTGACCCCATGTTACCATGCAAAATGGGAACTACTTGTACTAGTATAACTTTTTAAAAATACACTTTAAATTTTATTTATTGCTTAATCAACTTTAGACAGTATCTCTTGATACTCTAATTTGTATTTAATGATGAAATTAATCTTCTTGTACTGTCCTCTACCTCTGTTCCTCCTCCTTCCTGGAATTCTGTTTTACCACTTCTTTTCAATTGTAAGAATAATATATTAGTAATTTCAATATGTCTCTTATAGATTTTAAAATTGACAGCCAATAAATAATATTTCATTAGAGTTTTTTTTCTATTTTTTAAAAAAATTATTCTTTAAGTTCTAGGGTACATGTGCACAATGTGCAGGTTTGATACATAGGTATACATGTGCCATGTTGGTTTGGTGCACTCATCAACTCGTGATTTACATTAAGTATTTCTCCTAATGCTATTCCTCTCCCAGCCCCCCACCCCACAACAGGACCCGGTGTGTGATGTTCCCTGCCCTGTGTGCAAGTGATCTCATTGTTCAATTCCCACCTATGAGTAAGAACATGTGGTGTTTGGTTTTCTGTCCTTGTGATAGTTTGCTGAGAATGATGGTTTCCAGCTTCATCCACTTCCCTGCAAAGGACATGAACTCATCTTTTTTTATGGCTGCATAGTATTCCTGGTGTATATGTGCCACATTTTGTTAATCCAGTCTATCATTAATGGACGTTTGGGTTGGTTCCAAGTCTTTGCTATTGTGAATAGTGCTGCAATAAACATCCATGTGCATGTGTCTTTATAGTAGCATGATTTATAATCCTTTGGGTACAAACCCAGTAATGGGATTGCTGGGTCAAATGGTATTTCTAGTTCTAGATCCTTGAGGGATTGCCACACTGTCTTCCACAATGGTTGAACTAATTTACACTCCCACCAACAGTGTAAAAGTGTCCCTATTTCTCCACATCCTCTCCAGCATCTGTTGTTTCCTGACTTTTTAATGATTGCCATTCTAACTGGCGTGAGATGGTATCTCATTGTGGTTTTGATTTGCATTTCTCTGATGACCAGTGATGATGAGCATTTTTTCATGTGTCTGTTGGCTGCATAAATGTCTTCTTTTGAGAAATGTCTGTTCATATCCTTTGCCTACTTTTTGATGGGGTTGTTTTTTTTTTTGTTTTGTTTTGTTTTTTTTTGGTAAATTTGTTTGAGTTCTTTCTAGAATCTGGATATTAGCCCTTTGTCAGATGGGTGGATTACAAAAATTTTCTCCCATTCTGTAGGTTGCCTCTTCACTCTGATGGTAGTTTCTTTTGCCATGCAGAAGCTCTTTGGTTTAATTAGATCACATTGGTCAATTCTGGCTTGTGTTGCCATTACTTTTGGTATTTTAGTCATGAAATCCTTGCCCATGCCTATGTCCTGAATGGTATTGCCTAGGTTTTCTTCTAGGGTTTTTATGGTTTTAGGTCTAACATTTAAGTCTTTAATCCATCTTTAATTAATTTTTGTATAAGGTGTAAGGAAGGGATCCAGTTTCAGCTTTCTACAAATGGCTAGCCAGTTTTCCCAGCACCATTTATTAAACAGGGAACCCTTTCCCCACTTCTTGTTTTTGTCAGGTTTGTCAAAGATCAGATGGTTGTAGATGTGTGGTGTTATTTCTGAGGCCTTTTTTCTGTTCCATTGGTCTATATATCTGTTTTGGTACCAGTATCATGCTGTTTTGGTTACTGTAGCCTTATAGTGTAGTTTGAAGTCAGGTAGCATTATGCCTCCAGCTTTTTTCTTTTTGCTTAGGATTGTCTTGGCAATGTGGGCTCTTTTTTGGTTCCATATGAACTTTAAAGTAGTTTTTTGCAATTCTGTGAAGAGAGTCATTGGTAGCTTGATGGGGATGGCATTGAATCTATAAATTACCTTGGGCAGTATGGCCATTTTCATGATATTGATTCTTCCTATCCTTGAGCATGGCATGTTCTTCCATCTGTTTGTGTCCTGTTTTATTTCATTGAGCAGTGGTTTGTAGTTCTCCTTAAAGAGGTCCTCCACATCCCTTGTAAGTTGGATTCCTAGGTATTTTATTCTCTTGGTAGCAATTGTGAATGGGAGTTCACTCATGATTTGGCTCTCTGTTTGTCTATTATTGGTGTATAGGAATGCTTGTGATTTTTGCACATTGATTTTGTATCCTGAGACTTTGCTGAAGTTGCTTATCAGCTTAAGGAGATTTTGGACTGAAACAATGGGGTTTTCTAAATCTACAATCATGTCATCTGCAAACAGGGACAATTTGACTTCCTCTTTTCCTAATTGAATACCCTTTATTTCTTTCTCTTGCCTGATTGCCCTGGCCAGAACTTCTAACACTATGTTGAATAGGAGTGGTGAGAGAGGGCATCCTTGTCTTATGCTGCTTTTCAAAGGGAATGCTTCCAGTTTTTGTCCATTCAGTATGATATTGGGTGTGGGTTTGTCATAAATAGCTCTTATTATTTTGAGATACATTCCATCAATCCCTAGTTTATTGCGAGTTTTTAGTATGAAGGGCTGTTGAATTTTGTCAAGGGCCTTTTCTGCATCTATTAAAATAATCATGTGGTTTTTGTCATTGGTTCTGTTTATGCGATGGATTATGTTTATTGATTTGTGTATGTTGAACCAGCCTTGCATCCCAGGGATGAAGCCAACCTGATTGTGGTGGATAAGGTTTTTGATGTGCTGCTGGATTCGGTTTGCCAGTATTTTATTAAGGATTTTTGCATCGATGTTCATCGGGGATATTGGTCTAAAATTCTCTTTTTATGTTGTGTCTCTGCCAGGCTTTGGTAGCAGTATGACATTGGCCTTATAAAATGAGTTAGGGAGGATTCCCTCTTTTTCTATTTATTGGAATAGTTTCAGAAGGAATGGTACCAGCTCCTCTTTGTATCCCTGGTAGAATTCAGCTGTGAATCTGTCTGGTCCTGGACTTTTTTTTGTTGGTAGGCTATTAATTATTGCCTCAATTTCAGAGCCTGTTATTGGTCTATTCAGAGATTCAACTTCTTCCTGGTTTAGTCTTGGGAGTATGTATGTGTCGAGGAATGTATCCATTTCTTCTAGATTTTCTAGTTTATTTGCATAGAGGTGTTTATAGTATTCTCTGATGGTAGTTTGTATTTCTGTGGGATCAGTGGTGATGTTCGCTGTATCTTTTTTTATGCCATCTTTTTGATTCTTTTCTCTTTTATTCTTTAATAGTCTTGCTAGTGGTCTATCAATTTTCTTGATCTTTTTAAAAAACCAGCTCCTGGATTCAATGATTTTTTGAAGGGTTTTTTGTGTCTCTATCTCTTTCAGTTGTGCTCTGATTTTAGTTATTTCTTGCCTTCTGCTAGCTTTTGAATGTGTTTGCTCTTACTTCTCTAGTTCTATTATTGTGATGTTAGGGTGTCAATTTTAGATCTTTCCTGCTTTCTCTTGTGGGCATTTAGTGCTATAAATTTCCCTCTACACACTGCTTTAAATGTGTCCCGGAGATTCTGGTACGTTGTGTCTTTGTTCTCGTTGGTTTCAAAGAAAACCTTTGTTTCTACCTTCATTTCGTTATTTACCCAGTAGTCATTCAGGAGCAAGTTGTTCAGTTTCCATGTAGTTGTGTGGTTTTGAGTGAGTTTCTTAACCCTGAGTTCTAATTTGATTGCACTGTGGTCTGAGAGACAAGTTTGTTGTGATTTCTGTTCTTTTACATTTGCTGAGGAGTGCTTTACTTCCAATTATGTGGTCAATTTTAGAATAAGTTCAGTGTGATGCTGACAAGACTGTATATTCTGCTGATTTGGGGTGGAGATGTCTGCTTGGTGCAGAGCTGAGTCCAAGTCCTGGATATTCTTGTTAAGCTTCTCTCTCATTGATCTAATATTGACAATGGGGTGTTAAATTCTCCCATTATTATTGTGTGGGAGTCTAAGTCTCTTTTTTAGGTCTCTAAGGACTTGCTTTATGAATCTGGGTGCTCCTGTATTGGGTGCATATATATTTAGGATAGTTAGCTCTTCTTGCTGAATTGATCCCTTTACCATTATGTAATGCCCTTCTTTGTCTCTTTTGATCTTTGTTGGTTTAAAGTCCATTTTATCAGAGACTACAATTGCAATCCTTGCTTTTTTTTTTTTTTTTTTTTTTTTTGCTCCCCATTTGCTTGGTAGATTTTCCCCCATCCTTTTATTTTGAGCCTATGTGAGTCTTTGCACGTGAGATGTTTCTCCTGAATACAGCACACACTGATGGGTCTTGACTTTTTATCCAATTTGCCAGTCTGTGTCTTTTAATTGGGGCATTTAGCCCATTTACATTTAAGGTTAATATTGTTATTTGTGAATTTGATCCTGTCATTATGATGTTAGCTGATTGTTTTGCCCGTTAATTGATGCAGTTTCTTCATAGCATTGATGGTCTTTACAATTTGGTATGTTTTTGCAGTGGCTGGTACCGGTTGTTTCTTTCCACGTTTAATGCTTCCTTCAGGAGCTCCTGTAAGGCAGGCCTTGTGGTGACAAAATCTTTCAGCATTTGCTTTTCTGTAAAGGATTTTATTTCTCCTTCACTTATGAAGCTTAGTTTGGCTGGATATGAAACTCTGGGTTGAAAATTCTTTTCTTTAAGAATGTTGAATATTGGCCTCCACTCTCTTCTGGCTTGTAGGGTTTCTGCTGAGAGATCCGCTGTTATTCTGATGGGCTTCTCTTTTTGGGTAACTCAACCATTCTTTCTGGCTGCCCTTAACATTTTTTCCTTCATTTCAACCTTGGTGAATCTGACAATTATGTGTCTTGGGGTTGCTCATCTGGAAGAGTATCTTTGTGGTGTTTTCTGTATTTCCTGAATTTGAATGTTGGCCTGCCTTTCTAGGTTGGGGAGGTTCTCCCAGATAATATCCTGAAGACTGTTTTTCAACTTGGCTCCATTCTCCCCATCACTTTCAGGTACACCAATCAGATGTAGATTTGGTATTTTCACATAGTCCAATATTTCTTGGAGGCTTTGTTCATTTCCTTTTACTCTTTTTTCTCTAACCTTGTCATCTTGCTTTATTTCATTAATTTGATCTTCAATCACTGATACCGTTTCTTCCACTTGATCGAACCAGCTATTGAAGCTTGTGCATGCATCACGAAGTTCTCGTGCCATGGTTTTCAGCTCCATCAGGTCATTTAAGGTCTTCTCTACACCGTTTACTCTAGTTAACCCTTCATCTAACCTTTTTTCAAGGTTTTTAGCTTCCTTGTGATGGTTTGAACATGCTCCTTTAGCTCAGAGAAGTTTGTTATTACCGACCTTCTGAAGCCTACTTCTATCAACTCATCAAAGTCATTCTCTGCCCAGCTTTGTTCCATTGCTGGCGAGGAGTTGTGATCCTTTGGAGGAGAAAGGGCACTCTGATTTTTAGAATTATTTTTAGCTTTTCTGCTCTGGTTTATCCCCATCTTTGTGGTTTTATCTACCTTTGATCTTTGATGTAGGTGACCTACAGATGGGGTTTTGATGTAGATGTCCTTTTTGTTGATGTTGATGCTATTCCTTTCTGTTTGCTAGTTTTCCTTCTTACAGTCAGGTCCCTCAGCTACAGATCTGTTGGAGTTTGCTGGAGGTCCACTCCAGACTCTGTTTGCCTGGGTATCACCAGCAGAGGCTGCAGAACAGCAAATATTGCAGAACAGCAAATATTGCTGCCTGATCCTTCCTCTGGAAGCTTCCTCCCAGAGGGGCACCCGCTTATATGAGGTGTCTGTTGGCCCCTACTGGGAGTTGTCTCCCAGTTAGGCTACATAGGGGTCAGGGACCCACTTGAGGAGGCAGTCTGTCCATTCTCAGAGCTCAAACACCATGTTGGGAGAACCACTGCTCTCTTCAGAGCTGTCAGACTTCGGGATGTTTAAGTCTGCAGAATTTGTCTGCTGCCTTTTGTTCAGCTAAGCCCTGCCCACAGAGGTGTAGTCTAGAGGCAGTAGGCCTTGCTGAGCTGCAGTGGGCTCTGCCCAGTTTGAGCTTCTCTAGCTGCTTTGTTTACCTACTCAAGCCTCAGAAATGGCGGATGCCCTTCCCCCAGCCAGGCTGTCGCCTGGCAGTTCGATAGACTGCTGCGCTAGCAGTGAGCAAGGCTCCATTGGTGTGGGACCCACTGAGCCAGGCACAGGAGAGAATCTCCTTGTCTGCCAGTTGCTAAGACCTTGGGAAAGATGCAGTATTTGGGTGGGAGTGTCCCATTTTTCCAGGTACAGTCTGTCACGGCTTCCCTTGGCTAGGAAAGGGACATCCCCTGACCCCTTTTGATTCCTGGGTGAGGCGACGCCCTGCCCTGCTTCAGCTTGCCCTCCGTGAGCTGCACCCACTGTCCAACCGGTCCCAGTGAGATGAACCAGGTACCTCAGTTGGAAATGCAGAAATCACCTGTCTTCTGCGTCAATCATGCTGGTAGCTGCAGACCAGAGCTGTTCCTATTCGGCCATGTTGGACCATTAGAGTTTTTAATTCCATTTCTTGTTGTTGCTCAAAAAAGAGATATAACATCTACATATCATAAGAATTCTCTTGCTTCTTAATCACAGTGTTTGCTCAACAGAGTTCACTTCTATATTAAAGACAACAGTTTTGGAGCCCTCTGACTTCCTATTCTAATTTGGATCAATTGATTTCTCATCTGCTGCATGACCGTCATGCTGAAATATTTACCTTGAGCTAACTCCACAGTTTCTTGGAACTGTCTCACTTCCTTTTGCTGAACTACAGCCTCTTGTTTTTTGTTTGTTTTTTAAGAAAAAGTGCATGGAATGATTATTTTGCTGGGTATAAAATTCTGATTCAACATGATTTTCTTTCTGAATGTAAATGTAATGCTTCATTGCCTTGTAAATTCAATATTACTGATGGCAATAGGACTTTCATAGATAATATACTCTTATTCTATTTGAAAGCTTTCAGGGTTTTTATCCTTGAACTTCTTATATATAATCAAGACACATGTGGTTATCCTGCTTAGCACTCAGCTATCCTCTCAATGAAAGCTTGTCTTTCTTCAACTCTGACATATTATTTTCTTATTATTTCTTTTAATATTTCTTCCTACATGTGTACCTTCTCGATTTTTTTGTTTATGGAATTCCTGATAATTAGATATTGCCTTTCCTGGACTGGTCTTTTTCGTCATTTAACTTTTCCCTAGTACTTTTACCTGTCCATATCCTTCAAGTATTTTTAGCTGTTCTATATTCTACAAGATTTAATCTATTTTTTATTCCAGGATTTCTATTAATTTATGTTTATTTTTATTCAGCTATAACTTGCATAACCTAAAGTGCAAAAATTTTAAGTATACACCTACAGATTAAGTTATAAAAGATATCCAGTATCCTAGTAGATGCCTTTCTGGTTCTACCAGTTGATGGTTCTAAAGGTAACTACTGTCCTGGCTTTTGTCACCAGAGATTAGTTTTGCCTATTTTAAACTCCATATAAATTGAATCATAGTGTACAAGGCGGAATAATGCCCTTTTTCCCACCCCAAATAAAGATGCTCAAGTCCTAATCTTTGAAACCTGTGACTATATTGCCTTACATGGAAAAAAAAAAAAAACGGACTGTAGATATGATTAAGAATCTTGAGATGGGGGAATTACCTTGGATTCTGTGGGTGGGCCCAGTGTAATCGCAGGGGCCCATATGAAAGAAAGCAGGAGGCAGGAGAGTTAAAGAAGGAGAGATGAAAACAGGCACAGATAGTGAAAAGGAGGAGAGGGAGAGAGAGAAGGTGATTGGAAGATGCTATGCTGCAGGCTTTGAAGGTGGTGGAGCCTAGAGACTGTGAAAGGTAAGGGAACGAATTCTCCCCTCCAGCCTCCAGAAGAAACAGAACCCTGTTGACACCTTAATTGTAGCCCACCAAAACTGATTTTTGACTTCTGATTCTAGAACTGTAAGATAATGAATTTGTGTTGTTTTAAACCACTTAGTTTGGGGTAATTTGTTAAAGAAGAAATAGAAAACTAATATATACAGTATGTATTGTGACTGGCTTCTATTGCTTAACATTATATCCATGAGATTCATCTATGTTGTTACGTATATCAATAGATTTCATAGTTGTGAACATATCACAATTTACTTATCTATTATATGGATCATAGACGTAGGCTGCTTTCAGTCATTAATCATTATGAATACGGTTGTTATAAAGATTCTTGTACATATTTTTTCATGGTTAAGAAAATAAACAAGGCCAGGCACAGTGGCTCGTGCTTGCAATCCCAGCACTTTTGGGGGCCAAGGTGAGAAGATCACTTGAGCCCGGGAGTTTGAGATCAGCCAGGGCATCATAGTGAGACTCTGTCTCTACAAAAAATAAATTTTAAAAAAATCTAAGCATGGTGGTATGCACCTATAGTCACAGCTACTCAGGAAGCTGAGGCAGGAGGATCACTTGAGACCCCGGAAGACTGAATCGGCAGTGAGCCATTGAAGACAACAGTTATTGTGCCACTACACTCCAGCCTAGGTGACAAAGCAAGACCCTGTCTCAAAAAAAAAGGCTAAATTTTGTTGTTTATGTATGCCCAGAAGTGAAATTAATGGGTTATAGAGTATGCAGTATGAAGACAAGGTATGCAGTATTTGACAGTAGATAAACACTGCTGAGGAGTTTTCCAAAATGATTTTTATCAATTTTTATTGCTCTAGCAATGTATGAGTTACAATTGCCCTACATCCTCATTGACCTTGGGATTTGTCATTATTTCTATTTCATCCATCCTCACAGGGTATAGTCAAATTTTATAAGTTTTGTATATGCATACATTCATGAAACTATCAAGACAATGAAGATCTCCATTACTCTCAAAATTTCCTTGTTCCTTTCCAATCCCTTACTCTACTCCTCCCTGCCCATAATCCACCCTGTTGCCAGATAATCACTGATTTTTCTTTCCATACTATAGATTAGTATGCATTTTCCAAATTTTCAATAAATGGAATCAGATGTACATAGTCTTTTCTTTCTAGATTTTTCATCCGTATTTATTACATGGATATTCATCCTTGTTATAGTATGTTTTAATAGTTGATTTGTTTTTGCAGGTCAATAATATTCCATTATTTGGATGTATCATAATTTTTTTATCCATTAAACTAATGATGGATATCTATGTTGTTTCCAATTTGGGACTATTATAAAGAGAGCTGCAAAATCTTGTATGGTTTTGAATATACGGTTTCACTCTTGGGTAAATACCTAGGAGTGGAATAACTATATCATATGGTAGGTGAATATTTAGCTTTTGAAGAAACTAACAGTTTGTTTTCCAAATTGGTTGTGCCATTTTATATTCCCATCAGCAATTTATGAGGGTTCTAATTACTCACATTTTTCCCAATACTTGGCATGGGCAGTCTTTTTAATTTCAGCCATTCTAATAAGTGTGAAATGATATTATCTTCTGGTTTTAATCTGCATTTCCCTAATGACACATGATGCTGTGCATCTTTCCATGTGCTTATTTGCTATCCATATAACTTCCATGGTAAAATGCCTATTACAATTTTTAGCCCATTAATTACTTTTTTATTATGTTTTGAGAGTTTTTAATATTCTGATAAAGTTCTTTATCAGATATATGTATTTAAAACATTTCCTTCTAGTCTGTGGCTTGTATTTTCATTCTCTTAACAGTATCTTTCAAAGGTATGGCATTTTAATTTTGATGACATTCTGTTTAGCAATTTGTCTTTTATTGGATCGTGCTTTTGGTGTGGTATCTCAGGAGTATTTGTTTAATCCAAAGTCAAAAAAGTTTTTTTTTAATATTTTCTCATGGAAACCTGATAGACTCATGCTTTAAGTTTAGGTATATGGTCCATTTTGAATTAATTTTTGAATTATTGTGAGATGTGATTTGAGTATTGCATATTATAAACACTTTTTTCAGCACCATTTGTTGAAAAGTCAAAATCTTTTCTCTATTGTATTGTCTTTGCACCTTTGTCCAAAATCCGTATATGGTTAGTGATGAATTTTAATGTTTAAAAATTTAGAAAATTTTTTTAAAAAACCAGTATACATCCACATATGTGTGAGCCTATTTCTGGACTCTCTATTGTGTTCCAATATTCTATTTGCCTATCTTGGTATCAATATCACACTGTCTAAATTAATGCAGTTTTATAATATGCCTTGAAATGAGATGTTGTTTCTCCTCTGTGTTATTATTTTTAACAGTTGATTTGCTTCTTCTATGTCCTTCGCATTTCCACATGAATTTCAGATTTGATTTGTCTATTTCTACCAAAAAAAAAGCCTGCTGGGATTTTGACTTGGATTGCACTGAATCTGTAGATCAATTTGGAGAAAAGTGACATCTTAGCATTATCAAGTCTTCCAACCCATAAATTCAGTATATCCTCCCATTTGTTTATGGTTTTAATTAATAGAAGCCTTTATGGAATCTTTTTATTAATTTCTTTCAGGAATGATTTTTAGTTTGCAGAGTATAGGCTCGAACATCTTTTGTCAGATTTATTCTTAAGTAACTCCTATTTGTTCATGCTTTTGTAAAAGGTATTTTTATTTCAATTTCTCATTGTTTATTGCTAATATATGGAATACAGTTGATTTTTATATATTGATCTTGTATCATGCAATCTTGCTTGATGCACTTATTAGTTGCAGCAGCTTTTTCTGTAGATTCAATCAGATTTTCTACATAGATGATAATGTCATCTGTGAATTGAAAACAGCTTTCTTTCTTTCTTTCTTTCTCATCTAGATGCCTTTTATTTCTTTTTCTTGCCTTATTGTGACCCTTCAGTACAGTGTTGAATGGAAGTGGTGGGAGTAGACATCCTTGTCTTTTCCTTAACCTTAGATGGGATGGGGGTTGAGGGGGAAGAATCATTCTGTATTTAACCATAAAGAATAATGTTAGCTGTAGGTTTCCGGTAGAAGGCTTTTATCAGTTTGAAGATGTTTCCTTCTATTCCTACTTTGCTGGAAATTTTTATTGTGAATTATTTTAAATACTATCAAGTGTTTTTCATCTCTGTTAAGATAATCATATGGTTTTTCTCTTTTAGTTTTTTAATTTAGTAAATTATTGTGATTCATTTTCAAATGTTAAACCAACCATACATTCCTGGAGTATGCTATGATTGGTCATAATATATTATGCTTTTTGCATATTATTGGATCCAAATTGCTAAAATTTTGTTTAGAATTTTTATCCTCTGTCCAGTTCACGTGGTATGTTTTTCTATAATTTTCTTTCCTTGTAATGTCATTTTCATGTTTTGGGGGGCAGAGTAAGGCTGGTCTTATAAAATGAGTTGGAAAGTATTTCCTTCTTTTCAGTTTTCTGGAAAGGTTCATGTAGAATAGGTATTATATGTTTGGTATATGGTGTAATTACCTGAGTCTGAAGTTTTCTTTGTAGGAGAATTTTAAACTACAAATTCAATTTAGCCAATAGATACACAGTTATTTATGTTCTCTATTTTTTCTTGAATGAACTTTGGCAGTTTGCATCTTTCAAATAATTTTTCCACTTCACCTAAATTGTTGGATTTATTGGCAAAGTTTTTCACAATATCCTTTTGTTATCCTTTTTAATATCCTTAGAACCTTTAATAATATATTCTCTATCATTCCTGATATTTTAAAATTTGTTTTTCTTTTCCTCTTGATAAATCTGGCTAGCTACTTATTAATTTTAATCAATCTTCTCAAAGAATCAGATTTTGATTTTATTGATTTTCTGGTTTTTTTTCTCTTTTCTATTTCATTTGATTCCTAATCTGAGCTTTATTATTTTACTTCTTCCACTTACTCTGAGTTTAATTTGCTCTTATTTTTCTAGCGTTTTAAGGAAGAAGCATAGTCATTGATTTAAGACCTTTCTTCTGCCTACTTTGAGTTCACTTTGCTCTTCATTTACTAGTTTCTTAAGGTGGAAGATGAAGTTATTAATTTGACACCTTTCTTGTTTTCTTTTGTAGGCATTAAGTGCAATAAATATTGCCTAATTGCTCTGACTAGGACATGTAGTACCATGTTGAATAGGAGTGGTGAAAGTGGGCATCCTTGTCTTTTTCCAGTTATTAGAGGAAAAGCTTTCAACTTTTTCCCATTTGGGATGATGTTAGCTGTGGGTTTGTCATATATAGCCTTTATTACTTTAAGCTATGGTCCTTCTATGCCTAGTGTGTTGAGAGTTTTTATCATGAATGGATATTGAATTTTATCAAATGCTTTTTCTGCATTTATTGAGATGATCATATGATTTTTGTCCTTTATTCTGATGATGTGATGTATCACTTTTATTGATCTGTGTATGTTGGACAGTTCTTGTTTCCTTGGGATAAACCCCATTTGATCATGTGTATTATCTTTTTTATGTGCTGTTGGATTCAGTTTGCTAGTATTCCGTTGAGGATTTTTGTATCTGTATTCATGAAGGATACTGGCCTGTAGTTTTTTGTTGTATTTTTTCTGGTTTTGGTATCAGGCTAATGCTGGCTCATAGAATGAGTCAGGGAGAATCCCTTTCTCTTCAATATTTTGGAATCATTTGAGGAGGACTGACATTGGTTCTTCTTTATATGTTTGGTAGAATTCTGCAGTGAAAACATCCAGTTCTGGACTTTTCTTTTGGGGAATTTTTTTTATTACTGATTCAACCTCACTGCTCATTATTGGGCTGTTCAGGTTTTCTATTTCTTCCTGATTCAACCTTGGTAGATTTTATGTGTACAGGAATGTATCCATTTCCCCTAGGTTTTCCAGTTTGTTAGTGTACAGTTATTCACAATAGTCTCTGGTGATCTTTTGTATTTCTCTTGTATCAGTTATGTTTCCTTTTTCATTTCTAATTTTGTTTATTTAAATAATCCCTCTTCTTTTCTTGGTTATTCTAGTAAGCAGTTTATCATTTTGGCTTTTATATTAGTTCGTTTTCATGCTGCTGATAAAGACATACCCAAGACTGGGAAGAAAAAGAGGTTTAATTGGACTTACAGTTCCACATGGCTGGGGAGGCCACAGAATCATGGCAGGAGGTGAAAAGCTCTTCTTACTCGGCAGCGGAAAGAGAAAAATGAGGAGGAAGCAAAAGCAGAAAACCCTGATAAACCCATCAGATCTCATGAGACTTATTCACTATCACGAGAATAGGACAGGAAAGACCGGCCCCTGTGATTCAATTACCGCCCACTGGGTCCCTTCCACAGCACGTGGGAATTCTGGGAGACACAATTCAAGTTGAGATTTTGGTGAGGGCACAGCCAAACCATATCAACTATTTTTTGGAAGAAACAATTTTTTGTTTTGTTGATGATTTGTATTTTTTTTAGTCTTTATTTTAGTTTACTTCTGCTCTGATCTTTATTATTTCTTTTCTTCTGTTAATTTGATGTTCTTGCTTTTCCAGTTCCTTGAGGTACATCATTAGATTGTTTATGTGAAATATTTCTGGGTTTTTTGTTTGTTGTTTGTTTTTGACAGAGTCTTGCTCTGTCGCCCAGGCTGGAGTGCAGTGGCGTGATCTCCGCTCACTGCAAGCTCCGCCTCCCGGGTTCACGCCATTCTCCTGCCTCAGCTGGGACAACAGGCTCCCGTCACCATGCCTGGCTAATTTTTTGTATTGTTTAGTAGAGATGGGGTTTCACCGTGTTAGCCAGGGTGGTCTCGATCTCCTGACCTCGTGATCCGCCCACCTTGGCCTCCCAAAGTGCTGGGATTGCAGGCGTGAGCCACCACGCCCGGCCCTGGGTTTTTTTATGTAGGCATTTATTGCTATAATCTTTCCTCTTAGCACTGCTTTTGCTGTGTCCCTTAAGTGTTGATATGTCATTTTCATTTGTTTTCATTTTCTTTTGTTTCAGGAAATTTTTAAACTTCCATTTTAATTTCTTTATTGATCTGATGTTCATTCAGGAACATGTTTAATTTCCATGTATTTGTATAGTTTTCAAAGCTCCTCTTGGTTTTGACATTTAGTTTTATTCCATTGTGGTCTGATAAGGTGATTGATATGACTTTGATTTTCAAAAATTTGTTGTGACTTGTTTTGTCACCTAACATGTGGTCAGTCCTAGAAAATATTCTATGTGCTGATGAGAAGAATGTATATTCTGCAGTTGCTGGATGAAATGTTTTGTAAATATTTATTAAGTCCATTTGTTCTAAAGTACAGTTTAAGTTAAATGTTTATTTTCTGTCTACTTGATCTGTCTAATGCTGAGAGCGGAGTATTGACATCTGCAACTATTATTGTATTGAATTCTATCTCTTTCTTTAGCTCCAGCAATTTTTATTTCTGAATGTGTGTGCTCTAGTGTTGGGTGCATATATGTTTAGAATTGTTACATCCTCTTGCTGGTTGATCCCTTTATCATTATATAATGACCTTCTTTGTCTTTTTTTTACTGTTTTTGACTTAAAGTCTATTTTATCTGATATAACTACTGTTGCTTGCTTTTGGTTTCCATTTGCATGGAATATCTTTTTCAATCCCTTTACTTTCAGTTTATGTATGCTCCTCAACAGGTAAAGTGCATTTCTTTTAGGCAGCATGTAGTTGTATCTGTTTTAAAAATCAATTCAACCAGTCTGTATCTTCTAAGTAGAGAATTTAGTCTGTTTACATTCAGGGCCCTTATTGATATGTGAGGGTTTTTTTCCTCTCAAATTGTTAATTGTTTCATGGCTGTTTTATATATTCTTTTTCCTTTCTGATTCTCTTACTTCTTGTCCTTGTGGTTTGCTGATTTTCTGTGGTGGTACCATTGAGTCTTTTCTCTTGTGCATTTGTGTGTTTGCTGTAACAAGGAGTTTTCTATTTTCATGTGTTTTCCTGATGGTAACTGTAGTCTTTTCACTTACAGGTTTAGGACTCCATTGAGCACTTCTTGTAAGGCAGGTATATCATTTATGAAGGATACTTGTGTTGTATATAATATCTTTGGGTGGCAGGGTTTTTTTTTCTTTCAGCACTTTGAATATATTTTGTCATTCTCTCCCGGCCTACAAGACTTCTGCTGAGAAGTTCACTGTTAGTCTGATGGGGGCTCCTTTACAGGTACCTAGATTCTTTCCTATTGATGATTTTAGAATTTTCTCCTTGTCATTGAATTTAGACAGTTTGACTATAATGTGCCATAGAGAAGACCTTTTTGCATTGTATCTAATTGGGGATTGCTGGGTCCCCTATATTTGGATGTCTGAATCTTTTACTAGACTTGGGAAGTTTTCATCTATTATTTCATTAAATAAGTTTTCAAATTCTTTCATTCCTCACCTTTGGGGCTACCAATAATGTATATATTTGGTCACTTTATAGTGTCCCATATCTCATAAGTCTTCACTCATCCTTTTTTATTATTTTTTCTTTATTTTGTCTGAGTGGTTATTTCAAAAGACCTGTCTTCAAGTTTTGAAATTCTTCTGCTTGGTCTAGTCTATTGTTGAAGTTTTCTAGTGCTTTTTGTGTTTCATTTAAAGAATTTTTCAGTTCCAAAATTTCTTTTTGATTCTTTTTTAATATATATCTCTGTTTGGTGTATTTCTCATTCATATCCTGAGTTCTTTTTCCGATTTCATTGTATTGTTTTTTGAAATTCTGTTGTACCTCACTGAGCTTCTTAGGTATTATAATTTTGAATTCTTTTTCCAGGGTTTCATGAATTTATTTTTTAATGGGATCTCTTGCTGTGGAATTGTGTTCCTTTAGGGGTGTCATATTTCTTTGCTTTTTCATGCTTCTTGTTTTCCTTACATTGATATCTGTGCATCTGGTGTAACAGTCACTTTTTCCTGTCTTTTTTTTTTTTTTTTTTTTTTTTTTTTTTGGATTTGCTGCTTTCATAGGGGAGGGCTTTTTCCTGAAGATATATCAATGATATTGGTTGGGTAGGACCTTTTGCTTTGATTCTGGATGTGTACAGTAGTGTAGTCTTGTATGATTTATTTGGTGGTAAACAGCACCATTGGCATCGGACTTCCTTGGTGTCTTTGGATGCAGTTATTAGTGGAGGCTTTATTGAGCTTTTATGGTGATAGAGATGCCTGGTGGGTCAGTCTTCAGACTTCTGTGGTGGTAGCAGTGGTCTAAGCATGCCTAATCTTGGGCCCCAGGGCAGCATACACTGCCTCCAGTGTTAGTGGAATCAGATGGGTGAATTTTTGGACCTCCAGGAAGCTTGCTCAGATGCGGTATTAGCAGTGGTGGGCCAGCTGGATGAGCAAGTTCCTGGGTCCCTGGGAAGCCAGAGTCATGTGGGCAATGGCAATAGAAGAGGCTGGAAAGCCCTCTGTATTCTGAGAACTGCACACTGATGTTGGCAGTGGCTGTGGTGCAGGGTTGCCACCCACAGCCCCAGACACAAGACTCTCTGGTTCTCCTGCTCACTACTGCTCCATGCAGAGGTGGGGAGTGACCCTACCCTTTGCACATGAGTCCAGGCATGAAGGCCACATTGCCAGTGGGAGCACAGTGACCACTCACAGCCCCAGACAGGCAGCCTTCTGGTTCACCTGCTCTAGCCCCCAGCAGCGGTAGCAGAGACTGTGCCCATAGCAGTGTGTCCAGGAGGAGAAGGGGTTCCACTCTATGTGCATGAGACTGAGCACAGTGGCTGTTCTGCCAGTGGGAGGGGATCACACTCTGCTTGTGAGGTGGATCATAGAGTTCGTGCCACTTCTGGAGTTGGGGTCAATTCTCACAGCCCCATACAGGGAGCTCTCAGGCTCTGGAAAACATGCACTTTGTATTCCTTTTTCCCAGGGGCTGCCTTTTTGGTGTGCTGCACTGTCCTTTCCCTGGGAAGCAGTATTCCCTGTGGACTAGAGTATTGGGGACCCCATAGCACCTTTGGGTCTAATCAGTGCTATACCACTATAGCCCTCCAGGTGGACGCAGGGGGATGTCAGTGGGGGCTCACAGGGTATGGAGATTTAGGGGTTGTGCCTGTTGCTCATGCCTTCCTCCACCACAAGGCATGGAGTAGTACCCTTGGTGCTGGCCCATATTAGTAGAATTCATTCAGTTTCTTCCAAAATGGCTCAACAGCGGTGCACTGGATTGAATAGTGTTTCCCCAAAATTACTGTCCACCCAAAACCAGTGAATGTGACTTTGTTTGGAAATAAGTCTTTACCGATGTAATCAAATTAAGAAGAGATCATACTGAATTAGGGTGGACCCTAACCTAGTCAGTGAGTGTTGTCTTTATAAGAAAAGGGGAATTTGGACACAAACAGAAGATAGATGACCATGTGAAGATGGAGGAAGAGATTGGAATTATGCTGCCAAAAAACAGGGAACACTAAGTTTTGCTGGCTACCATCAGAAGCTAGAAGAGGAAACAAAGTCTTCTTCCCTGGAGGCTTCAGAAAGGGCATGCTCTGCTGACACCTTGATTTTAGACTTCTGGCCTCCAGAACTGTAAGAGAATAAATTTCTGCTGTTTTAAACCCCTTAGTTTATGGTAATTTTTTAGGCAGCTAATAAAAGCAGAAAGCCTCCCATTCCTTGCTGATCTACTGCCCCAATGTCCCTATTCATCTAGCTTGGCTACATGAATAACTGTTCTTTCTAAATTCAGGGAAAATTTGCTGTTCACTTTTATTTATAAATTTCCTCTATATACATGGTTTTCCACTTCTCTTCCTAAGATATTTAAACTTTGGTGAGTATCTGCATTTCTATACTTGATTTTTGCCCTTACCAGCCTCTTGTGACCCTTCTTTACTCTTTATAGCATTTCCACATTGTGTGCGGTCCTTTGGTTTCATAACTTGTTTTGTTTTTAGCAACCATTGTTTATTTCATTTAAATTTATCAACTCATTCAAGCCTCCTTCAGGAGTTGGTCCTGCCTCTCTCTTAGCTTTTCAGCTGGTGTTGCAGAATTGCTTAGCTGAATTGGGGTCACTTCATTTACTTAGATTTGCTCATTATTTTCTAAGTTTACACTGGGGGTTATTGATTTTCTTTTTATCAGACAACGCTATTGTTTTTCTGTTACAGTAGCCAGGAGAAAGAGTTTGGACCTATTTTTAATCCACCATCTTTCAGAAAGTCTCCTGTCATGGTTAAACCTTTTGTGCCAGTCAAAACTCTTGCTCTTGACATTTCTTCACCTCCTTAAATATCTTTTCATATGCCAAGTGTCTTGCAAGTTTAACTTTGCATAAAGTTTTATATGAATTTTTTGTTATAAATAAGTAATTTGTTGTTTATTTTATTTTATTATTATACTTTAAGTTTTAGGGTACATGTGCACAACGTGCAGGTTTGTTACATATGTATACATGTGCCATGTTGGTGTACTGCAGCCATTAACTTGCCATTTAGCATTAGGTATATCTCCTAATGCTATCCCTCCCCACTCACCCCACCACACAACAGTCCCCAGAGTGTGATGTTCCCCTTCCTGTGTCCATGTGTTCTCATTGTTCAATTCCCACCTATGAGTGAGAACATGCGGTGTTTGGTTTTTTGTCCTTGTGATAGTTTGCTGAGAATGATGGTTTCCAGCTTCATCCATGTCCCTACAAAGGACATGAACTCATCATTTTTTATGGCTGCATAGTATTCCATGGTGTATATGTGCCACATTTTCTTAATCCAGTCTATCGTTGTTGGACATTTAGGTTGGTTCCAAGTCTTTGCTATTGTGAATAGTGCCACTATAAACATACGTGTGCATGTGTCTTTATAGCAGCATGATTTATAGTCCTTTGGGTATATACCCAGTAATGGGATGGCTGGGTCAAATGGTATTTCTAGTTCTACATCCCTGAGGAATCGCCACACTGACTTCCACAATGGTTGAACTAGTTTACAGTCCCACCAACAGTGTAAAAGCGTTCCTATTTCTCCACATCCTCTCCAGCACCTGTTCTTTCCTGACTTTTTAATGATCGCCATTCTAACTGGTGTGAGGTGGTATCTCATTGTGGTTTTGATTTGCATTTCTCTGACGACCAGTGATGATGAGAATTTTTTCATGTGTCTTTTGGCTGCATAAATGTCTTCTTTTGAGAAGTGTCTGTTCATATCCTTTGCCCACTTTTTGATGGGGTTGTTTGTTTTTTTCATGTAAATTTGTTTGAGTTCATTGTAGATTCTGGATATTAGCCCTTTCTCAGATTAGTAGGTTGCAAAAATTTTCTCCCATTCTGTAAGTTGCCTGTTCACTCTGATGGTAGTTTCTTTTGCTGTGCAGAAGATCTTTAGTTTAATTAGATCCCATTTGTCAATTTTGGCTTTTGTTGCCATTGCTTTTGGTGTTTTAGACATGAAATCCTTGCCCATGTCTATGTCCCGAATGGTATTGCCTAGGTTTTCTTCTAGGGTTTTTATGGTTTTAGGTCTAACATGTAAGTCTTTAATTCATCTTGAATTAATTTTTGTATAAGGTGTAAGGAAGGGATCCAGTTTCAGCTTTCTACATATGGCTAGCCAGTTTTCCCAGCATCATTTATTAAATAGGGAATCCTTTCCCCATTGCTTGTTTTTGTCAGGTTTGTCAAAGATCAGATAGTTGTAGATATGTGGCATTATTTCTGAGGGCTCTGTTGTGTTCCCTTGGTCTATATCTCTTTTTTGGTACCAGTACCATGCTGTTTTGGTTACTGCAGCCCTGTAGTATAGTTTGAAGTCACGTAGCATGATGCCTCTAGCTTTGTTCTTTTGGCTTAGGATTGACTTGGCAATGCGGGCTCTTTTCTGGTTCCATTTGAACTTTAAAGTAGTTTTTTCCAATTCTGTGAGGAAAGTCATTGGTAGCTTGATGGGGATGGCAATGAGTCTATAACTTACCTTGGGCAGTATGGCCATTTTCACGATATTGATTCTTCCTACCCATGAGCCTGGAATGTTCTTCCATTTGTTTGTATCCTCTTTTATTTCATTGAGCAGTGGTTTGTAGTTCTCCTTGAAGAGGTCCTTCACATCCCTTGTAAGTTGGATTCCTAGGTATTTTATTCTCTTTGAAGCAATTGTGAATGGGAGTTCACTCATGATTTGGCTCTCTGTTTGTCTGTTATTGGTGTATAAGAATGCTTGTGATTTTTGTATATTGATTTTGTATCCTGAGACTTTGCTGAAGTTGCTTATCAGCTTGAGAAGATTTTGGGCTGAGACGATGGGGTTTTCTAAATATACAATCATGTCATCTGCAAACAGGGAAAATTTGACTTCCTCTTTTCCTAATTGAATACCCTTTATTTCCTTCTCCTGCCTGATTGCCTTGGCCAGAACTTCCAACACTAGGTTGAATAGGGGTGGTGAGAGAGGGCATCCCTGTCTTGTGCCAGTTTTCAAAGGGAATGCTTCCAGTTTTTGCCCATTCAGTATGATATTGGCTGTGGGTTTGTTACACATAGCTCTTATTATTTTGAGATACATCCCATCAATACCTAATTTATTGAGAGTTTTTAGCATGAAGGGTTGTTGAATTTTGTCAAAGGCCTTTTCTGCATGTATTGAGATAATCATGTGGTTTTTGTCTTTGATTCTGTTTATATGCTGGATTACATTTATTGATTTGTGTATGTTGAACCAGCCTTGCATCCCAGGGATGAAGCCCACTTGATCATGGTGGATAAGCTTTTTGATGTGCTGCTGGATTCAGTTTGCCAGTACTTTATTGAGGATTTTTGCATCAATGTTCATCAAGGATATTGGTCTAAAATTCTCTTTTTTTGTTGCGTCTCTGCCAGGCTTTGGTATCAGGATGATGCTGGCCTCATAAAATGAGTTAGGGAGGATTCCCTCTTTTTCTATTGATTGGAATAGTTTCAGAAAGAATGGTACCAGCTCCTCTTTGTACCTCTGGTAGAATTTGGCTGTGAATCCATCTGGTCCTGGACTTTTTTTAGTTGGCAAGCTATTGATTATTGCCTCAATTTCAGAGCCTGGTATTGGTCTATTCAGAGATTCAGCTTCTTCCTGGTTTAGTCTTGGGAGGATGTATGTGTCAAGGAATTTATCCATTTCTTCTAGATTTTCTAGTTATATTTGCATAGAGGTGTTTATAGTATTCTCTGATGGTAGTTTGTATTTCTGTGGGATCGGTGTTGATATCCCTTTTGTCACTTTTTATTGCATCTATTTGATTCTTCTCTCTTTTCTTCTTTATTAGTCTTGCTAATTTTCTTCTTTATTAGTCTGCTTGGTGCAGAGCTGAGTTCAATTCCTGGATATCCTTGTTAACTTTCTGTCTCGTTGATCTGTCTAATGTTGACAGTGGGGTGTTAATTTTGTTGATCAATTTTGTTGACCTTTTCAAAAAACCAGGTCCTGGATTCATTAATTTTTTGAAGGGTTTTTCGTGTCTCTATATCCTTCAGTTCTGTTCTGATCTTAGTTATTTCTTGCCTTCCGCTAGCTTTTGAATTTGTTTGCTCTTGCTTTTCTAGTTCTTTTAATTGTGATGTTAGGGTGTCAATTTTAGATCTTTCCTGCTTTCTCTTGTGGGCATTTAGTGCTATAAATTTCCCTCTACACACTGCTTTGAATGTGTCCCAGAGATTCTGGTATGTTGTGTCTTTGTTCTCGTTGGTTTCAAAGAACATCTTTATTTCTGCCTTCATTTCATTATTTACCCAGTAGTCATTTAGGAGCAGGTTGTTCAGTTTCCATGTAGTTGAGCGGTTTTGAGTGAGTTTCTTAATCCTGAGTTCTAGTTTGATTGCACTGTGGTCTGAGAGACAGTTTGTTATAATTTCTGTTCTTTTACATTTGCTGAGGAGTGCTTTACTTCCAATTATGTGGTCAATTTTGGAGTAGGTGTGGTGTGTTGCTGAAAAGAATGTATATTCTGTTGATTTGGGGTGGAGAGTTCTGTAGATGTCTATTAGGTCTGCTTGGTGCAGAGCTGAGTCCAAGTCCTGGATATCCTTGTTAACTTTCTGTCTCGTTGATCTGTCTAATGTTGACAGTGGGTTGTTAAAGTCTCCCATCATTATTGTGTGGGAGTCTAAGTCTCTTTGTAGGTCTCTAAGGACTTGGTTTATGAATCTGGGTGCTCCTGTATTGGGTGCATATATATTTAAGATAGTTAGCTCTTCTTGTTGAATTGATCCCTTTACCATTATGTAATGGCCTTCTTTGTCTCTTTTGGTCTTTGTTGGTTTAAAGTCTGTTTTATCAGAGACTAAGATTGCAACCCCTGCCTTTTTTTGTTTTCCATTTGCTTGGTAGATCTTCCTCTATCCCTTTATTTTGAGCCTATGTGTGTCTCTGCGTGTGAGATGGGTTTCCTGAGTGCAGCACACTGGTGGGTCTTGACTCTTTATCCAATTTGTCAGTCTGTGTCTTTTAATTGGAGCATTTAGCCCATTTACATTTAAAGTTAATAGTGTTATGTGTGAATTTGATCCTGTCATTATGATGTTAGCTGGTGATTTTGCTCGTTAGTTGATGCAGTTTCTTCCTAGCCTTGATGGTCTTTACAATTTGGCATGTTTTTGCAGTGGCTGGTACCGGTTGTTCCTTTCCATGTTTAGTGCTTCCTTCAGGAACTCTTTTAGGGCAGGCCTGGTGATGACAAAATCTCTCAGCATTTGCTTGTCTGTAAAGGATTTTATTTCTCCTTCACTTATGAAGCTTAGTTTGGCTGGATATGAAATTCTGGGTTGAAAATTCTTTTCTTTAAGAATGTTGAACATTGGTCCCCACTTTCTTCTGGCTTGTAGAGTTTCTGCTGAGAGATCTGCTGTTAGTCTGATGGGCTTCCCTTTGTGGGTAACCCGACCTTTCTCTCTGGCTGCCCTTAACATTTTTTCCTTCATTTCAACTTTGGTGAATCTGACAAATATGTGTCTTGGAGTTGCTCTTTTCAAGGAGTATCTTTGTGGAATTCTCTGTATTTCCTGAATGTGAATGTTGGCCTGCCTTGCTAGATTGGGGAAGTTCTCCTGGATAATATCCTGCAGAGTGTTTTCCAAGTTGGTTCCATTCTCCCCGTCACTTTCAGATACACCAAACAGATGTAGATTTGGTCTTTTCACGTAGTCCCATATTTCTTGGAGGCTTTGTTTGTTTCTTTTTATTCTTTTTTTCTCTAAACTTCTCTCTTCACTTCATTTCATTCATTTCGTTTTCCATCACTGATACCCTTTCTTCCAGTTGATCGCATTGGCTACTGAGGCTTCTGCATTCGTCACATAGCTCTCGTGCCTTGGTTTTCAGCTCCATGAGGTCCTTTAAGGACTTCTCTGCGTTGGTTATTCTAGTTGTCCATTCGTCTAATTTTTTTTCAAAGCTTTTACCTTCTTTGCCATTGGTTCGAATTTCCTCCTGTAGCTCGGAGTAGTTTGATCATCTGAAGCCTTCTTCTCTCAACTCATCAAAGTCATTCTCTGTCCAGCTTTGTTCCATTGCTGGTGAGGAGCTGCGTTCCTTTGGAGGAGGAGAGGTGCTCTGATTTTTAGAGTTTCCAGTTTTTCTGCTCTGTTTTTTCCCCATCTTTGTGGTTTTATGTACCTTTGGTCTTTGACGATGGTGACGTACAGATGGGTTTTTGGTGTGGATGTCCTTTCTGTTTGTTAGTTTTCCTTCTAACAGACAGGACCCTCAGCTGCAGGTCTGTTGGAGTTTGCTAGAGGTCCACTCCAGACCCTGTTTGCCTGGGTATCAGCAGCAGTGGCTGCAGAACAGCGGATATTGGTGAACTGCAAATGCTGCTGCCTGATTGTTCCTCTGGAAGTTTTGTCTCAGAGGAGTACCCGGCTGTGTGAGGTGTCAGTCTGCCCCTACTGGGGGTTGTCTGTCTCCCAGTTAGGCTACTCGGGGGTCAGGGAACCACTTGAGGAGGCAGTCTGCCCGTTCTCAGATCTCAAGCTGCATGCTGGGAGAACCACTACTCTCTTCAAAGCTGTCAGACAGGGACATTTAAGTCTGCAGAGGTTACTGCTGTCTTTTTGTTTGTCTGTGCCCTGCCCCCAGAGGTGGAGCCTACAGAGGCAGGCAGGCCTCCTTGAGCTGTGGTGGGCTTCACCCAGTTCAAGCTTCCCAGCCACTTTGTTTACCTAATCAAACAACTAACTTGGCAATGGTGGGCGCCCCTCCCCCAGCCTCGCTGCCACCTTGCAGTTTGATTTGGGACTTCTGTGCCAACAATGAGCGAGACTCTGTGGGCGTAGGACCCTCCGAGTCAGGTGCAGGATATAATCTCCTGATGTGCCGTTTTTTAAACCTGTTGGAAAAGTGCAGTATTAGGGTGGGAGTGACCCGATTTTCCAGGTGCCGTCTGTCACCTCTTTCTTTGACTAGGAAAGGGAATTCCCTGACCCCTTGCACTTCCCGGGTGAGGTGATGCCTCACCCTGCTTCGGCTTGCACACGGTGCGCTGCACCCCCTGTCCTGCCCCCACTGTCTGGCACTCCCCAGTCAGATGAACCTGGTACCTCAGGTGGAAATGCAGAAATCATCCGTCTTCTGTGTCGCTTATGCTAGGAGCTGTAGACTGGAGCTGTTCCTATTCAGCCATCTTGGCTCCTCTTCTGTCATTTATTGTTATACCAGCATAAATACCATGTTTGCTTCTTATAATAGCTAGCACAAGGTTGCCTCATCTACATAAATTTAATGTTTCAAAAAATTTTTAAAGTATTATCTTTATTAAAGAAAACTTGAAAACAACTTTGTATATACTTTTATAATGATACTATAATATTAACATCATTATAAACATTTATACTTGTTATTACAGAAATGTGCATAAACACACTTTCAATGGCCAGGTAATATTCCATTAAGAGTTGGCACCATTTCTGCAGTTAGACATTTAGTTTGTATAATTGGCATGTACTATTTTGGTCTGCTGAACATCCTTTCCTTCTTCTTCAGGTAATTACACCCTCTTACCCAACCTTCTCTTTGGAAAATTGTCCTTCCTTTTCCTCACATGTTGTTCTGATAGTACCAATCATAGCACATTGGCTCCATCCTCACTAATTGGAAGGCATATGTCTCAGGCCAGGTAATCATAATTCCTGTGGTACTTTGGACCTAGTACCAAGAATTCCCTTGTGACTTTGGTCTTTCCCACATTATATCACCTAAGATACATATGCTGTTAGTGACAGAAACCCTAACTAGCAATGGTTTTAACCTTAGGGGCCTTAACGTTTATGTACTTTTTATTAAGTAAAAAAATAACTTTTATTGAGAAAGTAAATGTTAATGCCCCTAAGGTTAAAACCATTGTGTTCCCCAAAAAGATATGCTGAAGTCTTAACTCTCAGTATGTATGAGTGTGATATTATTTGGAAATAGGGTCGTTGAAGATGTAATCAAGTTACTATGAGGTCGTTAGGGTGGGCCCTGATCCAATATAACTGGTGCCCTTATAGGATGAGAAAAATGACTTGGAAAGACAGAGACACCTAGGAAGAATATCATATGACAACAGAAACAGATTGGAGTGATGCAGCTGCAAGCCAAGGAACAACAAGGATCAAAGGAAGCCACTATAAGACAGGAAGAGGCAAAGAAGGATTCTCCCCTACAGATTCTCCCTTTGAGAGAGAGCAGTGCCCTGCTGACACCTTCATTTTGGACTTTTAGCTTCCTGGACTGTGAGATAATAAATGTCTGTTATTTTAAGGAACCCAGTTTGTGGTACTTTGTTGTGGCAGGCCCAGGAAACTAATACAGTAATGCATTAAGGTCTCACAAAATCCCCAAGAAACAGAAAAGAAAACCTGTTGTTATAAGTACATTGAGATAAACTGGTCATTGAAAGCAGAGGCCACAAAAGCTAGTATTCATTCATTTAAAAATATTATTTAAGCTTATTATGTGCTGGGAACTGCAAGGTGGCAAAAGGCAGCATGACCCAAATAATGCAGTGCACAAACTTTGCTATAAGTATTTTTTTATTTTATTTTTTTATTTTTTTATTGTGGTTTTTAACAGGTGTCACCATTTATTGAATACTTATTACATGCCCAACCCTATGTTTATTCTTTTCAGGACATTATCTCAGTCAGTTATCTCAACAACCCTGTGAAACAGTACTGTTATGCTGATATTCCACATTGCTAACAAAAAGGAAACTGAAGGTCTCAACAAATGATTCATTTTATGTCTTGTTAAGTTAGAACTGCAAATGCAAGGGAACCTAGTGACAGCCATTGGCACCTCAGTTTTTGGGAAAAGCCCAGATACATCTCCATGCTTCATAATTAATATAATTGATCCATTTGATCCATCTCAACGCATCAAAGACTCACAACAAACTTCTCTGCCTGCTGTGGGCGTGGCCCAGGACTTTGTGTTCTGCATGTCCCACACCATGGGATCACAGTCTGTGTCCACAGTCAGTCATTCTGACAGCAGACTCCACAGCAAATTCCTTTTGCAGGTCTGCATGGGGACCAAGCCTCCCTCACTTGCTGGTCAATTGAAGTTTATAAGGGTTCCGCAGTTTATAGTGGCATGAATAATAGAGTCTGAAACCTTCCAGTCCCCAGTGATTACGTAATGCAGATTGTGGTAAATATTGTCTAATATACATAGGTATATGAAAGCAACAATTAAAAATATACTTTGAAGTAAAAAATGTCTCAAGGTGTTTATGCTTTAGAGTTGAAGGATGCCTACCAAGCTGTGATACAGCTCTAATAGAAGATACTAATTGGAGTCTCTCCAAAATGGGTTCTCTATTTAAATATGACTTGGAAACACTACATAATAGAGGCTCTTTAAAGTACTGCTCTCAAGAAACCAATTTAACAAAGCTTAGCTCAGCATTTTCCGTGCTTGTTTTCACTTACTTAGATATGTGTGTCTCTCTCTCTTTCTCTGAATTATGTGAATTATATATTAAGGTCCTTTAGCACAGTGTTGCAGGACATTAGTTATGAATTACTAAGTTAAAGTGCATTATAAAAGTTTCCCTAAGATGCTCACATGAAAATAATGAGCAAGATAATGGTGGGGAGCATTCTAGGAAGAAGGATCTGACCACACATTGCAAAATCTGGGTAAAGGTTCACTGGGAGGAAGATGGGTCCTTAATGATATCCAACAGGTGTGACCATATTATTTTTGTTACAGAATTGTAAATAAAAATCATCCCACGTTATGACATTTTTGTAACTTATGGTCTTGAATTTTAGCAACTCTAAAAATTTTTGAAAAAATACTATTTCTGTCTTAGAAAGGAACTCCTTAACTAAGTATACTGCCACCACCTGGTGTAGGTGTCTCACAGCCATGGGTTCCAAATGATAAGGCATAAACCAAAGGCTTAGTTGAAGTAAACACAAGCACTTCTTCCCCATTTAATATTGTGTTAGTCCGTTTTCACACTGCTATAAATAAATACCCAAGACTGGGTAATTTATAAAGATAGAAGGCTTATTTGACTCTCAGTTCTACATGGCTTGGGAGGCCTCAGGAAACATACAATCATGGTGGATAGGGAAGCAGGCACCTTCATTACAAGGCAGCAGGTGAGAGAACTGTGTGAAGGAGGAACTGTCAAACACTTATAAAATTATCAGATCTCATGAGAACTCACTCACTATCATGAGAACAGCATGAAGGAAACCATCCCCATGATCCAATCACCTCCCTCCCTCAACACATGGGTATTACAATTTGAGATGAGATTTTGGGTGGGGACACAGAGCCAAACCATATCAAATATTAAAGATATAAGTCTTAGTTAATATAATTTAGTGAAAACTGTTCAACTAGGCAGTTCAAGGGGGGTTCACTGAGGAGGTGGCAGTGGAGCTAAGCCTCGAAGGATGAGTGAGAGTTTCCCAGTAGGAGAAGAGGAAAGAACATATTTAAAGGCACAAAGGCCTAAAAGATGACAGCAACCTCAGAGACCAGTAATTAGCTCTGTAAGGTTGAGGCATGGATTGGTAGGAGTATAGGATGGGGGTGGACAATGGGAATGAGGCTGAAGGGTAGGTTGATGTAAGCTTAAAAAACCTATTATAGGATCCAGAGCCACCATTGAATTGGCTGTGTGATCTTTGTTTATGTGTCATCTACCTTTTGAATTGGCTATGTGATCTTTGTTTATATGTCATCTACCATTTCCAGACCTCATATATTTAGTTAAAAGCACAAATTTTGGAGACAGATTCTCAGGCTTTAACACATATTCATTCTATGATCTTAGACCAGTTACTTAACCTCCCTTTGCTTCAGTTTCAACATCTATAAAATAGATGCAACACTGTTGAAAGGAATAAATGTAGTAATACATGTGCTTGACACAAGATAAACATATGTCAATGTTTGTAATTGTTATTGATGATGTTATTGCATTATTATTATCATTATCTTCATCATTTGAAAGGATATGCTGAGATAGTATATGGGAATGTACTTGGTAAACCAAAAAGCAGAATATAATTATCTTGCCAAATAATCTGTTCAATATCTTGTGTATCAGTGGATCTTCATCAAAGCTGCCTGCTGGACCACCACAAAGGTCCACACAGATAGTGCAATGCAAACATCCAGAGGCACCATTCACTTAAATCCGGAGCGATGGAAATGTTCTCAGCATTGGTTGGAGTGTTGGTCACACACGTATATACGTATGTCCAAAAGCTGATAAAACTGTTCACTTAAGACCTGTGTATTTAAAAAAAAATTAATCACAGCTTAGAGCCATAAGCACTTCCTGGAAGTTCAGGCTTGTTTCAGATCAAAGCAGCCTCTGGGCTGCTCACTTTGAGTGGCTATCCTCATGACCCTCTGGTGCAAAGACCTTAAATGACCTTTTTCCCTCCATTTCTACCAGTTCTCTATCTCTCCAGGCAAAGAAATGAAGTAGGAAAACCCATCTTTTTGTTCCTAGGTAAGAAGAGGTTTGGCCCAACCTATTCCTTTGAATCTCCCCTCTTTTCACAGTTGACTGGAGGTATTTAGTCTGTCTCACTCACCTTAGGACAAGCTTTAAGTTCCCAAATTGTCCCAGGTTTCAGGATGCTTTTTTGAAAAGCCCATTTCTCTTATAAAAAACAACACCTTAGAAAATCCAAGAAATTTATTTTTAACAGATTTTTAAAGTACTCTAAATCACCAATACTTCCCAGCAGGGCACAATGTAAGACTCGGCCATCATTATCAGTCAAGGTACTGGGTCTGCAGTGAGCCGGGCACTGAACAAAGTATGAGGCACAAATTCAGGACGTTTTCTGGGCTAAGCCCCTGGTGGGCAGGAGCCCTGTCTGGCTAAATTGCTTTGTGCCACACAGAAGAGAAGAAACGAGTGGTTTTTTATATTAGTGATGGCTATGTGCTCGTTGCAGGCCTACAGAAGTGAGCAAAGGCCAGAGTTGTCTGCGGTGTTTGACAGAAGGTTTTCTTGGGGCTAACTGAAGACCTAAATCCTCAAGCAGGCTGAAATTTCCTAGCAAAGGAATCATGGAAAAAAAGACAAGAATTGCCTCTGAGCTCCAAATGCCTCACAGAATTCACATTGATTTGTTTATGATTCTTGAAAGACACACCATCAACTCCTAATGGTTCCAGAACAACAACTGGGAAGAAGTGTCAGTTTTAGAGAGGTGTGGGTAAGCAGTTCCCCACACCCAAAGCCCCAGAAGAAGCCCACTGTTCCTCTTTTCATCTACCCAGCCCTCTTTCATCCAAACTGCATTTTCCTGACTAAACCCCAGTGTGTTTGAAGAGAGATCACCAAGCAAAACAGCTGTGTGGGTCTTCCTTTCTCCGCTTTTCTTCTCTCCCTCTTCTCTTCTCTCTCCCTCCCTCTATTTCTCTCTCTCTCTCTCTCTCCTCTCCTCTCTCTCTAAACCTTTTACACTGCAGTTGAACAAGCCCCTGGATAAAGACTTTATCCAAAAACCCCCTCTTTAAAGTTATTTCAAATTTCTCTGCAAGGCTTTCAGAAATCTGTTTGTTTGAGGGCAGAATTAGATGTGACCGGCGTTTTATTGTGACATAAAACCATATTTCTTCCCTGGAAGATTAAAAAATAAAATCGGTTAATAAGAAAAGCTGTCAGCAACAGAAAATGGCTGACATAATCCGTTTATCCTCCGAGCAATAAAGATATTGGTCCTTGGGAGTCTATCCTCTCTCTCATGTTATTTCGCCCAAAACATTATCTTCCCAGCATTCTGATGGATTAAGAAGTCATATGGGAGATAGCAGGGAAATGACAGATACAAAAAAATATATAATATCCTTTCATTTCCCCTCCTCCCTCCACACTCACTCATATTCCCCCTCTCCTTTTCTCCCTCCCCCAACCCAAAACACACACACTTTATTTTCTTCTCTTTTCCCTCTCCCTGACACCCTCCCATTTTTCTCACCCTTTGGAAAGAAATAGATCTTCCTTTACCCACAATCCAATACTCTGATAATCCTAATAGGGGTGATGATGCAAAGTGGCTCCAAAGTCCATTCCTGCAGTGTGGGTGTGTGTGTGTATGTGTGTGTGTCGGTGTGGGTGTTTCTATATATGTCTGTGTGTGTTGCTTGTGCACATCTACATAAACACAGCCAAATGAAGAGATGAACCCTTGATAAGGGTGTTGAACACCTAGAGAGAAAGAGGGTTAAGCACATTTAGCCACACTACTAGATTTTTAATCTAGGATTTCTGACAATAGCATAAATTTCAGGAACAAGGCTGAAAGCAGCAAAGCTAAAGGAAACAATAAAAGGAGCTTTAGAGAGGCTACAATTAAAATATTGTTTGGGTTTTAGGAGATTGATAAAACCATAAAGAAAAGGAAAAAGAAAAAGCACTGTGTGGCCAAACTTGTTTTCCTTGTTTCTCAATCAATGGTGCCATCACCCATTTTCCTCATATACATGCAGGTTTTTCTACACAAAATTTTCCTTTCATTGTTCTAGGGAAAAGACTCTTGAGATTATCCATTAGAACCCTCAGGATACTTTTAAAACTGTCTTACAAATAATCCTCCCTTCCTGGGATGTGTGTGAGGGAGGAATAATGGGAATGCAAATAGAAATTGGACAATGTCTCTAAAAGATGCTCTTCTTTCCCCACTCCCCCTTTTCTGAGGCATAACTGACAAAAATTGTATATAGTTGAAGTGTGTAATGTGATGATTTGATATACATGTACATTGTGAAATGACTGACTACTACAATTAGCTTAATTAATGCACCTTCTTCTGTTTAGCAAGTTACTTTTTTTCTACCTGAATCTCACTACTCTCCTTTCTAACTTACCGCTTCTCTCAGGTGAAAAACCAGCACTTAGGTGAGTCCTGTGAATTTTTGTTAAACAACTAAATATTTAGAGTCATACTGGCCAAGCTTTAGTTATGTTTCATGGGAATTTGACCAAATGAGTTTACTGCTGTTTGGCATGTGTATTCTCCTAGGTAAGATGACAGAAAGCTGTAGAAAGAATAATAAATACCAAGAAGGAGATGGTGAACTCAATAAATGATTAAGGAATGGAGCATTTCTGGAAATGATTTTCAGTGTGTCCATGAAAGTAAACAATTATGTATGTGTGTGTGTGTATATATGTATAACATAAATGTCTATAAATAACATAAAATATACTCACAATTATTTTTAAGTTTTAACAGTCCATCCTTGCCCAAGTTACCAGAGTCAGAAAATAATAAAATTTACCATTTGTCTAAGAGCTAATCCTCAGGAGTGTCTGTAACTACTATGACTTCACATGGGTACAGGAATGAGAATGGACCAAGCTGACCAAGTTAAGGGTAGGCGAAGAGGTGATGTGAGGGAGAAGGATAAAGTGATTTGAACTTTTCACTCCACAAATTACTCCTTTTTTCTTGGTTAAAGCATTTGACAATTTGCAAATGACATAATGGAAACGCCATCAGGGTGCTGGAAAATAATTTTTATTTTCTTCAATTCATATACTTCTACTTATTCATATCTTTCTGCAGCAAAAGTCTTTTGAGACCATATTTTTCTATACATTTCGAAAGCAAGTTGCTATTGAAGGTTTTAATTGCATTGTACAAGATACACTCACATAAAAATAATGATACCTACTCAAAACAAATATACACATTTTATTATAGCAAAATCTCTTTACTTAAATGGCCGTAAAACAAAATGTTGAGCAAATGTCTACAGCAATTAAAAACAGAGTAGATTCATGAACCACATTTACTGAAGCCAAATATTTAACTGAAGAAGAAGCTGGTCCTCAATTACGGGATTTTAGTACATAAAAGCTGCTTGAATTTTAAGTGTGCGTGAATTCCATAGCATGAAGCTGGGATCCTCAAATATTTGCATGTGATAGTATTTATTGATGATTGAAACAGAAACTCTGAATTAAATTCCTAGTTGACAAGTGACTATGCCTAAAACACAATTCATTTATTACTTCATTGAGTATGTTATTGTCATTGTGTTAAACCAGGCATCATAAATCATTCTAATGCAAGGTTTAATATGGCCATAAGCCACTGCTAGGAATTGACTAGGAATTAGCTTGGAGTTGATTGCAATCCCTCGATTATACACTTTGCCTGTAACATTTATTCATTCTTCATTCAACAAACATTTATTGAGTGTTCACTGTACACTAGGTACTATGCCAAGCACTAGGGATCTGCAGATAAACAGGACAAGATCACTGACCTCTGAATGCCACAAACTGGCAGGAGAGACAGACCAGAGACAGATAATGACACCTCAGTGTGTGGGTTGCTCTGGTAGAGGAGGTGAAGGGCTAGGGGCACAGGGGTCATCTAACACAGATGAGAGGTTCCATCTCAGCTTAGGGATAGTCGCATGGAAGCCTTTTCTTTACACACCACTAGACTTCTTAAGTCTCCACCACCATCCTGATTTTGAGATACAGTTGCCAATATCTCCTCCCAGAGCCCTTCCAGGACTTTTCTGCAGGGAAGTTTACAAGAAGCCACTCTGGTGAACACATACTGTACCTCTGTTGTGGTTTACTTGCTCATCACTTGTCTAACCGAGTGGCCCTAAAATAATGACGAACAAATTGTAAGATGAAGTAGGTTAAACATAAATATGGATATCCTTTCTAAAATTACTTTAAAAATTGAAAGTATGCCAGATTATTTTTATTACAAAAATCATAAACACCAAGACATTTCTAATACCTGTGTTGAATCCATCATAACACCGATAACACTATATGGAAATTCAGATATACCTATCTCTCTCCTCCTGACAGTATGATATCCTTGGGAACTAGAACGGCTCATGGTAGGTGGTCTATAAATGTCTGTCAAATTCAATCAAATACAACAGTTTTCTAATTAATGGAAAGTATGAGCCACCAATGTTGAAAAAAAATCAGTTTGTCAAAAACAGTTACTTTGTTCCAATGATTGTCATAGTAAGATTGCCGGGCAGTTGGTCTATATATGTAACTCTTGACCTGATTTTGGTTCCACTTAATTAAGGTATTCGGTTTTACAGAAGGTTACCAAAATACTTTATTTGTGTTACAAATTCAGACAAGCAATTTTAGAATACAATATAATTCACTTAATACTAAAACTAAATGGACAGGATTAAATCACTGATGGTTTAGGAGGCAAGTCCCTGTAAAGACCAAGTATCACTTGCTTAGAGAGTGTGCAAATGCCAGTTAACAACAAGTTTTCAGTAAGTTATCAATGGAGTAAGAGACTATTTCAAAATGAAACCCCAGATTTGTTCAGGTCTATGTCTTCTTCTGGGAGCTGGTTGGCAATTCCTTTTCTTAGGAAACTTCCTGATAATATGAATTTGAGCACACCCAGTAGTATACAGTATAGATATCTGTATGCTTTTATGAAGAAATTATCAATACTATGATCCGGAAACTCTACTAAGCATTCATTTAGTCCTTACCACAATGCTGTGAGTTGGTCACTATAATTACAGCCAATTTACAAACAAACTAAGACTTCTCAGAGCCAGAGCTGGGATGCTATCTGTCAGATGTCAATGTTCTGACTCTTAATTACTATTCCATGCTATCTTCACTGAACTAATTTACAGAAATATTACGTAAACCTTGCAGAATGTAATAGCTTCTTCCTGGTTGCATAAAACTTGAGAGGAAAAATGTGAATGCTATCCTCAGAGCCTTCTCTCAGTGATTTGGCTTCAATTTTTTTTCTGTCTGGATGTTTCAAGGTCTTTGTCATCCACTTTCTTTGCTAATCTATCGGTGTTCTTTTTTTCTACCCTGCCGCCAAGCAAAGGTCAGTCCTTACCTCCTGGTCAGTCAGTAAGGACCTGCCATGTGTCTAGCTCTGTGATTGGCGGCACAGGGAATCAAGATAAATGTTGAGAAAAAAAAAGTCTAAGTGAGCTGCAGTTCTAAAAAACATTCCAGATCATGGATATAAAGCTGAAATGAGGAAACATGGAAACAAGGTCTGTTTCCAAGGTTGCGATCGGACCTTATCTATATGTCTTCTCTCTTCCTCTCCTTTATTCCTAGGAGGAATGCATGATGAATAGCAGGAGGAGGTCTGCATTGTTCAAGAAAAGCTCTTGGAAAGTTCCTTCCACATCTCTTAACTTCTAGTGAAATTCTCTCCAGGTTCTGATGTCAAGCCCCAGTTGGGTCACTCTACCCTGGATTCAGGCCAGACCTCTTAACACAGACTGTCTATCATGAACTTCTGACTAACTGACGAACTGTGATTTTTCTGTTACGTGCTAGACCCTGTGTTAAATACAGTTTTCCAGTTAACGGAAACACAGGGCCTGGCACATAACAGAAAAATATTCTGTGTTATCAAATTCTTCTTCTTTCCTTTGTTTTCCTTAATCTATCCTTTGTTAAATATACATCAGGAATCTCCCATGTTCCAGGGGCTATGCTATGCTACGTGCTAGGGAAAATTGATGATGAAATTGAAGCTTGTCTTTGAACCAAACCAAGGCAATGATGAAAGGTCAAAGGATGAAGCTGTCATAAAAACAAAGTTGGGCTCTTCACAAAACAGTTATTAATACTTTGAAAAAAATAGCATAAAATGAGAGTGGGAAAAAAAGCATAAAATGCTGGAAAACTACATATCAATATAGAATAATTCTACACTCATATTGCTTCCTAAGTCTCTTCAAATGTTACCTCCACTTAATGAAACTGAAACTGTAAATTGTAAATTATGCACAATGGGAGTCATATATGCAAGAAGACCATGTAGACCTTCAGTCAGTGACATCTACTCAGAGAAAGGGCCTTGGTCCTACATGAAAAATTTAGTAAAGAATGCACATGTTTGTGTTTTGAGTTATGCAAAATATACAACATATACATGCATCATTTTTATAATTATTTGATTTAACTAACTTTGGGAGTTAACTGAAAACTCCTGATAAATAAGCTTCTATATGTACAGCTAGACAAATGTTAAGGGCCTGAGGCCAGTCAGAGGAAAATTACTAGAGGCCTTAATGAACACAAAAAGAAGCTTCCAAAAGTGTCAGGAGTGGATTTGAGAAGTGGGAAGAAAGTATTTTATGATAAATTTTTAATATATTTTATTCAAATATGTTTTAAACAGAAAAAAATACACATAATTTTAAAAGTCTTCCAGAAGTAGGCTCAAAAGAACTGTTGGATGTCTGATATTAAAAAACAGTGCATTCTGTGTAGATTTAACTAACTTACAAGATAATTTCCAGCTTGAAAGAGATAAGTAGATAAAGTCATTGCCACATTTTTTTTTAATATCCTGAGGGGACCTGGACAAGATGGCCAAATAAGAACAGCTTCAGTCTACAGCTCCCAGCGAGATCAATTCAGAAGGTGGGTAATTTCTACATTTCCAACTGAGGTACCCAGCTCATCTCACTGGGACTGGTTAGACAGCGGGTGCAGCCCACAGAGGGTGAGCAGAAGCAAGGTGGGGCATTGCCTCACCCCATAAGTGCAGGGGTTGGGGAACTCCCTCCCCTAGCCGAGGGAAGCCGTGAGAGACTGTGCCATGAGGAATGGTGCATTCCAGCCCAAATACTATGCTTTTCCCATGGTCTTTGCAACCCACAGACCAGGAGATTCATTCAAGTGCGTACACAACCAGGGCCCTGGGTTTCAAGCACAAAACTGGGCAGCCATTTGGGCAGACACCGAGCTAGCTGCAGGAGTTTTTTTCAGACCCCAGTGGCACCTGGAATGCCAGGAAGAGAGAATCGTTTACTCCCCTGGAAAGGAGGCTGAAGCCAGTGAGCCAACTGGTCTAGCTCAGCGGATCCCACCCCAATGGAGCCCAGCAAGCTAAGATCCACTGGCTTGAAATTCTCACTGCCAGCACAGCAATCTGACGTCAACCTGGGACACATGAGCTTGGTACAGGGAGGGGTGTCTGCCATTACTGAGGCTTGAGTAGGCAGTTTTCCCTCATAGCATAAACAAAGCCACCAGGAAGTTTGAACTGGGTGGAGACCACCGCAGCTAGGCAAAGCCAGTGTAGTCAGACTGCCTCTCTAGATTGCTCCTCTCTGGGCAGGGCATCTCTGAAAGAAAGAAAGCAGCCCCAGTCAGGGGCTTGTAAATAAAACTCGCATCTCCCTGAGACACAGCACTTGGGGAAAGGGGTGGCTGTGGGCACAGCTTCAGCAGATTGAAACATTCCTGCCAGCCAGCTCTGAAGAGAACAGTGGATCTCCCAGCACAGCATTCGAGCTCTGCTAAGGGGCAGACTGCCTCCTCAAGTGGGTCCCTGACCCCCATGCCTCATGACTGGTAGACACCTCCCAGCAGGGATCAATAGACACCTCATACAGGAGAGCTCTGGCTGACATCTGACAGGTGCCCCTCGGGGACGAAGCTTCCAGAGGAAGGAACAGGCAACAAACTGCTGTTCTGTAGACTCTGCTGGTGATATCCAGGCAAACAGGGTCTAGAGTGGACCCCCAGGAAGTTCCAGCAGACCTGCAGCAGAGGGGCCTGACTGTTAGAAGGAAAGCTAACAAACAGAAAGGAATAGCATCAACATCAATAAAAAGGACGTCCACACAAAAATCCCATCCAAAGTTCACAAACATCAAAAACCAAAGGTAGATAAATCCAAGAAGATGAGGAAAAACCAGTGCAAAAAGGCTGAAAATTCCAAAAACCAGAATGCCTCTTCTCCTCCAAAGAATCACAACTCCTCACCAGCAAGGGAACAAAACTGGATGGAGAATGAGTTTCACAAACTGACAGAACTAGGCTTCAGAAGGTGGGTAATAACAAACTCCTCCCAGCTAAAGAAGCATGTTCTAACTCAATGCAAGGAAGCTAAGAACCTTGAAAAAAAAGTTAGAGGAATTGCTAACTAGAATAGCCAGTTTACAGAAGAACATACATGACCTGATAGAGCTGAAAAATACAGTATGACAATGTCATGAAGCATACACAAGTATCAATAGCCAAATTGATCAAGCAGAAGAAAGAATATCAGTGATTGAATACCAGCTTAATGAAATACAACATGAAGACAAGATTAGAGAAAAAACTAATGAAAAGGAATGAACAAAGCCCCCAAGAAATATGGGATTATGTGAAAACACCAACCAAACCTATGTTTGATTGGTGCACCTGAAAGTGACAGGGAGAATGGAACCAAGTTGGAAAACAAGATATTATCCAGCAGAACTTGCCCAACCTAGCAAGACAGGCCAACATTCAAATTCAGGAAATACAGAGAATACCACAAAGATAATCCTCGAAAAGAGCAACTCCAAGACAAATAACTGTCAGATTCACCAAGGCTGAAATAAAGGAAAAAATGTTAAGCGCAGCCAGAGAGAAAGGTCGGGTTACCCACAAAGGGAAGCCCATCAGACTGACAGTGGATCTCTCTGCAGAAACCCTACAAGCCAGAAGAGAGTGCGGGCCAATTATCAACGTTCTTAAAAAAAAAATTCAACCCAGAATTTCATATCCAGCCAAACTAAGCTTCATAAGCAAAGGAGAAATAAAATCCTTTACAGACAAGCAAATGCTGAGAGAATTTGTCACCACCAGGCCTGCATTACAAGAGCTCCTGAAGGAAACACTAAATATGGAAAGAAAATACCACTATCAGCTACTGCAAAAACATACCAAAATGGAAAGACCATCGACACTATGAAGAAACTGCATCAACTAACAGGCAAAATAACGAGGTAGCATCATAATGACAGGATCAAATTCATACATAACAATGTTAACCATAAATGTAAATGGGCTAAATGGCCCAATTAAAAGACACAGAGTGGCAAACTGGATAAAGAGTCAAGACCCATCAGTGTGCTGTATTCAGGAGACCCATCTCATGTGCAAAGACACACATAGGCTCAAAATAAAAGGATGGAAGAGTATTTTTTTTTTGTATTATACTTTAAGTTCTAGGGTACATGTGCACAATGTGCAGGTTTGATACATAGGTATACATGTGCCATGTTGGTTTCCTGCACCCATCAACTCGTCATTTACATTAGGTATTTCTCCTAATGCTATCCCTCCCCCAGCCCCCCACCACACAACAGGCCCTGGTGTGTGATGTTCCCTGCCCTGTGTCCAAGTGTTCTCATTGGTCAATTCCCACCTATGAGCGAGAACATGCGGTATTTGGTTTTCTGTCCTTGTGATAGTTTGCTGAGAATGATGGTTTCCAGTTTCATCCATGTCCCTGCAAAGGAGATGAACTCATCCTTTTTATGGCTGCGTAGTATTCCATGGTGTATATGTGACACATTTTCTTTGTCAAGTCTATCATTGATGGACATTTGGGTTGATTCCCAATAGCAAAGTCTTTGCTATTGTGAATAGTGCTACAATAAACATACGTGTGCATGTGTCTTTATAGTAGCATGATTTATAATCCTTTGGGTATATACCTAGTAACTGGATTGCTGGGTCAAATGGTATTTCCAGTTCTAGATCCTTGAGGAATCACCACACCGTCTTCCACAATGGTTGAACTAATTTACACTCCCACCAACAATGTAAAAACCTTCCTATTTCTCCACATCCTCTCCAGCATCTGTTGTTTCCTGACTTTTTAATGATTGCTATTCTAACTAGCATGAGATGGTATCTCACAGTGGTTTTGATTTGCTTTTCTCTGATGACCAGTGATGATGAGCATTTTTTCATGTGCCTGTTGGCTGCATAGATGTCTTCTTTTGAGAAGTGTCTGTTCGTATCCTTTGCCCACTTTTTCATGGGATTGTTTTTTTTTTCTTGTAAATTTGTTTGAGTTCTTTGTAGATTCTGGATATTAATGCTTGGTCAGATGGGTAGATTGCAAAAATTTTCTCCCATTCTCTAGGTCACCTGTTCAATCTGATGGTAGTTTCTTTTGCTGTGCAGAAGCTCTTTAGTTTAATTAGATCCCATTTGTCTATTTTGGCTTTTGTTGCCATTGCTTTTGGTGTTTTAGTCATGAAGTCTTTGCCCATGCCTATGTCCTGAATGCTATTGCACAGGTTTTCTCCTAGGGTTTTTATGGTTTAAGGTTTAACATTTAAGTCTTTAATCCATCTTGAATTAATTTTTGCACAAGATGTAAGGAAGGGATCCAGTTTCAGCTTTCCACATATAGCTAGACAGTTTTCCCAGCACCATTTATTAAATAGGGAATCCTTTCCCGATTTCTTGTTTTTGTCAGGTTTGTCAAAGTTCAGATGGTTGTAGATGTGTGGTGTTATTTCTGAGCCCTCTGTTCTGTTCCATTGGTCTATATATCTGTTTTGGTACCTGTACCATGCTCTTTTGGTTACCGTAGCCTTGTAGTATAGTTTGAAGTCAGGTAGCGTGATGCCTCCAGCTTTGTTCTTTTTGCTTAGGATTACTTGGCAGTGTGGGCTCTTTTTTGGTTCCATGTGAACTTTAGTTTTTTCCAATTCTGTGAAGAAAGTCATTTTTATCTTGATGGGAATGGCATCGAATCTATAAAATACCTTGGGCAGTATGGCCATTTTCATGATATTAGTCTTCCAACCTATGAGCATGGAATGTTCTTCCATTTGTTTGTATCCTCTTTTATTTCATTGAGCAGGGGTTTGTAGTTCTCCTTGAAGAGGTCCTTCACATCCCTTGTAAGCTGAATTCCTAGGTATTTCATTCGCTTGGTAGCAATTGTGAATGGGAGTTCACTCATACTTTGGCTCTCTGTTTGTCTGTTAATGGTGTATAGGAATGCGTGTGATTTTTGCACATTGATTTTGTATCCTGAGACTTTGCTGAAGTTGCTTATCAGCTTAAGGAGATTTTGGACTGAGATGATGGGGTTTTCTAAATACACAATCATGTCATCTGCAAAGAGGGGCAATTTGACTTCCTCTCTTTCTAATTGAATACCCTTTATTTCTTTCTCTTGCCTGATTGCCCTGGCCAGAACGTCCAACACTATGGTGAATAGGAGTGGTGAGAGAGGACATCCTTGTCTTGTGCCAGTATCCAAAGGGAATGCTTCCAGTTTTTGTCCATTCAGTATGATATTGGGTGTGGGTTTGTCATAAATAGCTCTTATTATTTTGAGATACGTTCCATGAATACCTAGTTTATTGAGAGTTTTCAGCATGAAGGGTTGTTGAATTTTGTCAAAGGCCTTTTCTGTATCTATTGAGATAATCATGTGGTTTTTGTCGTTGCTTCAGTTTATGTGATGGATTAGGTTTATTGATTTGCATATGTTGAACCAGCCTTGCATCCCAGGGATGGAGCCGATTTGATTGTGGTGGATAAGCTTTTTGATGTGCTGCTGGATTCAGTTTGCCAGTATTTTATTGAGGATTTTTGCATCGATGTTCATCAGGGATATTGGTCTAAAATTCTCTTTTTTGTTGTTGTCTGTCTGCCAGGCTTTGGTATCAGGGTGATGCTGGCCTCATGAAATGAGTTAGTGAGGATTCTCTCTTTTTCTATTGATTGGAATAGTTTCAGAAGGAATGGTACCACCTCCTCTTTGTACCTCTGATGGAATTCAGCTGTGAATCCCTCTGGTTCTGGACTTCTTTTGGTTGGTAGGCTATTAATTATTGCCTCAATTTCAGAGTCTGTTATTGGTCTATTCAGAGAATCAGCTTCTTCCTGGTTTAGTCTTGGGAGGGCGTATGTGGTCCAGGAATGTATCCATTTCTTCTAGATTTTCTAGTTTATTTGCATAGAGGTATTTATAGTATTCTCTGATGGTAGTTTGTATTTCTGTGGGATCAGTGGTGATAATCCCCATTATCATTTTTTATTGGGCCTATTTGATTATTGTCTCTTTCCTTCTTTACTAGTCTTGCTACCAGTCTATCAATTTTTTTGATATTTTCAAAAAACCAGTTTTTGGATTCATTGATTTTTTGAAGGGTTTTTTGTGTCTCTATCTCTTTCAGTTCTGCTCTGATGTTAGTTATTTCTTGTCTTCTGCTAGCTTTTGAATTTGTTTGCTCTTGCTTCTCTAGTTCTTTTAATTGTGATATTAGGGTGTCAATTTTAGATCTTTCCTGCATTCTCTTGTGGGCATTTAGTACTATAAATTTCCCTCTACACACTGCTTTAAATATGTCCCAGAGATTCAGGTACTTTGTGTCTTTGTTCTCATTGGTTTCAAAGAACATCTTTATTTCTGCCTTCATTTATTATTTACCCAGTAGTCATTCAGGAGCAGGTTGTTCACTTTCCATGTAGTTGAGCGGTTTTGAGTGAGTTTCTTAATCCTGAGTTCTAGTTTGATTGCACTGTGTTCTGAGACAATTTGTTGTGATTTCTGTCCTTTTACATTTGCTGAGAGGTGCTTTACTTCCAATTATGTAGTCAATATTAGAAAAAGTGCCATGTGATGCTGAGAAGAATGTATATTCTGTTGATTTCGAGTGGAGAGTTCTGTGGATGTCTATTAGGTCTGCTTGGTGCAGAGTTGAGTTCAAGTCCTGGATATCCTTGTTAACCTCTGTCTCGTTGATCTGTCTAATATTGACAGTGGGGTGTTAAAGTCTTCCGTTATTATTGTTTGGGAGTCTAAGTCTCTTTTTAGGTCTCTAAGGACTTGCTTTATGAATCTGGGTGCTCCTGTATTGCGTGCATGTATATCTAGGATAGTTAGCTCTTCTTGTTGAATTGATCCCTTTGCCATTATGTAATGGCCTTCTTTGTCTCTTTTGATCTTTGTTGGTTTAAGTCTGTTTTATCAGAGACTAGGATTGCAACCCCAGCTTTTTTTTGCTTTCCATTTGCTTGGTAGATCTTCCGGGATGGAGGAGTATTACCAAGAAAATGGAAAGCAAATAAATAAATAAATAGAAAATCAGGGGTTGCAATCCTAGTCTGTGATAAAACAGACTTTCAACCAACAAAGATCAAAAAAGACAAAGTAGGGCATTACATAATGGTAAAGGGATCAATGCAACAAGAAGAGCTAAGTATCCTAGATATAGATGCACCCGATACAGGAGCACCCGATTTGTAAAGCAAGTTCTTAGAGACCTACAAAGAGACTTAGACTCCCTCACAATAATACTGGGAGACATTAACACCCCACTGTCAATATTAGATAGGTAAATGAGACAGAAAATTACCAAGGATATTCAGGACTTAAATTCAGCTCTGGACCAAGGGGACCTAATAGACATCTACAGAACTCTCCACCCCAAATCAACAGAATATACATTCTTCTCAGCACCACACGACACTTACTCCAAAATTGATCACATAATTGGAAGTAAAACACTCCTCAGCAAATGAAAAAGAATGGAAATCATAACAAACCGTCTCTCAGACCACAGTGCAATCAAATTACAACTCAGGATTAAGAAACTCACTCAAAACCACACAACTACACGGAAACTGAACAACCTGCTCCTGAATGACTACTGGGTAAATAACAAAATTAAGGCAGACATAAATTAGTTTTTTGAAACCAATGAGAACAAAGACACAATGTACCAGAATCTCTGGGACACAGCTAAAGCAGTGCTTAGAGGGAAATTTATAGTATTCAATCCCCACAGGAGAAAGTGGGAAAGATGTAAAATTGATACCCTAACATCACAATTAAAAGAACTAGAGAAGCAAGAGCAAATAAATTCGAAAGCTAGCAGAAGACAAGAAATAACTAAGATCAGAGCAGAACTGAAGGCCATAGAGACATAAAAAAAAACTTCAAAAAAATCAACAAATCCGGGAGTTGGTTTTTTGAAAAGATTAACAAATTAGATAGACTGGTAGCCAGACTAATAAAGAAGAAAAGAGAGAAGAATTAAATAGACACAATAAAAAATGATAAAGGGGAGATCGCCACTGATCCCACAGAAATACAAACTACCATCAGAGAATACTATAAATACCTCTATGCAAATAAACTAGAAAATCTAGAAGAAATAGATAAATTCCTGGATGCATACACCCTCCCAAGACTAAACCAGGAAGAAATAGAATCCCTGAATAGACCAATAAGATGTTCTGAAATTGAGGCACTAATTAATAGCCTACCAACCAATAAAAGTCCAGGATCAGACAGATTCACAGCCAATTTCTACCAGAGGTACAAAGAGGAGCTGGTACTATTCCTTCTGAAACAATTCCGAACTATAGAAAAAGAGGGAATCATCCCTAACTCATTTTATGAGGCCAGCATCAGGTGATACCAAAACCTGGCAGAGAAACAACAAAAAAAAGAAAATTTCAGGCCAATATCCCTGATGAACATGGGTGTGAAAATCCTCAATAAAATACTGGCAAACTGAATCCAGCAGCACATCAAAAAGCTTATCCACCATGATCAAGTCAGCTTCATCCCTGGGATGCAAGGCTGGTTCAACATACGCAAATCAATAAACCTAATCCATCACATAAACAGAACCAATGACAAAAACCACATGATTATCTCAATAGATGCAGAAAAGTCCTTCAACAATATTCAACACCCCTTTATGCTGAAAACTCTCAATAAACTAGGTATTGATGGAACGTATCTCAAAATAATAAGAGCTATTTATGACAAACCCACACCCAATATCATACTGAATGGACAAAAACTGGAAGCTTCCCCTTTGGAAACCGGCACAAGATGCCCTCTGTCACCACTCCGATTCAACATAATGTTGGAAGTTCTGGCCAGAGCAATCAGGCAAGAAAAAGAAATAAAGGGTATTCAATTAGAAAGAGAGGAAGTCAAATTGCCCTCTTTGCAGATGACATGATTGTGTATTGAGAAAACCCCATCATCTCAGTCCAAAATCTCCTTAAGCTGATAAGCAACTTCAGCAAAGTCTCAGGATACCAAATCAATGTGCAAAAATCACAAGCATTCCTATATACCATTAACAGACAAACAGAGAGCCAAATCATGAGACAACTCCCATTTACAATTGCTACAAAGAGAATAAAATACCTGGGAATCCAACTTACAATGGATGTGAAGGACCTCTTTAAGGGAGAACTACAAACAACTGCTCAATGAAATAAAAGAGGACACAAACAAATGGAAGAACATTCCATGCTCATGGATAGGAAGAATCAATATCATGAAAATGGCCATACTGCCCAAAGTAATTTATACATTCAATGCCATCCCCATCAAACTACCATTGACTTTCTTCACAGAATTGGAAAAAACTACTTTTAAGTTTCACATAGAACCAAAAAATAGCCCATACAGCCAAGACAATCCTAAGTGAAAAGAACAAAGCTGGAGGCATCATGCTACCTGACTTCAAACTATACTACAAGGCTACAGTAACCAAAACAGTATGGTACTGGTACCAAAACAGATATATAGACCAATGGAACAGAACAGGGTCCTCAGAAATAACACCACACATCTACAACTGTCTGATCTTTGACAAACCTGACAAAAACAAGCAATGGGGAAAGCATTCCCTATTTAATAAATGATGTTGGGAAAACTGGCTAGCCATATGCAGAAAACAAACTGGACCCCTTCCTTACACCTTATACAAAAATTAACTCAAAATGGATTAAAGACTTAAATGTAAGAACCAAAACCATAAAAACCCTAGAAGAAAAGTAGGCAATACCATTCAGGACATAGGCATGGGCAAACTTCATGACTCAAACACCAAAAGCAACTGCAACACAAGCCGAAATTGACAAATGGGATCTAATTAAACTAAAGAGCTTCCGCATAGCAAAAGAAACTACCATCAGAGTGAACAGGCAACCTACAGAATGGGAGAAAATTTTTGCCATCTATCCATCTGAAGAAGGGCTAATATCCAGAATCTACAAGGAACTTAAACAGATTTACAAGAAAAAAAACAAACAACCCCCTCAAAAATTGGACAAAGAATACGAACAGATACTTTTCAAAAGAAGACAGTTATGCAGCCAACAAACATATGAAAAAAAAAACCCGTCATCACTGGTCATTAGAGATATGCAAATCAAAACTACAATGAGATACCATCTCACGCCAGTTAGAATGGTAATCATTAAAAAGTCAGGAAACAACAGATGCTGGAGAGGATGTGGAGAAATAGGAATGCTTTTACACTGTTGGTGGGAGTGTAAATTAGTTGAACCATTGTGGAAGACGGTGTGGTGATTCCTCAATTATCTAGAACCAGAAATACCATTTCACCCAGCAATCCCATTACTGGGTATATACCCAAAGGATTATAAATAATTCTACGATAAAGACACATGCACATATATGTTTATTGCAGTACTATTCACAATAGCAAAGACTTGGAATCAACCCAAATGTCTATCAATGATAGACTGGACAAAGAAAATGTGTCACATATACACCATGGAATACTATGCAGCCATAAAAAAGGATGAGTTCATGTCCTTTGCAGGGACATGGATGAAACTGGAAATCATCATTCTCAGCAAACTAACATAAGAACAGAAAACCTAACCCCGCATGTTCTCACTCATAAGTTGGAGTTGAACAATGAGAACACATGGACACAGGGAGGGGAACATCACACAGTAGGGCCTGTTAGGGGGTGGGGGCCTAGGGGAGGGATAACATTAGGAGAAATACCTAATGTAGATGACGGGTTGATGGGTGCAGCAAACCACCATGGCACATGTATACCTATGTAACAAACCTACACGTTCTGCACATGTATCCCAGAACTTAAAGTATAATAAAGAAAAAAGTCCTTTCTGCTACTATGCACACACGTATGAATGTCCCAAATACAGAAATCTTTTTTTCTGATTGAGAGTGGTCACTTGGAGCATAGGAAAACTTCTCATGGAGAAAGTAGTTCCCCTGTGTGCAAAGAATGCACAGGAAATGTAAATCCCTCAGATTAGTTTAAGAAGACTAAAAATAAGGCTTCTATATAACAGCAACTAGAAGCCAGTACATGGAGATTAATGCTGACAGTGAAGAAAGCTGTCAACCTGAGATGACTTTAGACAAATTTTTGATACTTAATATCTACATGAGAGAAAGCAAAAAATACTTTTTAAAGAAGAATAAGAAAAATTACAGTAGGATTAATATATGCTGATACTTTCAGTTGATAATAAGAAAGACCTGTTGCTTAAATTTCTTTCTAGTTTGCTCTAAATGGCATCCACCTTAAATTTGTTTTGCAAAACCAATAATCAAAAATAGCAAAATAGCAAATTTTTCCTTTATTTGCACTATGTACGATCATATATTATCTATTTGCCACATGTAGATAATAGCTCTTCTATAAGAACTCTTAAAAATCAGAAAGGGAAAAAACTATAGGAAAATGAGCTAAGAATTTTTTTTTTTTTTTTTTGATGGAGTCTGGCTCTGTGGTCCAGGCTGGAGTGCAGTGGTGCGATCTCAGCTCACTGCAAGCTCTGCCTCCCAGGTTCACACCATTCTTCTGCCTCAGCCTCCCGAGTAGCTGGGGCTACAGGCGCCCACCACCACACCCGGCTAATTTTTTGTATTTTTAGTAGAAACAGGGTTTCACCGTGTTAGCCAGGATGGTCTCGATCTCCTGACCTCATGATCCGCCCACCTTGGCCTCCCAAAGTGCTGGGATTACAGACGTGAGCCACCGCACCCGGCCGCTAAGAATTTTTTAAGTAAGCAATCAACAACAACAAAATCCAAATGGTTAAAAAGATACTTATGCAACAGGATGTTAAAACTGAATGAGGAAAAATAGTAAGTGCCAAGGATCCTCATGTTCCAGACATGCTGAGCGACTGTGAAAACTATTCTGCCAGCTCAGGTAATTATCCATCCCCAGCCTAAAAGAGAGTGGAAGCTGAAGAAACCACTTGAAGAAAAGTCACCAGTGTGTTGTGCTTCCTCCCCCTCCCCTGCTTTTTTCAACACTTCCTCCTCACCTCCAGTCACTGAAGAAGGAATCTCTCAGAGAGCATGATCTGTAGTTTCCTGAGTCTGAAGAATAGTGATTGAATTTTATGTTGTCTGAGAAGACTAAATGTGGTTGGCTATATCTGAACCCACAGAGTAAGAAGAGTTATATCAGGAGCTGGTCTCTTCCAGGAATGGTAGGGTTTGCCCGTAGGTTTACAAGTCCAAGGGAAGGAGCAAGAAAAGTTTTTTAAAAGACAACATCATAGCAAGCTTCTTGACAGAGCCTGGATAACCTCAGGAGGAAAAGGTTATGCATGCACAGAGAGGGTGGGGTATATAATAGGCCAGCCAATAGAGGCACTGTCCACCTCATGAGAGCCCAACAGGGTGAGAATCCTAGGAAAGAATTTTCACGATGGTCATGTCTGGCTCTTCTGGAGTTGGGGAAAATACTGAGTTTGGGGGAAACTACCTTTCACTAAGTTATAAAGTAAAAAAGAGATATATTACTTTTTACGAAAAACTTTTAACTAATTTACTAAGTTGTACAAAATGGGAAACTAGCCATGCCTTCTCCCCATTGCAGATTTCCCAGCCTGGAGCAATTCTAAAATGGGGGAAGATGAAGTTTTAGAGTAGAAAGTACTATAGAGTTATACAATATGACACAGAACTGGATATTTTAATTTGTGATATGAAGCTGTTTTTGGAACTGGAAGTGGCAGAAGGACGATTTTTAAAAGTTATTGAACCTTCCAGAAGAGTCTTTCAAGGAAGAATGGGTTTGCAAAGTGGTTTAAATGGACAATAGAGAAATGAATAAAATTGCTTATACCCTATTGGGGACATTTGATCAATAAGTTGGTTCCACAGATAAGAATGTTTAACTTGGAAGGAAAAAATAAACGGAGACAATGAGGAAAAGAAGACAGAAAGAGGAAGGAAGGAAGGAAGGAAAAAAGAGGAAAGAAGAAAATGAAGGAAGGGAGGAAAATAATGGAAGAAGAAAAGGAAGAAGGAAAGGGAGGAAAACATATGCTAATAAAAAAAAAACCACATACCCATTTTCACATAACAATTCAGTAACACTGTTTTCTAATGCCAGTACTCATAGAGGGTGCTGATGAAAAGAAGCAGCCATTCTTTTACAACGTTGGCAGGAGAGTTAATGCAGCTTCCACAAGGGCTTTTTGGAAATATGTATCAAAAGCTTTAAAAACTTTTAACCAAATAATTCTACTCCTAGGAATTTATTTTAAAAAAAAATTATGGATGCACAAATATTTTCCTACAGAAATACTCATTATGGTACATTTTATAATAACAAGAAAGAAAGAAAATAGCATAGTTACTGATCAATTAAACTATGGAATCCCACAGAGAAGAATATCTAGGTCCTTTTTAGTTTAAAAAAACACTGTGTAGCAATACCTACATATGTATATATAATGGATGGGGATGATCTACATCAAAATATTAAAAGTAACTAAACCCTGGATGATTACATTTGGATGATTTTGATTTTCTTCATTTTGCTTCCATAAATTTTCTATAATAAACATCCATTACATTTATGATTAAGAAAAAATACGTGTTATATTTTAAAGAGTATGCTTATACTCTGTAAAGAACATAATTACCTGAATTACATGCTACTCTCCTAATACTTGGTAATCCATGCCTGCAGGAAGCTGGCATTGTAGTCTGTGCAATTATAACCCAAACTTTGCCCATCACAGAATTTAGAGAATTCAGAATTTAGTCAGAATACTTAGGAACTGATGATGAACTAATCAGAACTAATATTATAAATCAAATCAGGCAGCAACAAACATCAAGAGTGCTTAGAAGGCTAAGGTTTGAGAACAAAGCACCAGCTTTATACCAATGGCTAACTCCAGTATAACCATGTATTATAGACTGAATTTTTTGTGTCCCCTAGAATTCACAGGTTGAAGCAATAAACTCCAGGCTGGCTGTATTTGGAGTAGAAGTAATTAAGGTTGCAGTAGGTCATAAGGGTAAGTCCCTGATCCAATAGGGACTTATAATAAGAGACACCAGAGAGTTTGATTACTGTCTCTCTTCATGTGCACACACCAAGGACAGGTCATGTAAGGACATAGCAAGAAGGTGGCTGTCTGCAAGCCAAGAATAGAGCCCTCACAAAAAAAACCAACCCTGCCAAATCTTGATCTGGAACTTCTAGTTCCCAGGACTGTGAGAAAATAAATTGTTGTTGTTAAAGCCACCCAGTCTGGTATTTTGTTATGGCAGTCAAGGCTGACTAATACAGATTTTGGTACCAAGGAGTAGGGTGCTGCTGTAACAAATAACTAAACACATGAAAGAGGCTTTGGAACTGGGTAATAGATAGAGAAGGGATAAATTTAGAAACATATGGTAGAAAAAGCTTACGTTGCCTAGAATTAAGTAGTGATAGAAATATGGATTGTATTAGTCCATTTTCACACTACTATAAAGATACTACCTGAGACTGGGTAATTTATAAAGGAAAGGAAAGAGGTTTAATTGACTCACAGTTCTGCATGGCTTGGAAGGCCTCAGGAAACTTACAATCATGGTGGAAAGTGAAGGGGAAGCAAGGCACATCTTACGTGGTGGCAGGAAAGAGAGAGGAAATGCCACACTTAAAACCATCAGCTCTGGTGAGAACTCCCTCACTATCATGAGAGCAGCATGGGGGAAACCACCCCCATGATCCAATCACCTCCCACCAGGTCCATCCGCTGACACATGGGGATTACAACTCCAGATGAGATTTGGACAGGGACACAGAGCCAAACCATATCATGAATATTAAAGGCAACTCTGGTGAGGGCTCAGGGAAAAAAAAGAGAGTTACAAAGAAAGCTTCTGTCATCTTAGAGATCATATATATCACCACGAACAGAATGTTTGTAGAAATATGGATATTAAAGGCCATTTTGGCAAGGCTTCAGAAAGAGATGAGGAATAAGTTACTGGAAACTGGAGGAAAGGTGATCCTTATTATAAAGTGGCAGAGAACTTGGCTGCATTCTGTTCTAATGTTTGGAAGAAAGTAAAACTCGTAAGTGATGAAATTGGTATTTGGCTAAGGAGATTTTTAAGCTAACTGTTGAAGGAGCAACTTGATTTCTCCTTACCACTTATAATAAAATGAGAGAGAAGAGAGATAAATTGAAGGAATTGTTAAGGAAAAAACGGAACCAGAATTTGAAGTTTTGAAAATTTCTCAGCTCATCAATATTGCAAAAATGAAAAAGCATGTTCTGAAGAAAACTCTAAGGCTGTGGATCAACAACTATTTGATAAGGAGATTGGTATGAGTGTGAACAACAGATTTAACCAGCCATCTCAGCAGGAACCAGGAATAAAGATGAGATTACACCAGCAAAAACAGTGACAGTTTGGAACAAAGGAAACAGGATGGAACAATAAAACTATTTGACTAAGAATGTGTTTTATTCTTCAAAAAAAGAGGATGATCCTATAATCCAGAGATCATCAGGGCTGCCAGTCATCACAGGCCCAGGGGCAAGGCTCTTTTCTCCTGTGTCTCAAAGCTTACAGAAGTTGTGACCTCCTCAGTTTCAGCAGGCCAGGCTGCCACAACCCAGTGCTTCATGCGCAGGGAAGCCCTATGGAGATGAATAGGTAGAGCTGCCCCACAGAGCTGTAGGAGTGATGTTGCCACCCCAGTGGGGCTGGAGGGTAGAGCACTGAACCAAAAATTATTCTCAGATCTTAAGATCTCTTGGAATTTGCTTTACTGGGTTTTGGACTTGCTTGACACCTGGCACTCCTTTCTTCTTTCCTATTTCTCCTTTTGGAGTAGGGATGTTTATTGTATGCCTCTCTCATCATTGTGTTTTGGAAGCACATATCTTGTCTGGTTTCACAGTTTCACAGCTAGACAGCAATTTTGCCTCAAGGTGAATAATGCCTCAGGTCTCACCCACATCTGATTTTGAAATTTAGATGTGACCTTAGACTTTAAAATTGATGCTAGAGTGAGTAACGACTTTGGGGGCTGTTGGGATACAATTAATGTATCTTTCATGAAAGAAGGACATACATTTTGGGATAGTGGGAGTGGAATCTTATGGATTGAAATTTTGTGACCTTCCAAAATTCCTATGTTAAAGCCGTAAACCCTAGGGTGGCTGTATTTGGAGAAGGAATCTCTAAGGAAGTAATTAAGATTCAATGAGGTCATAAAGGTGGGGCCCTGATCCAGTAAAATCAGTGTTCTTATAAAAAGAGACAATAGAGAGCTCGCTTTGTCCACACACGTGCACTGATGAAAAGTCATGTGACAACATGGCCACAAGAGCTATCTGTCAACAAGCTCGGAAGGGAGACTTCACCAGATACCAAATTTACCAGCACTTTGGCCTTGGACTTCCCAGTCTCCAAAACTTGGGAGATGAATTTCTGTTCTTTAAGTACTCAGTCTGTGGTATTTTGTTATGGCAGCCCAAGTTGACTAATGTACCATGCTACATGGCAACAAGATTCACACACAGTGAAAGGTTGTGGAGGTTTTGGGACCTGAGAGGGAGTAAAGCACAAGGTCTATTTATTCAATGAGGTGATTCCAGAAAAGAAAGAAAGTGAAAGTGAGACACGTCTGAATTCATGCAGGAATGTGCATTTGGCTTCTGATGGTGCTTTTTTTTTTTAATAGACAGTCTTTCTACGCTACATTTCACTTCCTTCTGCCATGTCCATCTCCCATTACTATGCTCTTTAGTCTGCATTGTTTTAAGTCAGTGACTTTTAGGTCAAAATGAAAGAATTAGAGACATGGTGGCTCACTTCTGTAATCCCAGCACTTTGGGAGGCCACAGCAGAGTTCAAGAACAGCCTGGCCAACATCGTGAATCCTCGTCTCCAACAAAAATACAAAAATTAGCCGGGAGTGGTGGTAGGTGCCTGTAATCCCAGCTACTGGGGAGGCTGAGGCAGGAGAATAGCTAGAACCCAGAAGGCAGAGGTTGCAGTGAGCCGAGATTGCGCCATTGCAATCCAGCCTGGGTGACAGAGCAAGACTCCGTCTCAAAAAATAAGTAAATAAAAAGTTAAAAAAAAGAGAAAGAATTATCATAGGCATAAACTTCACTCTCTATTTCAAACACTAGAATGACTAAAAAATATTTTTAGGCTAAAAGACGTACTTACTGAATTGACAGAAAACTAAGTTTGACATTACCAAATGTAAGAGAGAATGTGGAGCCACAGGATTTCTTTACACATTGCCTGTGTGAGTGTAATTTGGTGCAATCAAATTTTAATTTGGTGCAAATCATTTTGGCATTACCCCCAAAGTTGAACATTCATATTCCCTATAACCCACTGATTCTATTCTTAAACATGTACGAGCAACTTTGGCAGATGTATAACAGAATAATTTTATAGAAACACTGTTCATAGCTCTCAGTAGCAAAATCTTAGAAGCAACTCATATTTCATCAATAAAAGAGTGGATGAATAAACAATGGTATATTTACAAAATGGATTATTATACAGTGGTCCAAACAAATGAACTACAGTGACCCAAAATGATAAAGGTGGATCTTGCATATTTAGTAGAAAGTGAAAAATTTAGTCCCAAAGGATTATACACACTAATAAAATTGTTGGGGATGTAAAAAATAATTAAAAATATGCTTTATAAGATATGTATATACCCATTAAAATTATATATAAAAAGGAAAGGAATGATGACTACAGGATTCAGAAATATGAGTGGAGGAAAGGGGATGTATTGTGAGGAAAACAATATTGCTAGATGTACATTATTGTCAAACACAGCTTTGTGGTGAGAGGAAAAGAAGGAAGGAAAGAAGACAGAGAGAAAAAAGGGAAAGGGATAGGAAGGGAAAGAAAGAAAAGACGAAATACATAAATACACACACACACACACACACGCATAAAAAATATGTACATACATATATAAACATAAGTGAGCTAAGGAGGAAAGTGTGTCATGAACCAAGCACTGTGGTTAATCTAATTCTGTACGCCTGAATTTTTTTAAGGAGGGAAATAAACAGCTATGTTCAAAAATAAGAGGAAAATCAAAATTAAGAGACTTGCAGATCAAAATAATAAGGAAACCCATAGCACATCATTGGCCATAGAAATGGCACATCCATCAGCAAATGGAGGTGCCAATAGGTCTACCTATCAGTCAGGTGTTTACAGCACCCATAGTCCATCTGTCCACAGCTAGGAAAGGAGTCTTGCTATGGGTCAGGGTCCAGAACTGCTCTATCTACACAGGGTCAGGCTCCAGCTCTAACTTAAGGCGTAGTTTATAGCCGTGATCCCCAGCTCCCGTGAAGCATTTCCTAGAATTTTTAATGCCAATGCATGCTATAAATTTCTGAGAGGCAATTATAGAGCACAGTTTCCCTCAAACTTATTTGACCACAGAATTCCTGTTGTAGCACTAGTATTAATATTTATTGGAACAAGTTGGCTAATGCTTTCTTGTAGTGTCAGCCCATCAGAGGCACTTCAGGGAACGTAATTAGCTATAAGAAGGAGAGACTTATCCTTTGATTCACCCCACAGAGTTCACCAGTCGTGGTGTTTACTATTTATCTTCAGGGATTGGCATATAGTAGATGCTCATTAAATATTCATTGAATGAATGAACGCAAAATGAGCAAATGATAAAAAAGAAGAGGTCAAGAGCTAAAAGAAGTAGACAAGAAAGAGATTCATGGTATACAGACTGAAGTGAAGAACCAGGAGATCTAGTTTGAATCTGGACTCCACCCCACTCCAGATATATAACCTTAAGGAAATTCCTCAACCTTCTAATCTGTAAAATGGGGGTATCCTTACATTGCTGGTATATTGAGTGACATATATGCAATCAAATATGTAAAGCATAATTCCTGGCACATTGAAGGTCAATTCAATTTCAATTCATAAAACTTATTTTCAATGAGTTGAAGAAGAAAGAGTAGCAGTGGCTAGAAGGTCATCTGTTAAATAAGAAGAGTGTCAATGTTGTGGAGCCAGAATGGAGGACATTAAGGTGACAATTAGTACTATCAGATGTTCCAGGGAACTGGAAACACACTGATGGAATATGAAGATATTTTCTATTTCTGCTTAAAAGCTCAACTAGGTTCTATTTAATGTGATTTTGAAGTTATATTCTGGCACAATGAGGAGTTTCTTTGGTAACCTAAACTCTTACCAGAGAGCAGTTTCATGACTCATGTTTTGAATATGAATAGTTGCCAGGAAATAATTAGAATGAAAAATGACTAGAAAACACCCAGGATCTAGATTCCTATTATAATGAATTACTTAGCACAACTCAGAAGTTAGCTGGTAAGAAAAACAGTTGTGGTAGAGTGTTTGAAGCAGCACAGATATGTGTCTCTGTATTCTCCACCATTTTTTGTTTAGAAGTGAGGGTTTGTAATAGTCTTTTAGGTGTACCCTCCCTCTAAGACCACAGTTTATGAATATTTTATGATAAGAAGCTATGCAGAACACCTCCCTCCAACATCAGCTAGCTTGCTGCGGGAGCCCATTATCTAAGAATAGTCTCTAGGTCTATCTTCTGAGCAGTGTTGACTGGAATCTTGTGCATTGCTATGTTGCCGTATCAGCAACACCCTGCCTCCTCTGATTAATATCGTGCTCACTTGCCTTGGAAGTTACTTATCACAGAGCTGCTTGGGGAAGATTTTGTTCATTCTTAATTGGAAATTAATATTAGTGGATAAGATAGTAGAATGCATATAGAGTTGTATGGAATGTGGCTTTAGAGTACATGTTTTCTTTTCTTTTTTTAAAATTTTATTTTATTTTAATTTCCAGGATACATGTGCGGGATATGCAGGTTTGTTGCATAGGTAAACATGTGCCACAGTGGTTTGCTGCACCTATCAACCCATCACCTAGGTATTAAGCCCCACATGCATTAGCTATTTATCCTGATGCTTTCCCTCTCCCCATCCCCACAACAGGTCCCAGTGTGTGTTGTTCCCCTCCCTGTGTCCGTGTGATCTCATGGTTCAGATCCCACTTATAAGTGAGAACATGCAGTGTTTGGTTTTCTGCTCCTATGTTTGCTGAGGATAATGGCTTCCAGCCCCATACATGTCCCTGCAAAGGACATGATCTCGTTCCTTTTTATGGCTGCATAAAAAGTATTCCGTGGTGTATATGTACCACATTTTCTTTCTCCAGTCTATCACTGATGGGCATTTGGGTTGATTCTATGTGTTTGTTATTGTGACTAGTGCTCCAATGAACATGTATGTGCATGTATCCTTATAATAGAAAGAATGATTTATATCCTTTGGGTATATACACTGTAATGAAATTGCTGGGTCAAATGATATTTCTGGTTCTAGGTATTTGAGGAATCACCACACTATCTTCCACAATGGTTGAACTAATTTACATTCCCACCAACAGTGTAAAAGCGTTCCTATTTCTCCATAGCCTCACCAGCATCTGTTGTTTCTTAACTTTAATAATAGCCATTCTGACTGGCATGAAATGGTATCTCATTGTGGTTTTGATTTGCATTTCTCTAATGATCAGTGACACTGAGCTTTTTTTTCATGTTTGTTGGCCGCATAACTGTCTTCTTTTGAAAAATGTCTGTTCATGTCCCTTGCCTACTTTTTAATGGGATTTTTTGTTTGTTTGTTTGTTTTGTTTGTTTGTTTGCTTTTTTGTAACTTTAATTTCCTTGTAAATTCTGGATATTAGATCTTTGTCAGATGGATAGATGGCAAAGTTTTTCTCCCATTCTGTAAGTTGCCTGTTCACTCTGATGATAGTTTCTTTTGCTGTGCAGAAGCTCTTTAGTTTAATTAGATCTCTTTTGTAAATTTTTGCTTTTGTTGCAATTGCTTTTCATATTTTCATCATGAAATCTTTGCCTATGCCTATGTCCTAAATGCTACTGCCTAGATTTTCTTCTAGGGTTTTTATAATTTTGGGCTTAAATTTAAATCTTTAATCTATCTTGAGTTAGTTTTTGTATAAGGTGTAAGGAAGGGGTCCAGTTCCTTTATGCATATGGCTAGCCAGTTTTCTCAGCATCATTTATTAAGTAGGGAATCCTTTCCCCATTTCTTCTTTTTGTCAGATTTGTCGAAGATCAGATGGTTGTAGATGTGCGGTCTTATTTCTAAATTCTCTATTCTATTCCTTTGGTCTATGTGTCTGTTTTTGTACCAGTACCATGCTGTTTTGGTTACAGTAGCCCTGTAGTATAGTTTGAAGTTAGGTAGTGTGATGCCTCCTGCTTTGTTCGTTTTGCTTAAGATTGCCTTGGCTCTATGGGCTCCTTTTGGTTCCATATTAATTTTAAAATTGTTTTTTCTAATTCTGTGAAGCATGTCAATGGAGTTTAATGGGAATAGCATTGAATCTATAAATTACTTTGGGTAGTATGGCCATTTTTACAATATTGATTCTTCCTATCCATGAATATGGAATGTTTTTCCATTTGTTTGTGTCCTCTCATTTCCTTGAGCAGTGATTTGTAGTTCTCCCTGAAGATGTCCTTCACTTCCCTTCTTAGCAGTTTTCCTAGGTATTTTATTCTCTTTGTAGCAATTTTGAATGGGAATTCATTTATGATTCGGCTCTCTGCTTCTCTGCTGTTAGTGTATAGGGATGCTTGTGATTTTTGCACATTGATTTTGTGTCCTGAGACTTTGCTGAAGTTGTTTATTAGCTTAAGAAGCTTTTGGGTGGAGATAATGGGGTTTTCTAGATATAGGATTATGTCATCTGAAAATAGAGGCAGTTTGACTTCCCCTTTTCCTCTTTGAATTCTTTCTTTCTCTTGTTTGGTTGCCCTGGCCAGAACTCCCAAAACTATGTTGAATAGGAATGGTGAAAGAGGGCATCCTTGTCTTGTGTCAATACCCGTTTTCTTATGTGGTGTGAGAAACTATTATTCAAAAATATATAGTGTGAATGCAAGTTATTCATTAAAAATTAAAATAATAAACAGAGAAAAAATGTGAAATCTGCTTTCACCACCAACACATCCCCATTACTGCCACTTCTATGCCTTTATCCCTCTCTGCTCCCAAGCAGTAGTCATAGTGTATGAGCCACTGGTGGACCTCTCTGTTATGGTGTCCTGACTTCTAACATTGATGCCAAAGAAGAGGACATATGATGTGGCTCAGGCTGGGCCACTTATAGTGTCACATCCCCCAATCACAGGGATTACTTCAGGAGTAGGCATGCGCTCCAAATAGGGCCATTCAGAGTTTGTTTCTGGGATTGATGTGTGGGTGAAAGATAGAAGCCTTATTCTTTTTTCAACTTTTATTTTAAGTTCAAGGATACATGTGCAGGATGTGCAGGTTTGTTATATAGGTAAAGGTGTGTCATGATGGTTTGCGGCACAGATCATCCTATCACCCAGTTATTAAGTCCAGTATTCATTAGTTTTTCTTTCTGATACTCTCTCTCCTCCCACCCCCCCACCCGCCAACAGGCCCCAGTGTGTGTTGTTCCCCTCCAGGTGTCCGTGTATTCTCATCATTCAGCTCCCACTTATAAGTGAGAATACATGGTAGTTGGTTTTTGTTCCTGCATTAGTTTGCTAAGGATAATGGCCTCCAGCCCCTTCCATGTCCATGAAAAAGACCTGGTCTCATTCCTTTCTATGGCTGTGTAGTATTCCATGGTATATATGTACCACATTTTCTTTCTCTAGTCAATCAATGATGGGCATTTAGGTTGATGCCATGTCTTTGCTATTGTAAACACTGAGGCAGTGAACACATGCGTGCATGTGTCTTTATAACAGAAGGATTTATATTCCTTTGGGTATATGCCCAGTAGTGGGATTGCTGGATCAAATAGTATTTCTGCCTGTAGGTCTTTGAGGAATTGCCACACTGTCTTCTACATGGTTGAACTAATTTATACTCCCACCAACAGTGTAGAAGTGTTCCTTTTCCTCCACAACCTCACCAGCATCTGTTGTTTTTTTGACTTTTTAATAGTAGCCATTCTGACTGGTGTGAGATGGTATCTCATTGTGGTTTTGATTTGCATTTCTCTAATGATCACTGATGTTAAGCTTTTTTTCATATGTTTGTTGACCACATGTATGTCTTCTTTTGAGGAGTGTCTGTTCATATCCTTTGCCCACTTTTTAATGGGGTTGTTTGTTTTGGTTTTTTTTTTTTTTTTTTTGTAAATTTGTTTAAGTTCCTTATAGATGCTGGATATTTGACCTTTGTCAGATGAATAGATAACAAAATTTTTCTCCCATTCTGTAGGTTGCCTGTTGATAGTTTCTTTTGCTGTGCAGAAGCTCTTGAGTTTAATTAGTTCCCATTTGTCAATTTCTGCTTTTGTTTCAATTGCTTTTGGCATCTTCATCATGAAACCTTTGCAAAGTCTCAGGATACAAAATCAATGTGAAAAAATCGCTAACATTTCTATACACCAACAATAGACAAGCAGAGAGCCAAATCACAAGGGAACCCACATTCACAATTGCTATAAAAAGAATAAAATACCTAGCCATACAGCTAACAAGGGAAGTGAAGGACCTCTTCAAGGAGAACTACAAACCACTGCTCAAAGAAATCAGAGAAGACACAAACAAATAAAAAAAAATCTATGCTCACAGATAGGAAGATTCAATATTTTGAAAATGGCCATACTGCACAAAGTAATTTATAGATTCAGTGCTATTCCCATTAAACTCCATTGACATTCTTCACAGAATCAGAAAAAAAAACTATTTTAAAATTTATATGGAACCAAAAGAGAGCCCAAATAGCCAAGACAATTCTAAGCAAAAAGAACAAAGCTAAAGGCATCACACTCCCTTACTTCAAACTATACAGTAGGGCTACCATAACCAAAACAGCATGGTACTGGTACGAGAACAGAGGCGTAGACCAATAGAACAGAATAGAGAACGCAGAAATAAAACTGCACAGCTACAACTATCTGATCTTTGAAAAAACTGACAAGCAGCAGTGGGACTGGATTCCTGAACAAGATGGCCAAATAGGAACAGCTTCAGTCTACAGCTCCCAGCGAGACCAATACAGAAGGCAGGTGATTTCTGCATTTCCAACTGAGGTACCTATTTCATCTCATTGGGACTGGTTAGACAGTGGGTACAGCCCATGGAGGGCAAGCAGAGGCAAGGTGAGGCATTGCCTCACCCGGGAAGTGTAAGGGGTCAGGAAACTCCCTCCCCTAGCCAAGGGAAGCCATGAGGGACTGTGCCATGAGGAAGGGTGCTATCCGGCCCAGATACTATGCTTTTCCTACCATCTTCACAACCCGCAGACCAGGATACTCCCTCGGTTGCCTACAGCACCAGGGCCCTGGGTTTCAAGCACAAAACTGGGCAGACACAGAGCTAGCTTCAGGAGGCTTTTTTTTCCCCCAGTGGCACCTGGAACACAAGTGAGACAGAACTGTTCACCCCCTGGAAAGAGGGCTGAAACCAGGGAGCCGAGTGGTCTTGCTCAGCAGAATCCACCTGAACAGAGCCCAACAAAGTAAGATCCACTGGCTTAAAATTCTCGCTGCCAGTACAGCAGTCTGAAGTTGATCTGGGACACTCCAGCTTGGTGGGGGGAGGGAGGTCTGCCATTACTGAGGCTTGAGTAGGCAGTTTTCCCCTCACAGTGTAAACAAAGCCACAGCCTGGAATTTTCGACTGGGCAGAGACCTCCTCAGCGCCACAAAGCCACTGTAGGCAGACTGCTGCCTTTCTAGATTCCTTCTCTCTGGGCAGGGCATCTCTGAAAGAAAGGCAGCAGCCCAGTCAGGGGCTTATAGATAAAACTCCTATCTCCCTGGGACAGAGCACCTGGGGGAAAAGGCAGCTGTGGGTGCAACTTCAGCAGACTTAATCATTCCTGCCTGCTGGCTCTGAAGAGGACAGCAGATCTCTCAGCACGGTGCTAGAGCTCTGCTAAGGGACAGACTGCCTCCTCAGGTGGGTCCCTGACCCCCTTGTCTCCTGATGGGAAGACACCGCCCAGCAGGGGTCAACAGACACCTCATACAGGAGAGCTGCAGCTGGCATCTGGCAGGTGCCCCTCTGGGATGAAGCTTCCAGAGAAAGAGGCAGGCAGAAATCTTTGCTGTTCTGCAGCCTCCACTGGTGATACCCAGGCAAACAGGGTTTGGAGTGGACCTCCCACAAACTCCAGCAGACCTGCAAAAGAGAGGCCCAACTGTTAGAAGGAAAACTAATACACTGAAAGCAATAGCATCAACATCAAGAAGGACGCCCACGCAAAAACCCCATACAAAGATCACCAACATCAAAGACCAAAGGAAGATAAATCCATGAAGATGAGGAAAAAGAAACACAAAAAAGCCAAAAATTCAAAAAAACCAGAATGGCTCTTCTCCTCCGAGGGATCACAACTCCTCACCAGCAAGGGAACAGAACTGGATGGAGAATGAGTTTGACAAATTGACAGAAGTAGGCTTCAGAAGGTGGATAATAACAAACTCCTTCGAGCTAAAGGAGCATGTTCTAATGCAATGCAAGAAAGCTAAGAACCTTGAAAAAAGGTTAGAGGAATTCTGAACTACAATAACCAGTTTAGAGAAGAACATAAACGACCTGATGGAAATGAAAAACACAGCACAAGAACTTCGTGAAGCATACAAAAGTATAAACAGCTGAATTGATCAAGCAGAAGAAAGAATACCAAATATTGAAGATCAACTTAATGAAATAAAGCAGGCAGACAAGAGTAGAGAAAAAAGAATGAAAAGAAACAAAGACTTCAAGAAATATGGCACTATGAGAAACGACCAAACCTATGTTTGATTGATGTACCTGAAAGTGACAGGGAGAGTGGAACCAAGTTGGAAAGCACTCTTCAGGATATTATCCAGCAGAACTCCCCCAACCAAACAAGACAGGCCAACGTTCAAATTCAGGTAATATAGAGTACACCACAAAAATACTCCTCTAGAAGAGCAACCCCAAGACACATAATCATCAGATTCACCAAGGTTGAAATTAAGGAAAAAATGTTAAGGGTAGTCAGAGGGAAAGGTCGGGTTACCCACAAAGGGAAGTCCATCAGACTAACAGCGGATCTCTCTGCAGAAACCCTACAAGCCAGAAGACAGTGAAGGCCAATATTCAACATTCTTAAAAAAAAATATTTTCAACCCAAAATTTCATATCCAGCCAAACTAAGCTTCATAAGTGAAGAAGAAATAAAATCCTTTACAGACAAGCAAATCCTGTGGGATTTTGTCACCATCAGGCCTGCACTACAAGAGCTCCTGAAGGAAGCACCAAATATGGAAAGGAAAAACCAATACCAGACACTGCAAAAACATAACAAATTGTAAAGACCATCGACACTGTGAAGAGACTGCATCAACTAACGGCCAAAATAACCAGCTAACATCATAATGACAGGATCAAATTCATACTTAACAATATTAATCTTAAATGTAAACGGGCTAAATACCCCAATTAAAAGACACAGAATGGCAAATTGGATAGAGTCAAGACCCATCAGTGTGCTGTATTTAGGAGCCCATCTCATGTGCAAAGACACACATAGGCTCAAAATAAAGGGATGGAGGAATATTTACCAAGTAAATAGAGAGCAAAAAGAAAAGCAGACGTTACAATCCTAGTCTCTGATAAAACAGACTTTAAACCAACAAAGATCAAAAAAGACAAAGAAGGGCATTACATAATGGTAAAGGGATCAATGCAACAAGAAGCGCTAACTCTCCTAAATTTATATGCACCCAATACAGGAGGACTCAGATTTATAGAGCAAGTTCTTAGAGACCTAAAAAGAGACTTAGACTCTCACGCAATAATAGTGGGAGACTTTAACACCCCACTGTCAATATTAGACAGACCAACGAGAAAAAAAATTAACAAGGTTATTCAGGACTTGAACTCAACTCTGGATGAAGCAGACCTAATAGACATCCACAGAACTCTCCACCCCAAGTAAACAGAATATACATTCTTCACAGCATCACATAGTACTTATTCTAAAATTGACCACATAATTGGAAGTAAAACACTCCTCAGCAAATGAAAAAGAATGGAAACTATAACAAACAGTCTCTCAGACCACAGTGCAATCAAATTAGAACTCAGGATTAAGAAACTCACTCAAAACTGCACAACTACATGGAAACTGAACAACCCTGCTCCTGAATGACTGCTGGGTAAATAACGAAATTAAGTCAGAAATAAATAAGTTCTTTGAGACACAGCTAAAGCCATGTTTAGAGGAAAATTTATAACACTAAATGTCCACATGAGAAAGTGGGAAAGATCTAAAATCGACACCCTAACATCACAATTAAAAGAACTCGAGAAGCAAGAGTAAACAAATTCAAAAACTAGCAGAAGACAAGAAATAACTAAGATCAGAGCAGAACTGAAGGAGATAGAGACATGAAAAACCCTTCAAAAAAATCAATGAATCCAGGAGCTGGTTTTTTTAAAAGAAGGAACAAAACTGAACAGAGTTTTGTTAGACCATCTAATTAGACAGACTGCTAGCCAGACTAATAAAGAAGAAAAGAGAGAAGAATCAAATAGACACAATAAAAATTGATAAAAGGGATATAACTGCTGATCCCAGAGAAATACAAACAACCATCAGAGAATACTATAAACAACTCTATGCAAATAAACTAGAACATCTAGAAGAAATGGATAAATTCCTGGACACATACACCCTCCCAAGACTAAACCAGAAAGAAATAGAATCCCTGAATAGACCAATAACACATTCTGAAATTGAGGCAGTAATTAATAGCCTACCAACCAAAAAAAAAAACTCCAAGACCAGATGAACTCACAGCCAAATTCTACCAGAGATACAAAGAGGAGCTGGTACCATTCCTTCTGAAACTATTCCAAATAATAGAAAAAGAGGGACTCCTCCCTAACTCATTTTATGAGGCCAGCATCATCCTGATACTGAAACCTGGCAGAGACACAGCAAAAAAAGAAAATTTCAGGCCAATATCCCTGATGAACGTTGATGTGAAAATCCTCGATAAAATACTGAAAAACTGAATCCAGCAGCACATCAAAAAGCTTATCCACCATGATCAAGTCGGCTACATCCCTGAGATGCAAGGCTGGTTCAATATACACAAATCAATAAGCGTAATCCAACACATAAAGAGAACCAATGACAAAAACCGCATGATTATCTCAATAGATGCAGAAAAGGCCTTTCTGAAAGTTCAACACTCCTTCATGCTAAAAACACTCAATAAACTAGGTATTGATGGAACATGTCTCAAAATAATAAATGGTATTTGACAAACCCACAGCCAATATCACTAAATGGGCAAAAGCTGAAAGCATTGCCTTTGAAAACTGGCACAAGACAAGGATGCCTTCTCTCACCACTCCTATTCAACATAGTGTTGGAGGCTCTGGCCAGGGCAATCAGGCAAGAGAAAGAAATAAAGTGTATTCAAATAGAAAGCATGGAAATCAAATTGTCTCTGTTTTTAGATGACATGATTGTAGATTTAGAAAACCCCATTGTCTCAGCCCAAAAACTCCTTCAGCTGATAAGCAACTTTGGCAAAGTCTCAGGATACAAAATCAATGTGCAAAAATCACAAGCATTCCTATACACCAATAACAGACAAACAGAGAGCCAAATTATGAGTGAACTCTCATTCACAATTGCTACAAACAGAATAAAATACCTAGGAATCCAACTTACAAGGGATGGGAAAGACCTCTTCAAGGAGAACTGCAAACCACTGCTCAAGGAAATGAGAGGACACAAACAAATGGAGAACATTCCATGCTCATGGATAGGAAGAATCAATATCATCAAAATGGCCATACTGCCCAAAGTAATTTATAGAGTCAATGCTATCCCCATCAGGCTACCATTGACTTTCTTCACAGAATTAGATAAATCTACTTTAAATTTCATATGGAACTGAAAAAGAGCCCATATAGCCAAGACAATCCTAAGCAAAAAGAACACAGCTGGAGACATCATGCTACCTGACTTCAAACTATACTACAAGGCTACAGTAAGCAAAACAGCATAGTACTGGTACCAAAACAGATATATAGACCAATGGAGCAGAACAAGGGGCCTCAGAAATAATGCCACATATCTACAATCATCTGATCTTTGAGAAACCTGATAAAAACAAGCAGTGGGGAAAGGATTCCTTATTTAAAAAATGGTTTTGGAAAAACTGGCTAGCCATATGCAGAAAACTGAAACTGGACTCCTTCCTTACACCTTATACAAAAATTAACTCAAGATGGATTAAAGACTTAAACATAAGACCTAAAACGATAAAAACCCTAGAAGAAAACCTAGGCAATACCATTCACGATATAGGTGAGAGCAAAGACTTCAGGACTAAAACACCAAAAGCAATTCCAAAAAAAGCCAAAATTGACAAATGGGACCTAATTAAACTACAGAACTTCTGAACAGTCAAAGAAACAATCATCAGAGTGAACAGGCAATTTACAGAATGGGAGAAAATTTTTGCTATCTATCCATCTGACAAAGGGCTAATTAATATTCAGAATCTACAAGGAACTTAAACAAATTTACAAGAAAAAAACAACCCCATCAAAAAGTGGGTAAAGGATATGACAGACACTTTTCTTTTTTTTTTAATTATACTTTAAGTTTTAGGGTACATGTGCACAACGTGCAGGTTTGTTACATATGTATACATGTGCCATGTTGGTGTGCTACACCCATTAACTCATCATTTAACATTAGGTATATCTCCTAATGCTATCCCACCCCCCTCCCGCAACCCCACAGCAGGCCCGGGTGTGTGATGTTCCCCTTCCTGTGTCCATGTGTTCTCATTGTTCAATTCCCACCTATGAGTGAGAACATGCAGTGTTTGGTTTTTTGTCCTTGCAATAGTTTGCTGAGAATGATGGTTTCCAGCTTCATCCATGTCCCTGCAAAGGACATGAACTCATCCTTTTTTATGGCTGCATAGTATTCCATGGTGTGTATGTGCCACATTTTCTTAATCCAGTCTGTCATTTTTGGACATTTAGGTTGGTTCCAAGTCTTTGCTATTGTGAATAGTGCCGCAATAAACATATGTGTTCATGTGTCTTTATAGCAGCATGATTTATAATCCTTTGGGTATATACCCAGTAATGGGATGGCTGGGTCAAATGGTATTTCTAGTTCTAGATTCCTGAGGAATCACCACACTGACTTCCACAATGGTTGAATGAATTTACACTCCCACCAACAGCGTAAAAGCATTCCTGTTTCTCCACATCCTCTCCAGCACCTGTTGTTTCCTGACTTTTTAATGATTGCCATTCTAACTGGTGTGAGGTGGTATCTCATTGTGGTTTTGATTTGCATTTCTCTGATGACCAGTGATGATGAACATTTTTTCATGTGTCTTTTGGCTGCATAACTGTCTTTATGCAGCCAACAAACATATGAAAAAAAAAAGGTCATCATCACTGGTCATTAGAGAAATGCATATCATAACCACAGTGAGATACCATATCACGCCAGTTAGAATGGTGATCATTAAAAAGTCAGGAAACAACAGGTGCTGGAGAGGATGTGGAGAAATAGAAACACTTTTATGCTGTTGGTGGGACTGTAAATTAGTTCAACCATTGTGGATGACAGTGTGGCGATTCCTCAAGGATCTAGAAATACCATTTCACCCAGCAATCCCATTACTGGGTATATACCCAAAGGATTATAAATCATTTTACTATAAAAATATGCACACATATGTTTATTGCAGCACTATTCACAATAGCAAAGACTTGGGACCAACCAAAATGCCCATCCATGATATACTAGATAAAGAAAATGTGGCACATATGCACCATGGAATACTGTGCAGCCATAAAAAAGGATGAGTTCATGTCCTTTGCAGGGACATGGATGAAACTGGAAACCATCATTCTCAACAAACTAACACAGGAACAAAAAACCAAACTCCACATGCTCTCACTCATAAGGGAGAGTTGAACAATCAGAACAAATGGGCACAGTGAGGGGAACATCACACAACAGGTCCTGTTGTGGTGTCGGGGGCAAGGGAGGGATAGCATTAGGAAAAATACCTAATGTAGATGATGGGTTGATGGGTGCAGGAAACCATTATGGCACGCATATACCTATGTAACAAACCTGCATGTTTTGCACATGTATCCCAGAACTTAAAGTATAATTTAAAAAAATAAAGAGTAATAGGCTGTAAAGTGTAAATAGGCTTAAAATATGATACATTATTGTATATTACTTGAACGGGTAAAATGACTACATCTGTAGACTGCAATAAGAGATAATTATATAGATATAGATATGCTATGGAAAAACAAAGAAACTATACAAAGAGACACATTCAAGGACACTATTAACAAATTAACATGGAATTTAAAAAAATGTTTAGATAACCCATGGAAGGCAGGAAAAAGAAAACAGAGTAACAAAGAACAGAGAGAACCAACACAAAACAAAAATAATGATGGTCATTCTAACTGGTGTGAGATGGTATCTCATTGTGGTTTTGATTTGCATTTCTCTGATGTCCAGTGATGATGAGCATTTTTTCATGTGTCTTTTGGCTTCATAAATGTCTTCTTTTGAGGAGTGTCTGTTCATATCCTTCGCCCACTTGTTGATGGAGTTGTTTGTTTTTTCTTGTAAATTTGTTTGAGTTCTTTGCAGATTCTGGATATTAGCCCTTTGTCAGATGAGTAGATTGCAAAAATTTTCTCACATCCTGTAGGTTGCCTGTTCACTCTGATGGTAGTTTCCTTTGCTGTGCAGAAGCTCTTTAGTTTAATGAGATCCTATTTGTCAATTTTGGCTTTTGTTGCCATTGCTTTTGGTGTTTTAGTTAGAATGGCGATCATTAAAAAGTCAGGAAACAACAGGTGCTGGAGAGGATGTGGAGAAATAGGAACAATTTTACACTGTTGGTGGGACTGTAAACTAGTTCAACCATTGTGGAAGTCAGTGTGGCAATTCCTCAGGGATCTAGAACTAGAAATACCATTTGACCCAGCCATCCCATTACTGGGTATATACCAGTATATACCCAGTAAGGATTATAAATCATGCTGCTATAAAGACACATGCACACGTATGTTTATTGCGGTACTATTCACAATAGCAAAGACTTGGAACCAACCTAAATGTCCAAAAATGATAGACTGGATTAAGAAAATGTGGCACATATACACCATGGAATACTATGCAGCCATAAAAAAGGATGAGTTCATGTCCTTTGTAGGGACATGGATGAAGCTGGAAACCATCGTTCTCAGCAAACTATCGCAAGGACAAAAAACCAAACACTGCATGTTCTCATTCATAGGTGGGAATTGAACAATGAGAACACATGGACAGAGGAAGGGGAACATCACACACCGGGGTTGCGGGAAGGGGGAGGGATAGCATTAGGAGATATACCTAATGTAAATGACGAGTTAATGGGTGCAGCACACCAACATGGCACATGTATACATATGTAACAAACCTGCACGTTGTGCACATGTACCCTAAAACTTAAAGTATAATAAATATATATATATATAAATAAATAAATAAAACAGCAAACTCAAACCTTAACTTATCTATAACTACATTAAATGTAAATGGTTTAAATACCTTCACGTTAAAACTAAAAGACAGAGATTATCAGAGTGTAGTAAAAACATGGTCCACAAGTATACTATCTACAAGAAACTAACTTCAAATATGATATAGACAGGTTAAGGTAAAAGGATAAAGATATGTCATGAAAACATTAATGAAAGAAAAGTAAGAGACGCTAAATTAATTTCAGATAAAAAACACTTCAGAACAAATACAATTACTACAGATACAAAAGGACAATATATGAGAATAAAAGAGTCATCCAACAAAAAGACAGCAATCCTAAATCTATATGCACCAAAAATAGAGCCAAAACATGTAAAGTAAAACCTGATAAATATTAAGAATGAAATAAACTAATTCACAATTATATTTGGAGAAGTCAAAACCCCTCAATTAGCAATTGGTAGAATCGCTATACAAAAAATTAACAAGACTGTTAAATAGCTCAATAATAGTAAAAACCAACAGAATCTAATTGAAATTTATAAAACAAGTAAGTGTCAAAAAGACCCAACAAGAACAAAATACACATTCTTTTTAAGTGCATACAAAATATAAACTAAGATAGATTATATCCTTGGCCATAATACAAACCTCAACAAACTTTTTAAAAATTAGAATAATACAAAAGCTGTTCTCTGATCACAATGAATTGAAACTCAAATTTTAAAGTGGAAAGATAATAGGAAAAGTTCCAAGTTCTTGGGAACTAAATAATACACTTCTATATAATTCATGCATCAAAGCAGACACCTCAAGAAGAATACATTGAACTCAATGAAAATGAAATACAAATTTTCCATAGTTGTGGGATACAGCAAAAGCAGTGCTGAAAGGGAAATTTATAGCGCTAAATGCATATGTTGGAAATCAGGAAAAGTCTCAGATAGGTAACCGAAGCTTCCATCTCAAGGAACTAAAAATCTAAGAACAATTAAACACAAAGCAAGTAGAAGGAGAAATAATAAATATAAGAATAGAAATTAATAAAACCAAAAACAGGAAAGCAGTAGAAAAATCAATGAAACCAAAAGCTGCATCTTTTAAAAGATTGGTAAAATTCATAAGCCTTAGCAAGACTGCCAAATAAAAAGAAGAGTGATGACATAAATTACTAATATCAAAAATGAAACTGGGGACCCTGCAAACATCAAAGGGTTATAAGGGAATATTATTAATTAATAACTCTTCACCTATGAATTTGACAACTTTGATGAAATAGACCAATTCCTCAAAAAGTACAAGCCACCATAACTCATCCAATATAACACAGATCACTCAAATATTACATACTTTGCCCATTTAAAATGTACAGTTTAATGGCTTTTGGTAGATTCACTGAGTTTTACATCCATCCCCACAATCAATTTAAGAACACTTGTATTACTTCAGAAAAAAACTCCACTCACTTTAACTATTGTGCCCTCCCATCTCCCAATCCTACGTAGGCTTAGGATACTATTAATACACAATCTACTACTACTAATCTATCTTCTGTATCTGTAGCTTTGCCTATTCTGGATACTTCATATAAATAGAATTGTATAACATGTGGTCCTTTGTGACTTGCTTCTTTCAGTTAGCATAATGTTGTCAAGGCTCACTAGTATTTAATTTATTTTTATCACTAAATACTGTTTCATTTTATGGGTGTATCACATTTTACTTATTCATTCATCAGTTGATTGACATTTGGGATGTTTCAAATTTGGGGATATTATTAATAATGCCACCATGAACATTCATGCGTAAGCTTTTGTGTGGACATATGTTCTCATTTCTTGGAAGTATATCCTTAGTAGCGGAATTACCAGATCATTTGATCATTCCATGTTTAGTCATTTGAAGAACTGCCAGATTGTTTCCCAATGTAGCTGCACCATTTTACATTCCCACCAGTAGTGCAAGAGGGTTCCAATTTTTCTAACACTTGTTATTATGTGTCTTCTTTACTATAGCCATTTTAGTGAGTATGAAGTGAAATTAGCAATTCTCTGATGGCTAATGATATTGAGAATTTCTCATATAACTGGCCATTTGTATATCTTGTTTGGAAAGCTGTCTATTCAAATACTTTGCCCATTTTTAATTATTTACCCTTTTATTATTGAATTGCAGTACTTTTTTATATATTCTTGATAGTAGACTCTTCAGATATATGAACTGCAAATATCTTCTCCAATTTTGTGGTTTATCTTCATTTATGTGATAATGTCCTTTGAAGCACGAAAGTTTTTAATTCTGTTAAAATCCAATTCATCTATATTTCCTTGGTTGCTTATGCTTTTGTTGTTATATTTAAGAAAGTATTACCTCATTCAAGGTCACAAAGATTTACACCTATGATTTCTTCTAAGAGTTACAAAACTCTCTGCTCTGACATTTAAGTCTTTGATTCACTTTTAGTTGACTTTTGTACATGGTGTGAGGTAGTGGTCCAACTTCATTCTTTTGCATGTGGTTATGTCCCACCAGCACTTGTTGAAAGACTATTCTTTTCCCCATTGAATTGTCTCAGCACACTTTTTTTTTTATTATACTTTAAGTTTTAGGGTACATGTGCACAATGTGCAGGTTTCTTACATATGTATACATATGCCATGTTGGTGTGCTGCACCCATTAACTGGTCATTTAACATTAGGTATATCTCCTAATGCTATCCCTCCCCCCTCCTCCAACCCCACAACGGACCCCGGTGTGTGATGTTCCCCTTCCATGTGATCTCATTGTTCAATTCCCACCTATGAGTGAGAACAGGCAGTGTTTGGTTTTTGTCTTGCGATAGTTTCCTGAGAATGATGGTTTCTAGTTTCATCCATGTCCCTACAAAGGACATGAACTCATCATTTTTATGGCTGCATAGTATTCCGTGGTGTATATGTGCCACATTTTCTTAATCCAGTCTATCGTTGTTGGACATTTAGGTTGGTTCCAAGTCTTTGCTATTGTGAATAGTGCCACTATAAACATACGTGTGCATGTGTCTTTATAGCAGCATGATTTATAGTCCTTTGGGTATATACCCAGTAATGGGATGGCTGGGTCAAATGGTATTTCTAGTTCTACATCCCTGAGGAATCGCCACACTGACTTCCACAATGGTTGACAGTCCCACCAACAGTGTAAAAGCATTCCTATTTCTCCACATCCTCTCCAGCACCTGTTGTTTCCTGACTTTTTAATGATTGCCATTCTAACTGGTGTGAGATGGTATCTCATTGTGGTTTTGATTTGCATTTCTCTGATGGCCAGCGATAATGAGCATTTTTTCATGTGTCTTTTGGCTGCATAAATGTCTTCTTTTGATGAGTGACTGTTCATATCCTTTGCCCACTTTTTGATGGGGTTGTTTGTTTTTTTCTTGTAAATTTGTTTGAGTTCTTTGCAGATTCTGGATATTAGCCCTTTCTCAGATGGGTAGATTGCAAAAATTTTCTCCCATTCTGTAGGTTGCCTGTTCACTCTGATGGTAGTTTCTTTTGCTGTGCAGAAGCTCTTTAGTTTAATTAGATCCCATTTGTCAATTTTGGCTTTGGTTGCCATTGCTTTTGGTGTTTTCACATGAAGTCCTTGCCTATGCCTATGTCCTGAATGGTATTGCCTAGGTTTTCTTCTAGGGTTTTTATGGTTTTAGGTCTAACATTTAAGTCTTTAATCCATCTTGAATTAATTTTTGTATAAGGTGTAAGAAGGGATCCAGTTTCAGCTTTCTACATATGGCTAGGGAGTTTTCCCAGCACCATTTATTAAATAGGGAATCCTTTCCCCATTTCTTGTTTTTGTCAGGTTTGCCAAAGATCAGATAGTTGTAGATACGTGGCATTATTTCTGAGGACTCTGTTCTGTTCGTTCCATTGGTCTATATATCTGTTTTGGTACCAGTACCATGCTGTTTTGGTTACTGTAGCCTTGTAGTGTAGTTTGAAGTCAGGTAGCATGATGCCTCCAGCTTTGTTCTTTTGGCTTAGGATTGACTTGGCAATACGGGCTCTTTTTTGGTTCTATATGAACTTTAAAGTAGTTTTTTCCAGTTCTGTGAAGAAAGTCATTGGTAGCTTGATGAGGATGACATTGAATCTATAAATTACCTTGGGCAGTATGGCCATTTTCATGATATTGATTCTTCCTGCCCATGAGCATGGAATGTTCTTCCATTTGTTTGTATCCTCTTTTATTTCATTGAGCAGTGGTTTGTAGTTCTCCTTGAAGAGGTCCTTCACATCCCTTGTAAGTTGGATTCCTAGGTATTTTATTCTCTTTGAAGCAATTATGAATGGGAGTTCACTGATGATTTGGCTCTCTGTTTGTCTGTTATTGGTGTATAAGAATGCTTGTGATTTTTGCACACTGATTTTTTATCCTGAGACTTTGCTGAAGTTTCCTATCAGCTTAAGGAGATTTGGGGCTGAGGCGATGGGGTTTTCTAGATATACAATCATGTCATCTGCAAACAGGGACAATTTGACTTTCTCGTTTCCTAATTGAATACCCTGTATTTCCTTCTCCTGCCTGATTGCCTTAGCACACTTGTTGAGAATCAGTCAACCATAGATTCATGTTTTTGTTTTCTGGCTTCTCAATTCCATTCCATTTATTTGTATGTTTTTTCTTATGCCAATCCTACATTGTCTTGATTACTGTAACTTTGTAGCGAGTTTTGAAACCAGGAAATATGAATCTTCCAACTTTGTTCTTTGTCAATTATTTTCCTGGCTACTCTGGGTCCCTCGAATTTTCATCTAAATTTTAGAATCTGCTTGTGCATTTCTGCAAAGAAGCCAGCTGGGATTTTAATAGGTACTGTATCAAATTTGTATATCAGTTCAGGGGTGGATAAGCATTTTAAAAATATTAAGTCCTCCAATCCACTAAAATGAGTTGTGTTTTATAGTTTTCAGAGTGTAAGTTTTACTTCTTTTGTTAAGTTTATTCCTATTTTATTCTTTTCATACTATTATAAATAAAGTGGTTTTCTTCATTTTATTTCTTGTTTGCTCATTGCTATTACATAGGAATAGAGTTGATTTATGTATATTGATCTTGGATCTTGCAAATTTGTTAAACTCATATATTAGTTTTGTTTTTTTAAAGATACCTCAGGGTTTTCTACATACAATATCATGTCATCTGGAAATAGAGATGGTTTTATTTCTTTTGTTCCAATCTAGAAGACTTGTTTCTTTTTCTTGCATCCTTCTTTTTATTGCACTTACTAAAACATTTCTCCAGCACAATGATGAACATAAGTAGTGAGAATGGACATCATTGCCTCCTTCCTGATCATAGGAGGAAAACATTCAGCCTTTCATCTTTAAATATAATGTTAGCTATGGGTTTTTCATAGAGTCCCTTTACCTGGTTGAGGAAATACACTCATATTCCTAGTTTTTTGAGTGTTTTTTTAACCATAAAAGCATGTTGAATTTTGCCAATGTTTATTCTGCATCAATTTGATTATCTTGTGCTTTTTGGTTTTTATTGTATTAATATGGTGTATTGAATTAATTGATTTTCAGATTTTAAATCAGCCTTGCATTCCTGGAATAAATTCTGCCTGGTTATGTTGTATACTACTTTTTAAATATGTCTGGATTCAAGTTGTTGGTATTTTATTGAGGAATTTTGCATTCATATTCAAAAATATATTGACGTGATTTTTTTCTTGTAATGTCTTTGTCTGGTTTTATGTAAGAGTATACTGGCCTAATAGAATGAGTTGAAATGTAGCCCCACTCCTTTTCTATTCTTTGGAAGAGTTAGTGGAAAAATGGTATTGATTCTTCTTTAAATGTTGGTCTAATTTCCCTGTGAAGTCATCTAATCCTAGGCATTTCTTTGTGGGAAGTTTTATTATTAATATTATTATTAATCCAATCTGTTTATTATTATGGGATCTTGTGAGATTTTCTATTTCTTTTTGACTCAGTTTCAGTCAACTTGACTGAAGCTGAGTCAATGACTCAGTTTCTGATTTTAGTGGTTTGAGTTTTCTATCTTTTTTTCTTGGTCAGTCTATCTAAAAGTTTGTCAATTTTGTTAATTTATTTGAAGTATCAACTTTTGATTTTATTAATTTTCTCAACCAATTTTTTGTTCTCTATTTTAATAATTTATGCTCTAATCCTTGTTATTTCCTTCCTTCTGCCTGCTTTGAGTTTACTCTGCTTTTTTTTCCAGTATCTTAACTTGGAAGGTTAAATTTTTGATGTGAGAACCTTATTTTTTAATGAAGGCATATAATTTTCATTATGACTTCATTTTACTCATGGATTATCAACAAATCTATTTCTTAGTTCCACGTAGTGAAAGTGAACTTTCTTGGTACAATCATGACTTTTTCTAGTTACATTTTTGTTATTAATTTTAATCTTAATTTCACTGTGGTCAGAACACAGATTCTATATGATTTAAATCCTCTGAAATTTATTGGAACTTGCTTTATAACCCAACATATAGTCAATTTTCACAAATGTCCTATAGGTGCTTTAAAAGAGTATCTGTCTCAGAGATCAGAAGCAGAGCAAGATGGCCATATAGAACCTTTCAGTGATTATCTCCCCCGCAGAAACATCAAATTGAACAACTATCCACACAAAAAAGCACCTTCATAAGAACCAAATATCGCAAGTGAGCAATCACAGTACCTGGTTTTAACATTATATCAAAGAAACATGCACTGAATAGGATAGGACAGTCTTGAGTTGCCTACAACACCCTTCCACCATCCCCCAGCAGTGTCACATGGCATAGGAAGAAAATCTATGTGCTCAGGAGAAGCAGAGTAAAGTAATTGTGGGACTTTGCATTGGTACTCACTGCTACCCTGACACAGTGGAAAGCAATGCAGGGGCAGAACTCAGCTGGTGCTCATGGAGGGGACATTCAGAATAGCCCTAGCCAGAGGGGAATTATCCATCCCAGCAGTCAGAACCTGGGTTGTGACTAGTCCCACCATTATGGGCTAAAGTGCTCCAGGGTCATAAATAAATTTGAAAGGCAGACTACGCCACAAGGGCTGCAATTCCTGGGCAAGCTGTGGTGCTGTGGTGGGCTCAGAGCCAGCGGAGTTGTACTGCATGCAACCCAGTGGGACAAAAGTCAGGGCAGCCAAGGGAGTTCTTATGTAACTCCTCCCGCAATTCTAGGCAGCAGAGCTTGCAGCTCCCAAAGAGACTCCTTCCTTCTACTTGAGGAAAAGAGAGAGGATAATAAAGAGAACTTTGTCTTACAACTTGGCCACCAGCTTAGCCACAGTAAAATAAAGCAGGAAGTAGAGTCCTGAAGCCCTCATTCCAGGCTTTAGGTTCCAGATAGCTCCCAGACAGCATTTCTAGACCCACCCTGGACCAGAAAGGAACCTGCTGCCCTGAAAGGAAGGACCCAGTCCTGGCAGGATTCATTACCTGCTGACTAAAGAGCCATTGGGCCCTGAACAAACATCAGTGGTAGCCAGGTAATAGTTCCCACAGGCTTGAGCAAGACCTAGTACCATGCTGGCTTCAGATGTGACCCAGTGCATTCCCAGCTGTAATAGATATAGGAAAAGACTTCTGCTTAAGGAAAGGAGAGAGAAGAGTAAAAAGAACTTTGTCTTGCAACTTGGGTTCCAGTCCAGCCACAGTAAAATATAGTACCAAGCAGACTCCTAAAGTCCATGATTCCAGGCCTTAGCTCACAGATGGCTTTAGCAGACCTGCCTTGGGACAGAAGGGAACCCACTTCCCTGAAGGGAGAGATCCAGGCCTAGAAGGATTCACCGCCTTCTGATTAAACATAAGCAGTATCCAGGAAATAGTCACCATGGGCCTGGGGTAGTGCTGGCCACAGGGAGAGACTCCTTCTGCTTGAGAAAAGGAGAAGAAAAAGTAAAGAGGACTTCATCTTGCAACTTGGCTTACCAGATCAACCACAGTAAAAGAAAGCACCATGCATATTCCTATTCCTAAAGCAGTCAATTCTAGGACCCAGTTCCGGGATAGCATTTCTAGACCCAACCTGGGCCAGAAGGGAACATGCTGCCGGGAAAGGAAAGAAACAGGCCTGGCAGGATTTATCACTTACTGACTAAAGAGCCCATAAGTCCTGAATAAACATAAGTGGTAGCCAAGCAATAGTCACCACAGGCCTTGGGTGAGACCTGCACTGTGCTGGCTTCAGGTGTGATCCAGCACAGTCCCAGTAGTGGTAGCCATGGAAGTTCTTGCATCATCCCTCCTCCAAATCCAGACAGCTGTACATGAAGACAAAAATTCCATTTCTTTGGGAGTAAGTAATGGAAGAGAATAAAAGACTATGCCTGGTAATCCAGGGAATTCTCCCAAGTTGGTACCTCTACAAGTCTGCAAAAGTAACAGTATTAGTAGGCTTAGGATGCCCCCTAATGCAGTACAGCTGTAGTGATCAAAGAGCTATATCATAATACTAATTCCCCTTGAATACCTGGAAAGCATTTTCAAGAAGGGTGGTACAAACAAGCCCAGACTGCAAACATTAGAATAAGTACCTAACTCTTCAATGCCTAGACATTGACAAACATCCACAAGCCTCAAGAGCATCCAGGAAAATATAACCTCACCAAACTAAATAAGGCACGAGTCATCAATCCCACTCTGTCCCAGAGTGACAGAGATATGTGACCTTTCAGACAAAGAATTCAAAATAGGTTATGGAATTGCATGTGCATAAAAAAAGAAAAAATAAATTAAAAAGGAAAATAGGAAAAAAAATAGCTGTGTTGAGGAAATTCAGCAAAATTCAAGATAACACAGAGAAAGAACTCATAATCCTATAAGATAAATTGAACAAAAACATTAAAATAATTTTTAACAACCAAGTAGAAATGCTGGAGCTAAAAAATTCAATCAAAAACCGAAGAATGTATCAGAGTCTCACAACAGTAGAATTGATCAGCCAGAGGAAATAATAAGGGAGCTTAAAGACAGACTATTTGAAAATACACAGTCAGAGGAGACAAAAAGAAAAGGAATAAAAAATAATGAAGCACACCTACAGGATACACATAACAGAGGACTTTCCAAACCTAGAAAAAGACATCAACATTCAAGTACAAAAAGGTTATAAAACGTCAAGGAGATTTAACTCAAACAAAACTACCTCAAGGCATTTAATAATCAAACTCCCAAAGATCAAGAATAAAGAAAGGATACTAAAAGCAGCAAGAAAAAAGAAACAAATAACTTACAATGAAGCTCCAGTATGTCTTGCAGCAGACTTTTCAGTGGAAACCTTACAGTCCAGGAGAGAGTGGCGTGACATATTTAAAGTGCTGAAGAAAAAAAAATATTTTATCATAAAATATTATATCCTGAGAAAATATCCTTTAAATATTAAGGAGAAATAAAGACTTTCCCAGACAAACAATAGCTGAGATTTCATTAACATCAGAAATGGCAAATAGAGTTCTACAAATATGAAAGAAAAAGACATTAACAAGCAATTAAAAATCATCTGAATGTACAAAACTCACTGGAAATAGTAAGTACACAGACAAATACAGAATATTATAACACTAATTTTATTCTGTAAATTACTTATATTTTGAGTAAGAAGACTAAAAGAGGAACCTATCAAAAATAATTATTACAACAATTTTTTAAGACATAGACAATATAATAAGATATAAATAGAAACAGAAAAAGTTAAAAAGCAGGAGGATGAAGTTAATGCATGGAGTCCTTATTAATTAGTTTTTCCTGCTTGTTTGTTTGTTTTTGCAAAGTTTTCATCAGTTTAAAATAATGGGTTATAAGATATTTGTGCAAGCCTCATGGAAACCTCAAATTTAAAAACCTACAACAGATATACACACACAAAAAAATACAAAATTAAAACATACCACCAGAGAAAATCACTTTCACAAAAAGGAAGACAGAAAGGAAAGAAAAAAGAGAAGACCACAAAACAACCAAAAAACACATAACAAAATGGCAGTAATAGGCCCTTACTTATCAACAATAATATTGAATGTAAATGGACTAAACTCTCCAATCAAAAGACATAGAGTGGCTGAATGGATTTTTAAAAAATAATGATCTACTGCCTACAAGAAGCTACACTTCACCTATAAAGACACAAATAAACTGATAATATGGAAATGGAAAAGATATTCCATGCAAATGGAAACTGCAAAATAGCAAGAGTAGCTATACTTACATTAGAAAAAAAGATTTCAAGACAAAAACTATAAAAGGAGACAAAGTCAGCATACAACGATAAAAGGATCAATTGAGCAAAAGCTTATAACAATAGTAAATATTATAAATATGCACCCAACACTGGAGCACCCAGACATATAAAGCAAATATTAGCACTAAAGAGAAGATAGAACCCAGTAGAATAATAGCTGGAGTTACCAACACTCCATTTTCAGCACTGAACAGATCATCAAGACAGAAAATTAACAAAGAAATGTCAGACTTAATCTGCTTTATATAACAAATGGACCTAATATATATTTACAGAACATTTCATCCAATGGCTGCAGGATACACATTCTTCTCCTCAGCATATGGATCATTCTCAAGGATAGGCCACATGTTAAGCCACAAAACAAGTCTTTAAAACTTTTTTAAACATAGAGTTTTATTAAGTATCTTCTCTGACCTCAATGGAATAAGTAGAAATCAATAATAAGAAGAACATTGGAAACTATACAAACACATGGAAATTAAACTATATGTTTCTGAATGACCAGTGGGTCAATGAAGCAATTAAGAAGGAAATTTTTAAATGTCTTGAAATAAATAAAAATGGACACAAAACATAACAAAACCTATGGAAAACAGCAAAAGCAGAGCTAAGAGAAATGTTGATAGCAGTAAGTACCTACATCAGTAAAGTACAAAAACGTCCAATAAACAACCTAACAATTCGTCTTTAAAAACTAGAAAAGCAAGAGCAAACCAAACCCAAAATTAGGAGAAAAGAAATAATAAAGATCAGAGCAGAAATAAATGAAATTGAAGCCAAAAAATAGAAATGATCAAGAAAATGAAAAGCTGTTTTTTTTTAAAGATAAACAAAATTGACCAACCTTTAGCTGGACTAAGAGAGAAGACCCAAATTAAAAAAAAGTCAGAGATGAAAAAGGAAACATTTAACTGATATTGCCAAAATTCAAAGGATCATTAAAGACTATTATGAACAACTATATGCCAATAAGTCAGGAATCCTAGAAGTACTGGATAAATTCCTAGACACATGCAACTTACAAAGATTGAGACATGAAGAAATCCAAGACCTGAATAAATCAATAACAAGCAATGAGATCAAAGCCATAATAAAAAGTCTCCCTGCAAAGAAAAGCCCAGGACCCTATGGTTTCACTGCCGAACTTTACCAAACATTTAAAGAAGAACTAATACCAATCCTACTCAAGCTATTCTGAAAAATAGAGGAGGAAGGAATACTTCCCAACTCATTCTATGAGGCCAGTAATACCTTGATACAAAAACCAGCCAAAGACACATCAAAAACAGAAAACTACAGAAAATATCTCTGATGAACATTGATACAAAAATAAAAAATACCAGCAAATTGAATTCAACAACACAGTAAACTGATCATTCATCATGACCAAGTGGGTTTTATCCCTGAGGTGCAAGGATGTTTCAACATATGCAAATCAATCAATGTGATACATCATATTAGCAGAATGAAGGACAAAAAACCATATGATCATTTTAATTAATGCTGAAAAAAGCATTTGAAAGAATTTAACATCTCTTCATGATCAATATCCTCAGAAAACTGGGTATAAAAGGAATACACCTCAACACAATAAGAGCCATATTTGACAGACCCACAGTTAATATCATACTGAATGGGGAAAAATTGAAAACATCTCCTCTAAGATCTGAAACAAGACAAGGATGCTCACTATCACCACTTCTTTTCAATGTAATACTGGAAGTCCTAGCTATAGCAATCAGACAAGAGAAAGAAATAAAGAGCATCCAAATTGGAAAAGAAGAAGCCAAACTATCTTTGTTTGCAGATGATATAATCTGATATTTGAAAAATCCTAAAAACTCCACCAAAAAACTACTACTACTGATAAACAAATTTAGTAAAGTTGCAGGATACAAAATTAACATACAAAAATCAGTAGCATTTCTATGTGCCAACAGCAAACAATTTGAAAAAGAAATCAAGAAGTAAACCCCATTTACGATAGTTACAAATAAGATTTAATACCTACGAATAAACTTAACCAAAGAAGTGAAAAATCTGTACAATAAAAACTATAAAACACTGATGAAAGAAATTGAAGAGGACACACAAAAAAATGGAATGATATTTCATGTTCATGCATTGGAAGAATCAATATTGTTAAGATGCCCCTACTACCCAAAGCAATCTACAGATTCAATTCAATCCCTGTCAAAATCCCAGTAACATTCTTCACAGAAATAGAAAAGATAATCATAAAACTTAAATGGAATCACAAAAGACCCAGAGTAGCCAAACCTATCCTAAGCAAAAAGAATAAAACTGGAGGAATCACATTACCTTACTTCAAATTATTCTACAGAGCTATAGTAACTGAAACAGCACAGTACTGGCATACAGACATCTAGAACAATGGAACAGAATAGAGAACCCAGAAATAAATCCATATATCTACAGTGAACTCATTTTCAACAAAGATGCCAAGAATATACATTGGGGAAAGGACAGTCTCTTCAATAAATGGTAGTAGGAAAACTGGATATCCATATACAGAAGAAAGAAACTAGACCCCTATCTTGCACCATATACAAAAATCAAATCAAAATGGATTAAAGACTTTTTAGAAAGGATCTAAGACCATTCTAAATGGATCTAAGACCTCAAACTATGAAACTACTATATGAAAACTTTGGGGAAACCCTCCAGGACATTGGTCTCGGCAAAGATTTCTTGAGTAAAAGCACAGGACACCAAAGCAACAATGGACAAATGGAATCACATCAAGTTGAAAAGCTTCTGTACAACAAAGAAATCAACAAAGTGAAGGGACAACCCACAAAACAGGAGAAAATATTTGCAAACTATCCATCTGATAAGAGATTAATAACCAGAATATATGAGGAACTCAAACAATTCAATAGGAAAAAAAATCTAACAATGTGACTTAAAAATGGGGAAAAGATATGAATAGACATTTCTCAAAAGAAGATATATAAATGGCAAAATATATAAAAAGTTGCTCAATATCATTGACCATCAAAGAAATGCAAATCAAAACTACAACATAATATCATCTCACCCCAGTTAAAATGGTTATTATCCAAAAGACAGGCAAGAATAAGTGCTAGCGAGGATGTGGAGAAAAGGGAACCCTTGTACACTATTGGTGAGAATGTAAATTAGGAAAGCCACAGTGGAGAACAGTACGGATATTTCTCAAGAAACTAAAAATGGAACTACCATATAATCTAGCAATCCCACTGCTAGGTATTGACTTAAAAGAATGGAAATTAGTATATTGAAAAGATATCTGCACGCCCATGTTTATTGCAGCACTATTCACAACGGCCAAGATTTGGAATCAATCTGAGTATCTATCAATGAATAAATGGATGAATGGATAAAGAAAATGTGGTACACGTACATAATGGAGTGCTAGTCATTCATAAAAAGGAATGAGATCCTGTGATTTGCAACAACATGGATGGAACTGGAGGACACTATGTTAAGTGAAATAAGCCAGGCATAGGAAGACAAACTTCACATATTCTCACACATTTGTGGGAGCCAAAAATTAAAACAATCTAGTTCACGGAGATAGAGAGTAGAATGATAGTTACCAGAGGCTGAGAAGGTTAGTGGGGAAGGAGAGAAAAAGTGAGCATGTTTAATGGGTACGAAAAAAAAAATTAGAAAGAATGAATAAGGTATAGTATTTGATAGCACAATGGGGTGACTACAGTCAACAATAATTTATTGTACATTTAAAAATTACTAAAACAGTATAATAGGATTATTTGTAACACAAAGAAATGATAAATGCTTGAAGTGATGGATACCCCATTTACCCTGATGTGATTATTACACATTGTATGCCTGTATCAAAATATGCCATGTACCCTATAAATATATATACCTACTATGTACCCATAAAAATCAAAAATAAAAACTTTAGAAAAAATAAAAATGAAGAGCCAGGGAGAATAAAATTTTAAAAAAGAATATCTATCCCATAGATGGTGGGTAGAATGCTCATACATGTTTTTGATTCCCTATAACTTTGCTGATTTTTTTGGCCTGTTTATTAAAATGAATTATTCATAGATATGTCATAATTACTCATTTTGATCATGGATGTATCCAGTTCTCATAAACCTATAAAATTTGTGCATTATATTTTGCTTCTATATTATTAAGTGCATAAAATTTAAAATTATTATATATTCATTATGAGTTAAACATTTTATTATATCAGCTTTATTCTGATGTTTTCTTTCTTCTTACCTTCAACTTATTTATCCTTGTGTTTTTTTTTTTTTTTTTTTTATTATACTCTAAGTTTTAGGGTACATGTGCACATTGTGCAGGTTAGTTACATATGTATACATGTGCCATGCTGGTGCGCTGCACCCACTAATGTGTCATCTAGCATTAGGTATATCTCCCAATGCTATCCCTCCCCCCTCCCCCGACCCCACCACAGTCCCCAGAGTGTGATATTCCCCTTCCTGTGTCCATGTGATCTCATTGTTCAATTCCCACCTATGAGTGAGAATATGCGGTGTTTGGTTTTTTGTTCTTGCGATAGTTTACTGAGAATGATGGTTTCCAATTTCATCCATGTCCCTACAAAGGATATGAACTCATCATTTTTTATGGCTGCATAGTATTCCATGGTGTATATGTGCCACATTTTCTTAATCCAGTCTATCATTGTTGGACATTTGGGTTGGTTCCAAGTCTTTGCTATTGTGAATAGTGCCGCAATAAACATACGTGTGCATGTGTCTTTATAGCAGCATGATTTATACTCATTTGGGTATATACCCAGTAATGGGATGGCTGGGTCAAATGGTATTTCTAGTTCTAGATCCCTGAGGAATCGCCACACTGACTTCCACAATGGTTGAACTAGTTTACAGTCCCACCAACAGTGTAAAAGTGTTCCTATTTCTCCGCATCCTCTCCAGCACCTGTTGTTTCCTGACTTTTTAATGATTGCCATTCTAACTGGTGTGAGATGATATCTCATAGTGGTTTTGATTTGCATTTCTCTGATGGCCAGTGATGATGAGCATTTCTTCATGTGTTTTTTGGCTGCATAAATGTCTTCTTTTGAGAAGTGTCTGTTCATGTCCTTCGCCCACTTTTTGATGGGGTTGTTTGTTTTTTTCTTGTAAATTTGTTTGAGTTCATTGTAGATTCTGGATATTAGCCCTTTGTCAGATGAGTAGGTTGCAAAAATTTTCTCCCATGTTGTAGGTTGCCTGTTCACTCTGATGGTAGTTTCTTTTGCTGTGCAGAAGCTCTTTAGTTTAATTAGATCCCATTTGTCAATTTTGTCTTTTGTTGCCATTGCTTTTGGTGTTTTGGACATGAAGTCCTTGCCCGTTTTACATGTGTCTTTCATAACAGTGTAGATGAGTTTTATTTTTTATTCACTCTAAAGAACTTTTATTTTATTTATTTATTTATTTATAATGATGTATCTCTCTGTCACCCAGACTGGAGTACAGTGGTGCATCACAGCTCACTGCAGCCTCAAAGTCCGGTGCTTAAGCAATCCTCCTGCCTCAGCCTCCCAAGTAGGTGGGACTACAAGCATGCCACCACAACAGGCTAATTATTTTTCTTTTTCTTTTTCTTTTTAGAAATGGGGTCTCTCTCTTGCCCAGGCTGGTCTCAAACTCCTGTCCTCAAGCATTTAGTCTTTTTGATTTGAATGTAGTTACTGATATGTTTGGGTCAAATTTACCATACCTGTGCTATTTCCTCTTTCTCTTCTTTTCTGCATTTTAAAATAGCTTCTGAGTGTTTTTATTCAATTTTTGCCTCTATTATCTTGGAAATTATAGACTGCTTTACTATTGTAATGATAACAGTAGAAATTACCACATGCATCCTTAAGTGACATTGTAAGTGTCTAATATTAATTGGTATTTTACTCTCTAACCAGGCAATACAAGCAAAATCATTTGAACTCTTTAGCTCCATTTGCATACCCTTCCTGACATATATAGCATTATTATCATGCATGTTAATGTTCTCTATATTTTAAACCTAATAATACATTATAATTATTTGACATAGTCATTGTTCATTTCTATTTACCTACATCATTTTCACTACACATCATTATTCCATTATTTCCATGCTTCCATCTAGAATAATTTTCTTTTTCTGCCTTTACTGCTTTTGCCACCTTTACTGCTGGCTCTCCTTGTGACAAATTATCAGATTTTATTTGTTTGAAAATGTCTTTATTTTCCTTTCATTCTTGAAAGACTTTTTGACTAGATATTGAATTCTAGGTTGACATTCATTTTCTTTCACACTTTGATGTAATTTCACTGTCTTTTCGTTTAAATTGTTTCTATTAAGTGGTTAGCTGCCAGTCTAAGTTTTGTTCCTTTGAAAATAATCTGTTCTTTTTCCTCTGATAGCTTCTATGTTTCTAGTTGTTTTTGATTTTATGCATTTTTACTATATGCCTAGGTATAGATTTCTTTTTGCCTGGTTCAGGCTTTGCAGGCCACCTTAAATCTGTGGCCCAAAGTCTTTCACTAGTTTTTGACAAGCTCTCTTCCATTACTTTCTTCTGACCTATTCTCTTGATCCTCACCTTCTCAGACTCCAATGACACATATGTTAGAACCTCTCCTTGTATTGTATCTCTTATAATCTCTTCTGTGTTTCCTATAATTTTGTATCTCTGTGTTTCATTAAGGCTGTTGTCTTCTGACCTACTTCTCCCATCCATGGATTCCTCTCTTAAGGATGCATAATCTGATATAAAACCTTTTCAATGAGTTCTTTAACTTGATTGTTATATTTTTTCAGTTCTATGATTTTTATTTGGTACTGTTTTTTGTGGTTTCAGTTCTCTGTGAAAAAAAATCAATCTTATTTCTATCTCCTTATATCTACTAAACATAGTTATTTTAAAGTCTATGTCTGGTACTGCACCACATATTCTACAGAGCCAGGCACTGTAACACAAGTTCTATAAACACTATTATTTCACAATAACTCTAATGGATTATTCTCTACAGAATAATAAACTGAAGCTTATTGAGATTATACACTTACTAAGAAGTAGAGCCAAGAACCAAACTCAAATATTCCAAACTTCAAAATTCATGCTCTTAGCCATTTCATTACAGGATTATGATAGTCTCAAATAACTGACTAAACCAGAGTCCAAATATTATAAGATTAATTTATTTCCCTATCAGAGCAAGATTTCTCTCTTCTAGTGACAGGTTCTCCCTCAAACCCTGTCACAATATTCATCCTGAATTTTCTTGGTATATCTTTCCACATTTATTAATTAATTCATTTGACACTCAATAAGTAGTTTTGAGTATTTATCACATGGTTCTAGGCACTAGAGATATATGATAAACGAGGTATATGTGGTTCCTGACTCATGGAACTTTCATTCTAGTGGGAGATAACAAACAGTAAACATGTAAGCAAATACATCAGAAAGCAATGAAGTCAATGAGGAAGTGGTCTAGATACAATATAGTAAACTTTGATATTGGATGTTGACTTTAGCTAGGTGGTCAAGGTAGACCTCTCAGATGAAGTGACATTTGAATTGCAAACCTGAATAAGAGAAGTATTCCATGCAGAAGGAAGAGCAAGCACAAAGCCCCCAGGTTTGAGAGATAACTGGCATAGTTAAAGAACAGGAGGACATTGGTTGTGGCTGAGCCTCATGAATAAAGAGAGTGGTAGAACATCAGATAGAAAAGTTGGACGGTATGAAAATCAAGACATTATTGCAGTATTTCAGGTAAAAAGTGATGGTAGCAACTTTCATCTCTAGCCCTATGAAAGCAATTGTGACCATATTTACCCTTCTACTGTAAGCCTTTTAAAAAACAGGCAAAATGTATGAAACAACTGTTTCCAGACATTAGAGAACAAGCAGCCCAGAATTGTGATTTGTGAAAGAGGGAAAACGGAGAAGATGAGTTCTGTGATACACCAGCTTTTTGCCTGAAAACACATTCCAGACCACAAAGCAGCAAATAGCTCCCAAACCAAGGACATGGTCTCACTGAGTTGAGAAGATAAATAGGAGTTCAGGGAGGTTGACGTGGCTGGAAGTTGCAGGAGGGAGTTTCAGAAAGGAGAGAGTTCTTCAGAAAAAAAGATTCCCAGAAATCTCCAGGGACACCCTGGAGACCCTTTAAAACTACATTTTAAATAAGCCCCTCCCTCTCTAGTTGATACTTGTGCATGCTAAAATTTGAGGATCACTTCTAGAGACCTAAGAAACCAGAATACTGAAGAAATGGATATAATGTCCTTAAGGAAATAGGCTGTATTTCTTATTACCACCTGATGTGGAGATAAATTTTACTACTGCACATATACACTAAACTCTCTGTTTCAGCTGAAGACAAAAGAGGTCAGGAGACTCTCTCTTGGCTTATGGGATTTAAGATTTCACAGGGAGGAAGAAACAGTCTGGCAAAGATGCTGTTCTTGACTCTCTCTGGCTTCTTTTTAAAGCCATCACAGTGATTCAGGTTTTAATCTCCTCAGCATGGAACATGTGTTTATTGGGGCTGATTTTTGCATTTCCCAGGTGTGAGTGCATGCTTGTTTGCTTATTGGTTGGATGAGTGATTGAATAAATGAATTAATTAAGCCAGTGAGACCAGGATCTCGAAATAAGTCATTTCCATCTCTACTCTCTTAAGGTTGGGTAAGGAGGTCAGCCTTATCAACTTCTGGTCTTTGGGAACTCCCTAGAAGCCCCTGATAGTTTATCATTCACTCTTTCCAGCCAGCCCTGGTTGAAGGCAGAAAATGACCCAACATTCTGCATGACCTGGTCAAGGCCACACCCTGAGGCAGGGGACTACAGCTGAGAAATTTTGCTTTGACTGTCACTATGCCAAGGACCCAGCACCCTGTCAAGGTTTGGGATCAAATTTGGTATTGAAAAGAGCAAAGAGAACAACATAATTTAAAAATCAAAGAAATTCATTTTAGTAGTAAAAGGTTAACAGCCTTTAGGAGGAACAATTTTTAATCACCCTCGTCTAGACTCTATCACTGGAATCACCAGCCGCCGAGTGAAATATGGCCCAACTGCCGCCACCAAACAGCTCCTAAAGACTGTTGTATTTAATCATGTCTGTGCACCACTTATGGATTTTCATTATGATTCCCGATGCTGTTGCGCTGGGTAAAATATTAATATCCATAGTAATGATGCATGAAGCTTGGAGTGTAATTTCTTCACTCTTCTTGTCTGATATTAAATTGTTACCACTTTATCATTTGTGTAGAACTGCACGTTTCAATTAATCTTTCCATATCAGCAGCCCTGATTAATATAGATCATGATTCATAAGCTTATCGTCACTATAGTTTTAACAGATCATTTATAAAGATCTTAAATTTCAGGGTCTGGGAGGTGCAGCTGCTGTGTCCAATGTGCCTTTTTATTCTCTGTTCCAACAGAGCTGCTATACACCGGCTGTCACCTCCTGTTGAATAATTAATTTCAGGAACCAAATTTGCCCAAGAAAAAACACCAGAATGAAGGGACTGGCAATTGGCAGGGCACTGGTAGTGTTTGTTCACCTTTCCGTGCCCAGCCCGGATGTTGCCTGCCCTTCATAGACCGGAACTGCTGCTTTGGGGGATTAACCACAGGTGTGTATGGGCTTCTGCTGGCTGCAGTGGGCAATCCCAGCCAGCACAGCCATCCCAGGACAGTTGTTGAGATTTGATGGAGCGTTGGATAACTTCCCAGGCAGCAGCTGCTGCTGCTCACATGAATCTACAGACCTCATCAGGTATGGCATGGCGCCTGGGGCCTTATGCTCGTCCTGGAACACACAGTCTAAGCTGTGTGCTCAGTGTAGGGTGGGGATGCACTGGGGAATTAACAAGTGAGAGGTTTTCGAACATTTTTATGAACACCAAGGTCTTGGGCCCTTTAGTCAGAGGAAGATATTAAGGCTCAGAGAAGGCTATTTGGCCCACAGACACAGGGTTCATCATCATTGAGAACCTGGGAGCCATTGCGCTGCCTCCCAACCAACCTGAAGCAGAAGCAGACCCATGCAGAACCCCTGGAGAACAGCTCCCTCTCTTTGGACAGAATAAGAGAGGACAGGAAATAAAGGAGACCTTACTGACTTTGTTGGGCCTGCATTTGAAGCTTAATTCCCATGGCTCAAATTGCTCAAAGACTTCAGGTACAAGAGAAAACATCTGGATGTAAATTAAAAAAAAAAAAAAACTATTATGGTAACTGGTCTGGTAACAACTAACGTGGCAACATTTATTGACTTCAAAATCTTAATACTTTGTTTCAACTTCAATCAAATCAGGTAATTTTTTAAACGCATCCTGAGTAAATTTGTGCTCTTTGGTTTGATCAAATTTGTACATCTTTTATTGTACATCTTCTATGTGAAAGACATTATCCTAAGCCCTAAGGTTTGGGGCTATGTCTTCGTTTGGGTCCCCCAGAAGCAAACTCTAGGACAAGAATTCAGGAGCAAGTCATTTATTTGGGAGGTGATCCTGGGAAACATCACTGTGGGAGTGAGGAGGTGCAGCATGGAGGAGAGGCAGCAGCAGAGGCTGTGTTGTCAAGTAAGTTACCACTGTGGGCACCTGGGGCACTCTGGGAGACTGTAGAACTTGCCTCACAGATGTCTCAATGGTGGGTGAGGAACCCAAGTTATTTATTTACCAAGTCCCTGTCTGTCACTGGAGGGACTGATTTCTGTGTCATTAACTCTCCCACACTCACTCCTGACTTGCCCTGCATGTCAGCAGAGTGATTCCTGCAGCCAGAAATAAAAGCTCTCAGATGAAGAGTGCAAGGCATCCCTAGCAAGCAGGCTTGACCTTTAGAGGCAAGGGTCAACAGAAGAAAAGCAGAGCCAACACCATTTTCTACAGTGACCCTCTAATCCCAAGCATTTGTTTACTCATTAATTCAAAAAGTGTTTAGAGTTGTCCTCTTATCTACAACAGTCCACACAAGAGATAGCAGTCGCTGAAAAAAAAAAGTCCACTAAAGTTGTGAGGCTTTAAAAAAAGTTATGTAAATAGATCTTACATGTTTTATTTCAACTAAAACACACAAATGTGCAATTTATTCACTATTATTTTGCTGCTGGGTCAGAATCTTTTCTTTCGATGTGCATGTGCTAAAGGAGTTCTGCCTTCCCTTTCCTGTGCAAACACCCACAATTTTAGCTTCTATGAGTTACAGCAATAACTTAAAGTCATTTTAAGACACCTAAGTGCAGAAACTTTGTAGATGTTTGTTTCCCAATCTTTTATAGTGATTTTACCCACATGTAATTCAACAGCTATTTTTTAGTGACTCACCTTTATCAAATCCAAAGCATTCAATTTAATGTTCAAAGAAGCAACAATTCCTCTTGTCACACTTATCATCAGTTTATGTAATGTTTAATTCAATTTCATGGTTACATTATTAAGCACAGCTATTATAAAACAGATTTATAAACCAAGACAACTAACACCTGGTAAGAGTACAGCTGGACCTGTGGATACCCAAAAGCATTGCCTCCTGTTGGTGAGCACTACTACTGCATCCCAGGCAAGTCTACAAGGTTGACTCATCTGGTCCTCCTAGTTGCCTATGGATGAGTGGGGGACTGCGGTTATGCCTGCTTCACAGAAGAGGGTTTCCAGGCATACTTGCTCAGGGCCACAAGGACAGCAAATGACAAAGCTGGGTTTCTAACCCACGGTGTCTGATCCTAGAGTCCCAGGTCTTAACCACAATGCCACACTGCCCTGCCTAGAGAGTGACTTTTACCTGGGTAATAAGGATTTATCTTCCACACTGTGACATTTTGAAAGTGAGGAGGCCACTATTGATAATAACACCCAACCCACAGATGTAAAACAGCACAGTCCTTGGTAAGCCAGGACATCTGGCCACTCTGTTTTTTATCCTTGAGTGCTCAGTGTGTCATGGGTCCTGGCCAGAGTGTTAGTCAGGGGAAGAATTGAAGTGGTGGGCAACTAAGGAAGCTTCAAGGGCAGGGGAGGTGCAGCACAGAGGAGAAGGCCTCACGAAGCTTACAAATTAAAATGGAAATAAAGTATGTCTACCTTAGTTATAAGGTACCACAAGTCTTTGTATATAAAGGGGTCAAGAGACATTGTAAATTTAAAATTATCATGACAGCCAGGCACAGTGGGATTACACTTGTAATCCCAACAATTTGGGAGGCCAAGGTGGGCAGAGGGCTTGAATTCAAGAGTTCAATGCCAGCCTGGACAACACGGCAAAACCCCATCTCTATGAAAAATACAAAACTTAGCTGGATGTGGTGGTGCATGCCTGTAGTCCCAGCTACTTGGGAAGCTGAGGTGGGAGGATCTCTTGAACCTAGGAGGTTGAGGCTGCGGTAAGCCACGATCATGCCACTGCACTCCAGCCTGGGTGACAGAAGAGACCCTGTCTCAAAAAATAAATGAATAAATAAATAAAAGTATCATGAGAGTTCAGAGGAGGGAGAGCAATTTTTCAACTCAGGAATCAAGAAGCCTTTGTAGAGAAAGTGGTACTTAAGCTGGTCATTGAATATGGGTAGGTAGATTTGGAGTTGCAAAGGAAGAGACCTTCCAGGAGGAGGAAAAAGAAGCAAAGGTAAAGAGGCAGGAAGCCAAGGGGTACATTAAAGCTTGTTAAGTAATTCTGTTTGCCTGACGAGTGACTGAACATTATGGGCAGTGGGACAAAGGACTGGAAATTGCAGCCAAATCACAAGTGAACATCTAGATTTACTTGTGATATGGATAGCAAGCCAGGGTATGTTTTTAAACTACTAGATAACACAAGCCCCAGAGCCTGGCCTGGCCACTTGAAGTGTATGTTGTGTAGCCCACTATCTGGGGTTCAGTCTCTCTCTTCCCTTCACTTCTCTGTGACCTGAAACAGGTCTCATCTCTGGGTCTCAGTGATAGCATGTGTAATATGGGGATAATAATGGTACCTACCTCTCAGGATTGTGCAGATTAAATTCATTTATACATTTATAAAGAGCTTAAAACAGTATACAGAAGAAGGGTTTTGTAAGTATTAGCTATTATTAGTATGATTGAAGTTGAGCTTCAGACAGTTTAAGCTGGTGGCAGAGGAGAGTGGCTGACAATGGGAGGAAAGGAAGACAGCCCATGAGAAACTGAAGTGAGGAAGACAGGCAATGGAGACAGAATGTGTGTTGCTCACAACCATTTGGGGATTTTGAACCTTCTCCTTCCTACAACCACCCCTTCTCCTCTCTCAGCCTCCAGGTTCCCCTGTTTGCCTCCCAGACAGCCCTGGGCAGGTGGCCCATACAAGACTCTCACATATGATGCTTCATCACTGAACAGGGCACCCAGCCTCCCTGACACCCATTTTTACTCTTCCCATTCCTGTGAAAATTGGAACTAAAGCTGCCATAGTAGCTCTTCAATAAAGACCCTTCTTTCCCATAGCCTCACAACACAATCATATGCCACAAGTTTTTAATCTTGCACATCATTTTCTGATTCACATCACATTTTTCTATGGAATGTTGACTTGCCTTATTCACTTGTATGTCCTCAGTGCTTAGCACAGAGCTTGGAAAAGAGTGAATGGTCTGGGACTGTTTACTGTCTGAATGAAAGAACCAATGGACTAATGAGTGTGCATTATCTCTTCCTCCATTTTTCTCTGTCTCTTTGTTAAGCAAAGTGATCTAGTCAAGAGACTTGGACGAAAGTCTGATACATAGCAATCGCTCAGTAAGGGTGGTTAGTATATTTTATACTTAATCCTACTATACTGTTGTTTACAGTCTGCCCTGCTTAGGGCCTGGTGTGAGTATAGAGAGAAGGAAGCTTCTCGGGAGGAGGGCTTGGGTCGCCTTCCCAGGTGAATCCCCTATTCAGTTCAGAAGAGGTACCTGATTCATGTCCATTCAATTAAATTGGTTGAGCTTTAAACCCATCTGATTTGGTTTCAGGGGAGGTTAACAAATTTCTCAGTAATTGATGGCCTCCTCTTCCCCCATCACTGCACTGAACCTTTTGCTTCTCAATCAGATACCTGTACCTCGAGCCCTAATGTTGTAGAGTGCGACCAGATGGGCCACAGGGTTGGGCCACTCCATCTGCCTCTGAGGATCAATTTCCCAGACTACTTCTTTACAATCACATCACAGACTTCATTGGGTTAATGAGGTTGTAGAGACAGCCTTATAGGTGACTTACCATACCCTTGCAGAATGGCCATCATCTTAGGAATAACAGAACTGCTTTAAGAACTGGTTTGTCCATTTATAAAATGGGGTAAATTATGTCTGTGTCTAACTTACAGGAATAACAAATAGGCTAATTAGATAATTGGAAGTTTTGTTGGGTTCTTTTAAAAGTAAAGCATTACAAAAGAAACTCCTATTGCTGAAATTATTTTTCAGAATGAACTTCTTAAAACTCTAGTCTCTTGTCTTCTTGGCCACACCCATTAGAGTGTGGAGATATTGTAGTTTTCGTTAATACTAATCCAGTCTCTCAAAAGTTAAATTAGTAAAAATTCTGAATTCTACAGGTTTAGAAAGGAAATACATTATTATTATTATTTAAATGCAGACTAAAGGAGCTAAGGAAGAAGAGTAATGTTGCTAGAAGAAAGCATTATAAGATATGATTTAGATTTGGTGAGACTTGGGGTCTTGATTCCAGCTGACTCCTCTGAGCTTCAGTTTCTTCAACATGTGAGATAAATGGACTAGGTCATCCCCAAATTCCCTTCCCCTGTGATCAGGATAGTAACTCTTGCTTTGCAAATACGTTAAGAGACTTTTTAAATCCTTATTTCAATTTATTTTCATAAGTAAATTAAACACTTGTCTGATATTTAATTACACTGTTGTTTGCTTTATAAATCCTTTTTTCATGGAGAAGTATTTCTGTACCTTAACCCAGCCTGACTCATCACATACCATGTAACCCACAATTCATTACTGTGACATGTAAATGTCTACTGATATTCAAAGAAATGTTCCAGGACCCTCATCCCTGTCTTGAATCTAGCCTCCCGTTGATCTTATTATCTCTGTCGAATTTGGAATACTGTCTGACTCAATGTTTCCATTTGGTCTCATACTTTAGAGGTAAGATAGTTTGCTATATTATATTATGGCCAGAATCCTAGGAACACTGAAATCCTTTTCTGCCTTTCTATCTGATATGGTTTGGCTCTGCATCCCCACCCAAAGCTCATCAATCTCATCTTGAATTGTAATCTCCATAATCCCCACGTGTCAAGGAAGGGACCTGATGGGAGGTGACTGGATCATGGGGGTGGTTTCCCCCATGCTATTCTCGTGATAGTGAGTGAGTTCTCAGGAAACCTGATGATTCTATAAGTGTTTGACAGTTCCTCTTTCACACGCTCTCTTTCACCCACTGCCATGCTTCCTGCTTCCCCTCCTGCCGTGATTGTAAATTTCCCAAGGCCTCCCCAGCCATGCAGGGGGTTGTCTAACTTATAGGAATTATTCCTAATTCCTAACTTACAGGGATTATTCCTGTTATTTCTGAAAGTTAGATACTGTGAGTCAAACCTCCTTTGTTTATAAATTACCCAGTATCACGTGGTATCTTTATAGCATTGTGAAAACAAACTAATACACTATCCTTGCCAGAGGGTTCCCAAGGGAGCAGTAACAGGATAGGAATCATAGTATCTCCTTATTTTTTAACAGCTTTATTGAAGTATAAATGATATACGCCTCCCCCCCAAAAAACCTGTACATGTTTAATGTATACAATTTGATGAATTTGAAGTACTTAGTAATAGCTAAGTCCTTAGTAATAGCTAAGCCAGCAACTGCTAAATATAGGTCTCCCTTGTGATGCTTAGTTTAAGAAAGCAGATTTTTGGCTGGAGAAATGGAGAGAGAGGGACACCAAGCCCCAAGACAGGCCCTGGATCCGCTACACAACCACCAGTTTAGACTGAAGGGTAGACTCATGAGAATGGTTGGCTCATCCAAGGAGGTCATGTCCTGCTTCCATCTGAGGATCAGCTAGGCAGGGGCATCAGCCTTTGAAGCACTGTAATTCTACCCACCAGGAATGCAGGTCCAGTCAGGAAGACCTATCTGACCTATCCACTTGGCAATTTCTTTTCTCCTATGGTGGAGGTAGTAAACAGTGGACCAAGGTGGAAGTGAGAGTGGAAGGAGATTGAAGGGTCTCTTTTACCCATACTTCCCATGTTTGTGTTTGAGCCTCTGCTCTTCCCAATGGACTTTAACTGACTCTTACCTCTGACTCTCAGGACCTCCTATCAGAGCCCCCTTCCTGATTCCAATTCCTACAAACCCCTTGGTTGGTACCTTGGCTGGGTCAACCCCAAGCACGAATGTTGTTTTAGCTCTTCATCTCCCACTTTCAAGATATGTAACATGAGTGAAGATTCCTTAGTGCCTAAGAAAGGGATTTTAAGAGAGATTTAATAACTACATGAGACTTTGGGAAAATTTAACCACAAGAGAAAATATGTGTGTTCGTGTGTGCATGTGGATATATAGAGACAGAATATTTATTTTTTAAAAAAGGAGAGTATCACTTGACACAAATAAGAACACTATAACAACCACAAAAGTTTCATGATTGAGAGGACAATTTTCATTTGTTTCCAATGCCCCAGGATAAATTAGGGCCAATTTATCTACATTCCAGGTCTGAATTTCTTTACCCGCTCTCCTCCTACTTAAAAGATACCCAGCCTCAAACCCATCAAACTCAAGACTATTTGGGTCTTTTAGAATTATAATTTTGCTTCTTTATGTCTTTATTGCTCCTTTGATAGAGAAATTGAAAAAAAGAAAAAGATATGAAGGAGAACAACAAAAAGCTATAATTATGAAGATTCAATTTAATTTTAAAGCTTGTGGACAGAAAAGAAGAAGC